>NT_187693.1:355600-711200 GCF_000001405.40 Homo sapiens
CAGCATTTTGGAAGGTCGAGGCGGATGGATCACTTGAGGTCAGGAGTTCGAGTCCAGCCTGGCCAACCTGGTGAAACCCCATCTCTACTAAAAATACAAAATTAGAGGGGCATAGTGGCGGGCGCCTGTAATCCCAGCTGCTTGGGAGGCTGAGAGGCAGGAGAATTGCTTGAACCCAGGAGGTAGAGGTTGCAGTGAGCCGAAATCGCACCACTGCACTCCAGCCTGGGCAACAGGAGCGAAACTCTGTCCTAAAAAAACAAAATTAAATTAAAAAGCCAGTCCTGGTGTGGTGGCTCACGCCTGTAATCCCAGCACTTTGGGAGGCCAAGGCGGGCAGATCACGAGGTCAGGTGATCGAGACCATCCTGGCCAACACGGTGAAACCCCATCTCTACTAAAAAAATACAAAAAGTTAGCTGGGCGTGGTGGCGGGCACCTGTAGTCCCAGCTACTTGGGAGGCTGAGGCAGGAAAATGGCATGAACCCGGGAGGCGGAGCTTGCAGTGAGCCGAGATCGCGCCACTGCACTCCAGCCAGGGTGACAGAGCGAGACTCCGTCTCAAAAATAAATAAATAAATAAAATAAATAAGTCGATAGACCAATATTTATCAATTACCTCTTATACGCTTGGTGTTTGAGATTCAGGAATGAACAAAACAGATCCAGTCCCTGCCCTCAACCTAGCTCTTAGTGTAATGATTATGGGAACAGGGTCAAATAGCAAATCACAAATTATTTCACGACTATTGTGAGACAAGAGTGAGAGCCAAGAGTGGTGGTGCACACCTGTAATCCCAGCTCGAACCAGGGAGACAGAGGTTGCAGTGAGCCGAGATCGCACCAATGGCTTAACACAATGGGATTTGGCTTTTCACTCATGTAAATGACCAGTGCGGTTTTCTCTGGGGCAGAATTTGAATTTTCTCCCCAGGATGACTCAGGGACACCCGCTTCCTCCATTGTGCTCCCATCATGCCCTTGGGCAATGGCGTCCCGTACTTCAAACAGCAAGAAAGAAGGAGAAACAGAATATATCTGTGCACTTGCAAAATTTGCTGACACATGTCATTTCTGTCCAGAATTGTTGGCTATAAATAGTGTTATGAACAGTCACACAATGATGCAACAAGACCAGGGAAAAAGTCCCTTGGTGGGGGTAGCCACTTCCCAGAGGTTCCAATGCTTGCACTGTAAGGGTAAGTACAGAATTTTTTTTTTTTCTGGTGAGCAGCCACATATTTCTGCCTCACGTGAAAAATAATCTCAAGAAGAAATGTACCTGAGAATGTATAGCCCAGGAGCATGATGTTGTGACACCTGATTGATGGACCATGTGGGGTGATTGACTCCCCTGTACTTAGAAGGAAATCAAAACCAAAGGTTCAAGTAATATTAAAGAGAAATATTGTCATATTCCCTCTGGAACCCATGCACGTCTTAGCTAACCTGCAGAGAGGAGTAGAAACCACTAGAACTGAAGGAGGCAGCTCTGTGCAAGGGTGACGGCCTTCTCCCCTCCCAGTTCCCTTAGTTCTGGAGTTCGATGAAGGACGGGGTCCACACGGCCCACTCCGTTTCCTCTTTCTCTGAACCGGGGGTGCAGAACCTGAACCCAGACAACCCCTGGGTATGAGTCCGGCCCCAGATCACAGCTGTGGTTTTGGCTGCCGCAGTGACCTTGGCAAAGTCCTGAGTCGTTTGCTGTTGTGGGTATGATGGACAGCTGCGACGTTTTCCTGGACTCCCACTGAAATCTTTAACTTCAAGATCATCTTCTCCATCCCAACAGAACTCATCAGGCCCAGAAGGCTCCCAGCCCCAGAGGTTCCCAGAGCTCTTCAGGTGGAATGTTGAGTCTGCACAAGCCAGGATGGTGACTCTGGAGAAGTTCTCCAGAAAAGAATCAGCATCTAGAGTCTCCTGAGTTCCAGGCCCTTAGAAATTTAGACTCCAGAACCACTGCCAAAGTGACCCCCTCAGCCCAGCCCTTCGGTACCCAGCATCCACTGTCCTCAGCCCAGCCCTTCCGTACCCAGCATCCACTGTCCTGGTGGGAGTCCGCTGTGCTGCTCCAAGAAGACAGACCCTCACCATTACCGGAAAGACTGACCCTCCTGTGTCCAGGTCCTGTGGCCCAGACTCAGCTCTGGAAGAGAAATCTGGATTTACAATGCTCAGTACGTCGCTCAAAATCTGCACTCGATGACGTCTGTAAGCTCTTGGTCCCAGCCTGGGCTGCGAAGCCTGAGGCTTGGGCAGACAATGCCGTCCCGCCGTCATCTCTGCTCCCTCTTCGATCGCTAAGCTCCCACAGCATTGATCTAACCAGACATGGGCCCAGGGAGAGAGCTGTCTTCCCCACCTCCCAGCCCCAATCCCTCAATCCCTCGCCTGCCGTGCCAAGACTGGTCAAGGGAAAGTCCAGGAAGAAAGCATGGTAAGGGGCACCGTGCTGCCTGCGCCCGCCCCGCTGTGCAGAATGCAGAGGCTCAGGATGCGGTGCGCAGAGACTCAGTCCCAACCGTCTTGTGGCTTCTTACCACGTATCTCCCAGGAAGTCACCATGAGGCTTAGTTCTTCCTTCCTGTGACTGGGGTAAAGGAGAGAACTGTCTCCTTGGACATCATCATCCATACGCCCGGCCCGAACGTCATCTCTGACCCAAACACCAAATCCAGACGGGCAACCACGGCTGTGGGGTGTGGAGGGGGAATCTGAACACCAACCTGGAGGTCAGACTTGAAGGAGACGGCGACGCTGCCTTCGCCCCATTCACAATATACAACCTTCGATGGGCCACCTCCCCAGTGAGGCTTCATCAAGGGGGCTTGGTCAACTTCCTTTTTGTGTGAACGAAAACATACGTTTCCAGGCGCCTATTAAGGGCTTGAGTCTGTGTCAGAGACGAGCCACACAAGTCAACGGACCTCACAGTCTAATGTGGAGGGCACACCTCTGACTATTCAAAAGTCATATATAGCATATTAACCGTAGATTTTAACAAATTAGCCTTGAAATACCTGCAGTTTGTCACAATGGAAGGCTCACTTCTCACTGGGTGACACGTCCATATGGGGGCCCCCGGTTGGCAGTTGGAGCTCCTCCATCAGGTGACTCAGGTGCCCAGATTCTTCCAACTTTGGGGTCCAACCTCCCCTAGAACCTTGGAGTGCTCTGTTACCAGTGAGGGGAAAGAGGAAGAGAGAGTGGAAAGGGCTCATCCGTGCCTTTTAAATAAAAAATCTGAATGTGACCAGGCGCAGTGGCTCACGCCTGTAATCCCAGCACTTTGGGAGGCCAAGGCAGGCAGATCACAAGGTCAAGAGATGGAGACCAGCCGGGTGCGGTGGCTCACGCCTGTAATCCCAGCACTTTGGGAGGCCAAGACAGGTAGATCACAAGGTCAGGAGATCGAGACTATCCTGGCTAACACGGTGAAACCCCATCTCTACTAAAAATACAAAAAAATTAGCCGGGCATGGTGGCGGGCACCTGTAGTCCCAGCTACTTGGGAGGCTGAGGCAGGAGAATGGCGTGAACCTGGGAGGCGGAGCTTGCAGTGAGCCAAGATCGTGCCACTGCACTCCAGCCTGGACGACAGAGCGAGACTCCATCTCAAAAAAAAAAAAAAAAAAAGAGGTGGAGACCATCCTGGCCAACATGGTGAAACCCCGTCTCTGCTAAAAATACAAAACTAAGCTGGGTGTGGTGGTGCACACCTGTAGTCCCAGCTACTTGGAAGGCTGAGGCATGAGAATCACTTGAACCTGGGAGACAGAGGTTGTAGTGAGCCGAGATCGAGCCACTGCACCCCAGCCTGGGGACAGAGCAAGACTCCGTCTCAGAAAAAAAAAAAAATCCTACGACCTTGTGTGAAAAGGGGACTCAACCCTCAGAGCTAACTCCAGGGAAGCCACCTGCAGTGTGGAGTGGAATTGGGGCTGAGGACTGACGAGCTGGCGACAGGAAGAGCAGCTGGGGGAGACGTGGACGGAGGAGACAGCTTCTGTGAAAGCCCTAATCAGGAGACAATTTTTCCTGTTGTAAGTTGAGTGGACTCCAGATGGAAAAATAATACGAAGAATATGTGTACTGATTGAGCAGGAGTCTCTAAAAGGCCAAATAAAGTTTTGGTATTTTACCCTCAAGAGAGTGGGACAGGTTTTGAGCATAAGTATGGCATCATCATATTTTTGTCTAAAATGTATCTGTAAGACCACTTCCTGAAGTCAGAATTGCACGAAGCAAAAACAGTAAGAGGTAACGTTTTCTGAGCATTTACTTTATGCCAGACACTGCCCTGAGTCCCCAGTATGGATAGTTTACTTAATTTTCCCAACAACTTTGGAAAGGTGTTTTCATCACTAGACTCATTTTAATGATGAGAACACTGAACTCAGAGGTTAATTAGTTTGATTAGTGTCATGTATTAACATGCATAATTTCATGGAAGGAACTGGATTTCAACCCAGGAAGAAAGTATGTCCTTACCTATTATTATTATTATTATTATTATTATTATTATTATTATTATTGAGACAGAGTCTTGCTCTGTCACCCAGGCTGGAGTTCAGTGGCATGATCTCGGCTCACTGCAACCTCCGCCTCCCAGGTTCAAGCAATTCTCCTTGTCTCAGCCTCCTGAGTAGCTGGGACTACAGGCGCCCACCACCACGCCTGGCTAACTTTTGTATTTTTAGTAGAGACGAGGTTTCACCATGTTGACCAGGCTGATCTGCATCTCCTGACCTCATGATCCACCCACCTCGGCCTCCCAAAATGCTGGAATTACAGGCGTGAGCCACCGCACCCGGCCGTCCTTACCTATTATTGATATATCATTGTATTTCTTAAAGAAAACAAGAAAAACCAAGTGTGGATAGACCAGTTAAAAAGTTCTTGCCTTCCAGGACAGTGATGATTTGTTTGCACTGGAATTATCACAGCAGGAATTTCAGTAAATATGTGGATTTATGACTGGGAGGTAGGCTCAGAAGAAATGCTGATGGAAGTTTGGCTTCCAGAAATATCTGACTAGGTTGTTTTAGACTAAACTTCTCACCGTTAATTAAAAAAAAAAAAAAAAAAAACTTTAGGCCAGGCGCGGTGGCTCACGCCTGTAATCCCATCACCTTGGGAGGCCGAGGCAGGCAGATCATGAGGTCAAGAGATCGAGACCATCCTGGCCAACATGGTGAAACCCCTTCTCTACTAAAAATACAAAAATTAGCCAGGCGTGTTGGTGGGTTCCTGTAGTCCCAGCTACCCTGGAGGCTGAGGCAGGAGAATCGCTTGAACCCGGGAGGTGGAGATTGTAGTGAGCCGAGATCGCGCCACTGCACTCCAGCCTGGGCAACAGAGTGAGACTCCGTCTCAAAAACAAAAAAAAAACAAAAAAAACAACAACAACTGTAAAAGATGAACAAAAACCAAAGAACATCTGTCTGTAGAACTTGGCATGCTTCCAAGGCAGAGAGAATTTAGGGTTCCAAGACATAAAAGAGGAAGGAAACCAAGCAAGGGGACTTTATCCTTTGAGGTTAGTTTTATGTTAACGGTTTGCTGATTCTGAAACTAAAGGCAGCAGATGAGAGACCAAAAAGCTGAGTAGGAGCAGGATGAAGAATTTCAACAAAGAACTAGCAAATATAAGAACAAACACAGCCGGACGCGGTGGCTCACACCTGTAATCCCAATACTTTGGGAGGCCAAGGCGGGTGGATCACCTGAGCTTGGGGGTTTGAGATCAGCCTGACCAACAGGGAGAAACCCCATCTCTACTAAAAATACAAAATTAGCCGGACTCAGTGGCGCATGCCTGTAATCCCAGCTACTCAGGAGGCTGAGGCGGGAGAATCGCTTGAACCCAGGAGGCGGAGGTTGCAGTGAACCGAGATGGTGCCACTACACTCCAGCCTGGGTGACAGAGTGAGATTCCATCTCAAAAAAGAAAAAGAAAAAAAAAGAAAATACGGGACATGGTGAAAATACTTAACATATGTACAACTGGAATCCCATAAGGGGAAGAAAGACAGAGAAAGAGAAAGGCAGACACGATATTGGAAGGGTTACTGAACAATATTTCCTAAAATGAATCAAAAACATCAAGCCACACAGTAGATGTCCAGTAGGAACTTAAACCTCACGTGTTTATAACATGTTATAATATAAGTTGCTTATATTCACTCCCAAATCTCCTCCTCCTAAGGTCTTTCCCATCTCAGTAAATGAGAATTCCAGCCACTAGTTATTTGGGCAAAAAAAAAAAATAAGTGTTACCCTTGACTCCATGTTTTTCCTCATATCCCACAGCTGTGAGTACATTATCAGACATTTCCCTTTGAAATATCTCCAGAATAGTATCATTTCTCTCCACCTCTTGGAGACCACCCGAGCCTGAACCACTGTCTGCTGTACCTGGATCATTGCAAGAGCTTCCTAACTAATCCTTCTTGCATCTAACATTCCTCCTCTATTAATCTGTTCTCCACACAGTAGCAGAGTTGTCTTGTAAGAAGATAACGATTCTCCCAAGGATCACAGCCAATCAGACACAGCAATGGCTGCTCCAAGCCACAGGGATGCCTGCTCATGCACCGTGCCAGCCAAGCTCGTTTCTGGAGTTTTGGGTGGGTCCGGATGAGAGAAGACAATAGCTAACTTTATGGCTGTCATTCTGGGAAATCATTCCCTTGAGAACAGAGCTTTGTCAAAAGAAGGTGGATTCTACAAAAGATTAAGCAGTAAATGACTCAAAAGATGATCAGGCAATGGGGGAAAATTAGCCAAGAGCTGATTCCTATGAAATGTTTTATTATTCCTGTGAAATTTTTGCATTAATCAAGACCATGAATTTGGAAGGAGCCCTTCTTGGAGAAGACCTCTTCATTGGAAGCAATGGTCCCTGTACAGGTGGCTGAGAGGAACACAACAAAAGCAACGTCCAGGTAGAGCAGGAAGGATGCCCCTCAGGAGCAAGGAGTGGTCATCAGGTGAAACCCAAGGTGTCTTCTTAGAGAGTGAAGGTCCCGGGTACCTGCCGCCAGGTCCTAGTGACCAGCCCCCAGAGTGGAAGTACAAGGGTAATGCCCAGCTACTCACACCGGGGGGTGATGTCCTGGAGAAAGGGCTGACAGCAGCTTACCTGGACTGCTGGCATCATTATCACATGCATGCCACATGCCTTCATGAAAATCAAAGTCTCCCTCCAAAGTGCAAGTCCAATTCCATAAAATAAGGCATGCTGATCATAAAATACGATTTGGCAATAAAATGGCAGTATAGCAAAAGCACTGGCCACTTTGTGTCACTCCTTAGTATGGTTTGGATCTGTGTCCCCACCAAATCTCATGTCGAATTGTCATCTCCAGTGTTGGAGGTGGGGACTGGTGGGAGGTGATTGGCTCATGGGGGTGGCTCCTGCATGAATGGTGGGGACTGGTGGGAGGTGACTGGCTCATGGGGGTGGCTCCTGCATGAATGGTGGGGACTGGTGGGAGGTGATTGGCTCATGGGGGTGGCTCCTGCGTGAATGGTGGGGACTGGTGGGAGGTGATTGGCTCATGGGGGTGGCTCCTGCGTGAATGGTGGGGACTGGTGGGAGGTGACTGGCTCATGGGGGTGGCTCCGGTATGAATGGTGGGGACTGGTGGGAGGTGATTGGCTCATGGGGGTGGCTCCAGCATGAATGGTTTGTCACCATCCCCTTCGGTGCTGTTCTCACGATAGTGAGTGAGTCCTCATTAGATGTGGTTGTTTAAAAGTGTATGGCACCTCTCTTCTCTCTCTCTCTCTCCCTCCTGCTCCAGCCATGTAAAGTGTTTGCTCCTCCTTTGCCTTCCACCATGACTGAAAGCCTCCTGAGGCCTCCCCAGAAGCCAAGCAGAAGCCACTGTGCTTCCTGTACAGCTTGCAGAACCATGAGCCAATTAAACTTCTTTTCTTTGTAAGTTTCCCAGTGCCAGGTATTTCTTTACAGCAATACAAGAACGGACTAATACAGAAAATTGGCACCCAGGATGGACTAATACACTCTTATGCCCAAAAGCGTTCCAGAACTTCCCACCAAGGTCATATTGACAAGACTTTGCATCTTCTCTCCCCCACCCACCTCTTGGCTTAGCACTCTGATTGTATCTCCTCCCACTTTCCCCTTCGTGACCCTGATCCAGCCACATGGACATCCTTGCTGTTCCTAGAATACACCAAGCATGCATCTGCCTCAGGACCTTTGCATGTGCCATGCTTTCTGCCTGGAACACTCTTCCCCCAGAGATGCATGGGGCTCACTCTCTGCCTCCTTCACTCTTGACTCCAATATTCCCTTCTCCTTCAGGTCTTCTTGGACCATCCTATCTAAAGTTGCAACACTCCCTCCAGATTTCATATCACCTCTCACTGCCTTTTTTTCTTTCTTCAGCATATATCACTAATCTTGCATATATTTTATTTATTAATATTGTTTATGATCTGCCCCCCCATTAGAATATATCTCCATGAAGTCATAGATGTTTTTTCTGCAGTGTTTCCTATAGTGTCCCTGCACCTAGGACAGTCCCTGGCACACAATAGATACTCAATAAATTTTTTTGAATGAATATTTGTTGAGTATCTAAAATCTCTAAACTTATGAATGAATAGACATATACAGTATATAGGAAGTATAAGGAAGGCTACAAGGGCATGATTACTGAGTACAATTCTAGAAGCCAGATCTCTAGCTTTTAATTATGGTTGTACCAGTTATAAGCTTTGTGACTTTAGAGTAAGTTTATTAACCTCTCTGTTCCTCTACTTCTTCCTCTGTAAAAAAAATTTTTCAGCCGGGCAAGGTGGCTCACGCCTGTAATCCCAGCACTTTGGGAGGCCGAGGCGGGCGGATCACGAGGTCAGGAGATCGAGGCCATCCTGGCTAACACGGTGAAACCCCGTCTGTACTAAAAATACAAAAAATTAGCCGGGCGTGGTTGCGCAAGCCTGTAGTTCCAGCTACTCGGGAGGCTGAGGCAGGACAATGGCGTGAACCCGGGAGGTGGAGCTTGTAGTGAGCTGAGATCGCGCCACTGCACTCCAGCCTGGGCGACAGAGCAAGACTCCGTCTCAAAAAAAAAAAAAAAAAAAAAATACAAAGTAATTGTACAGAACTCATAAAATTTTTGTGACTATTCGGTGAGTTATTATGTTAAAAGTAATCAGATAGGCTGAGGCAGGAGAATCGCTTGAACCCGGGAGGCAGAGGTTGCAGTGAGCTGAGATCACGCCACTGCACTCCAGCCTGGGTGACAGAGCAAGACTCCGTCAAAAAAAAAAAAAAAAAAAAAAAATTACGTAACGGATACAATGTATGTCACTGGGTTAGTGGATCCCTGAAAGCCCTAACTTCATCATTCTGGAATCTATCCATGCAACAAAGTTACACTCGTACCCCATAAACGTATACAAATAAAAAATAATCGGCTGCGCATGGTGGTTTACAGCTGTAATCCCAGCACTTTGGGAGGCTGAGGAGGGCGGATCACCTGAGGTCGGGGGTTTGAGACCAGCCTGACCAACAGGGAGAAACCCTGCCTCTACTAAAAATACAAAATTAGCTGGGCGTGGTAGCACATGCCTGTAATCCCAGCTACTCAGGAGGCTGAGGCAGGAGAATCGCTTGAACCCGGGAGGCAGAGGTTGCAGTGAGCAGAGATCAAACCATTGCACTCCAGCCTGGGCAACGAGAGCAAAACTCCATCTCAAAAAATAATCATAATCATAATCATAAATATAAGGCAAAAGTAAGCATGCTTTCTTTAAAAAAAGTAGTCAGACTGAGCCTGTCATCTGGTAAGAGCTCTAACGTTTATCGTTAATATGATTGTTATTGTCGCTGTTATATTTTCATTATTGGTGTTGTCATTATATGTACAAAACAGCATCAGCAGAGAATCCACATCCTTTTCAAGAACAAATGAAGCATTTACAAAAATTGATGACTTATTAATCCACCCAGGAAGTCTCAAAATCTTCCAAAAACTTCATATAATACAAACCATGACTGGGCACAGTGGCTCATGCCTGTAATCCCAGCACTTTGGGAGACCGAGGAGGGCGGATCACCTGAGGTCAGGAGTTCGAGACCAGCCTGGCCAACATGGCAAAACCCCGTCTCTACTAAAAACACAAAATTAGCCGGGCGTAGTGGTGCATGCCTGTAATCCCAGCTACTTGGGAGGCTGAGGCAGGAGAATTGCTTGAACTCGGGAGGTGGAGGTTGCAGTGAGCCGAGATTGTGCCATTGCGCTCCAGCCTGGGCAACAAGAGCAAAACTTCGTCTCAAAAAAAAAAAAAAAAAAAAAAAAAAAAAGAAAAAAGAAAAGAAAAGAAAAAGAAAAGAAAAAAAAGAAATACAGACCATATTCTGTGACTACAAATTTATGTAAAAGATTAAATATTAAAAGATTTAAAAATACATTTTTAAAACTAAAAATTCAGTACAACTTATGAGTTCAGACTTAAAAAACACAGGAGACATAAAATATTTAGAAATGAGCAGAGACAGTGATTCATATCGAAACTTGCTGAATGCAATAAAAGTCCTACTTAGGGGAAAATGTACACTTTTTTTTTTTTTTTAGAAAACACGAAGTTTGGGAAATTACTTACTGAGCATGCAACTTGTGGAGCTGGAAGGAGAAAGGAAGTCAAGGGGAGGTGCAGGAAGGGTCCAGAAAAGCAGCAAACACAAGGTTAACAGAAGAAATGCCCCAGTAAGTGCCCAAGGAACTCACCCAGGTGCATTGTCACGACGCTTTCAGAAACAAAAGAAAAAGAAAATAAACATATTCTAGGTGAGAGAAAACAGACAACTGTGCACTAAGTTTCTATTTTTTTTTTTTTTTTTTTTTTTTTTTTGAGACGGAGTCTCACTCTGTCGCCCAGGCTGGAGTGCGGTGGCGCGATCTCAGCTCACTGCAAGCTCTGCCTCCCGGGTTCACGCCATTCTCCTGCCTCAGCCTCCCGCGTAGCTGGGACCACAGGCGCCCGCCACCACGCCCGGCTAATTTTTTGTATTTTTAGTAGAGATGGGGTTTCACCATGTTGGCCAGGATGGTCTCGATCTCCTGACCTCGTGATCCGCCCACCTCGGCCTCCCAAAGTGCTGGGATTACAGGCGTGAGCCACCGCGCCCGGCCGGTTTCTATTATTATAATCACATCAGACTTCTCATCAGTCACTCTGGAAGTTGACAAGGGAGAAATGCGTTTGAAAATAGCCTGTGGCCGGGTGCAGTGGCTCACGGCTGTAATCCCAGCACGTTGGGAGGCCGAGGCGGGCAGATCACAAGGTCAGTAGTTCCAGACCAGCCTGGCCAGCATGGTGAAACCCTGTCTCTATTAAAAATACAAAAAAATTAGCCAGGCATGTCTGTAGTCCCAGCCACTCCAGAAGCTGAGGCAGGAGAACTGCTTGAACCCGGGAGGTGGAGGTTGGAGTGAACTGAGATTGCACCACTGTACTTCAGCCCGGGCAACAGAGTGAGACTCTGTCTCAAAAAATGAAAGAAAGGGCCGGGCACGGTGGCTCACGCCTGTAATCCCAGCACTTTGGGAGGCCGAGGCGGGCGGATCACAAGGTCAGGAGATCGAGACCATCCCGGCTAAAACGGTGAAACCCCGTCTCTACTAAAAATACAAAAAATTAGCCGGGCGTAGTGGCGGGCGCCTGTAGTCCCAGCTACTTGGGAGGCTGAGGCAGGAGAATGGCGTGAACCCGGAGGCAGAGCTTGCAGTGAGCCGAGATCCCGCCACTGCACTCCAGCCTGGGCGACAGAGCGAGACTCCGTCTCAAAAAAAAAAAAAAAAAAAAAAAAGAAAGAAAGGGAGGGAGGGAGGGAGGGAGGGAGGGAGGGAGGAAGGAAGGAAGGAATGAAGGAAGGAAGGAAGGAAGAAAATAGCCTATGTATTCCTATGGAGAGATCCCAGAGTGTATTCTTAGAGATTAAACGACATCAGGATGTCATCTGTATTGTGCCAAGAATTGGGGGAATCAGAATATACATTCATATTGACTCATATTCACCCAGAAACAAACACTGGAAGGATTAATATGAGAAAGTTAAAATTGTGGCTCTCCCACGTTTTCTTCCCCGTCCACCACCTGAACAAGCTGCGGTCCTAGAAATCACCTCGACTGCTCCTCTTTCTCACCCTCTCCCCTTGTTCTACCTCCAGAATCTGTCCTCATGCAGACACTGCTTGCCAGCACCACGGCGCCAGGTTCACCCTCTCTCTCCTCGTCCAGGGAACATTCCCTAAGTGGTGTCTCTGTGTTCATTTGCTGCTTCTTAGCTGTTCTCCTCATTGTAGCCAGGGTGATGTTTTCAAAGGGTCAGTCAAATCATGTCTTGCTACCATTGAAATCTCCAGTGATTCATGATGTACTTCGCCCAAAACCCAAACTCTGTGACCTACGGGACACTCACTCACCTCTCCAGTTTCATGTTGGTCCCTGTGCCCCTCACTCCCTGCCCTCAGGCCACATGACATTCCTGCTGTTCCTTGAAGACACCAGGTCCCTCCCTGCCTTGGGACTCTGCGTCTCTGCCTGGGTGCACCGACCTCCTGCTTTGCACCACAGCCTCCAGGTCTCTGCTCAGCATCATCTTAGCAAGAAGGGCCTTCTCAGATCACTCTGTTGAAAGAAGTCCACTCCCCTGACACCCATCCCTTTGCTAAGAAGATTTGTCTTCATTCTCTCTTGACGTTCATCCTCCTTTCTAATTATCTACTCTTTGACTTGTACGCTGTCCCTCTCTCCCCATTAGAATGGAGACTTCACTTGGCCAGGGACCTTGTCTGTCTTGATCATCACTCTATCACCGGTACTTAGGGCCTGGCACATAATAGATGCTCAGCAAATACTTGTAGAACGAATAGTGAATCAGAAACAATATTGGCCATTGTTTACTGGACATTTAAAGGTTAAATAATGGCACCCCTATGCAATGAAATACTGGATTAGCATTAAAAATGATGCTGCTGGCCGGGCACGGCGGCTCATGCCTGTAATCCCAGCACTTTGGGAGGCCAAGGCGGGCGGATCACCTGAGGTCAGGAGTTTGAGACCAGCCTGACCAACAGGATGAAACCTCATCTCCACTAAAAATAAAAAAAATAGCTTGGCATGGTGGCGCACACCTGTAATCCCAGCTACTCAGGAGGCCGAGGCAGGAGAATCACTTGAGCCTGGGAGGCGGAGGTTGCAGTGAGCTGAGATCGTGCCACTGCACTCCGGGCTGCCCCACACAGCGAAACTCTGTCTCAAAGAAAAAAAAAAAAAAAGGATGATGTTGTTTTACTTTTATTGACATGAAAGATGTCAAGGGTATTGTTGAGTGAACAAAACAGGAAAAACACATGTATGTAGAAGTTACATACATTAAGTTATATATGTACATTTACACACATGTTTATGGAAGGAGAGATTTCTGAGAAAGTGTTAACAGAAATGTTTGCTGTGATTAACATGAGGTAATGAGGGTTTCAAATTCTCTCATTTCATTTTTTATGAGTTGTTTTATTTGGATTTTTTTTTTTGAGACGGAGTCTCGCTCTGTCGCCCAGGCTGGAGTGCAGTGGTGCCATCTCGGCTCACTGCAAGCTCTGCCTTCTGGGTTCATGCCATTCTCCTGCCTCGGCCTCCCAAGTAGCTGGGACCACAGGCGCCCGCCACCACGCCAGGCTAATTTTTTGTATTTTTAGTAGAGATGGGGTTTCACCGTGTTGACCGGGATGGTCTCAATCTCCTGACCTTGTGATCCACCAGCCTTGGCCTCCCAAAATGCTGGGATTACAGGCATGAGCCACCGCGCCTGGTCCCTGGACTTTTTTTTTTTAAAGAAAGGGTCCTGCTCTTGTCACCCAGGCTGAAGTGCAGGACGCGATCGTAGCTCACTGCACTCTCAACCTCGCAGGGCTCAGGTCAACCTCCCAACTCAGCCTCCCGAGTAGCTGGGACTTCAGAAGCGTGCCACGCACACCCGGCTAATTTTTGTATTTTGTATCTAACTCCTGGGCTCAAGCGATCCGCCTGCCTCTGTCTCCCAAAATGCTTGGATTACAGGTGTGAGCCACCATGCCTGGGTGAATTTTTTTTTTTTTTTGAGATGGAGTTTCACTCTTGTTGCCCAGGCTGGAGTGCAATGGTGCAATCTCGGCTCGCCACCACCTCCGCCTGCCGGGTTCAAGTGATTCTCCTGCCTCAGCCTCCTGAGTAGCTGGGATTAGAGGCATACGCCACCACGCCCAGCTAATTTTGTATTTTTAGTAGAGACAGGGTTTCCCCATGTTGGTCAGGCTGGTCTCAAACTCCCGACCTCAGGCGATCTGCCCACCTCAGCCTCCCAAAGTGCTGGGATTATAGGGGTGAGCCACCGTGCTGGCCGAATTTTTTTACATTAAGCATGTGTCAGTCGTAACTAGGAAAAACAAAATTATTTTTGTTTAAGAAGATAAAATAAAATGGCCACCTATGAGGAGCTGGGAGTACAGGCTTAGGTGGAAACAGATAAGGTGTCAAGACCTCCTTCTGTGACTGACCCCTTCAGATTTTCTCCCTAGAGTTTCAGTCATGCAAGATGAGGAGGTCTCAGAGCCTCCTGTGCGGTGTAGTGCCAGCAGGTAACAATACAGTATTGTGTGCTTACACATTTGCTGAGAAGATAGATCTTTTGTTAAGTGCTCTTATCATCACAAATTGATATGTGGCCATAAAAATAGTATCAAACAATAATAATATACAAATAGACGGGAGGAACCTGTGAGAGGTGGTGGATGGGTTTATGTCGTAAACTGTGGTGTTGACACACAGGGCATACTCATCTCCAAACTCATCAAGTCGTATATGTTAAATACATACTGCTTTTTATATGTCAATTATTCCTCGATAGAGTAAGGTTTTTTTTTTTTTGTAATTGCAAGTGTCTGCAGAGAGCTTCTATAGGTTTGGGGGTCCGGGAGACTCCCATAGGTGTGCCCCGTGAGCCTCAGCACCTAGGGTGTGTGTAGTGGCTATTCTGCCTTTATCTGTATTAAATTTTTTAAAAATTATTTTCCCAGGCATTCCACGACGCTCAACTTTTCACCCAAGTTCAAGTTCCTGTTTTTTTCTTCACAGAAGTCGATTGTGGGCGCCAGTTCCCACATTGCTCTCATCCTAAGTAGCAGCAACTTGCGGGCTGATGCCTGTGTCCAGCCCTAGAAGAGCCTCCGTACCTAGAAGAAAACCTCCCCTCCTGGGAGTCACGGCGCAAGGCTGGGCTCCCATCCTCGCAGGGAGGGGCGGATGCACCTGCCCCTGCAGATCTGCGCCCAGATCTGTGTTATCCACACCCACATCTGCGTCTGCAGGAAGAGGCTCCGCAGCAGGCAACAGCTTCCATCTGCGAGCCTCATTTAATCCCCACGAGGATCCTGTAGAGGGTTCCTATGTTCACCTCTGTTTTATATATAGACGAGGACGCTGGCTCTGGGAGGAGTAAAGCCGTGCAGCAGTAACTCCCGTGCAGCAGTAACTCCCGTGCAGCAGTAACTGCAGCCGTGCAGAGTAAACTCCCAGCACAGAACCCGGCCTCCCCGGTTCAGAAACAAAAGTGAGCTCCCTCCTCCCTGCTTGCGGGCGAAACTCTCGCTGCCTGTTGAACGTCTCCACCTGGATGCCACGGCTTCCCCAGACTCCCAGTGCCCCCGGGCAACGCCTTCCTCTCTCCCCACCTTTCCAAATTTTCTCTGCAGCAAGTTTCCCTCCTCCAAGTTTCTCCCCCTTCTCCAGCCTTCACGTTCAGTCCCGTGTCTCTGTGCCGTACAGGACTCAGCTGCCATAACAGCAGCTGGCGTCTCAGCGCCCCCGGAAGCTGAGACTTTCCAGGACAAGAACTGCTTTGGAGTCCTCTCGGGCCCCAGCACGACCTGCTACACTGCAAACTACTGCAAAGAACCTTTCAAGACTGGAGAGATGGAGCACCCCAAGTCTGTTTTACAGATGGAAAGGTGGTGGCTCAAAGACGAGATACCACAATAACAGTGGCTATGAAGCTCTCGCTTTGTCAAGATACAGTTCAAAGCACTGGGCATGCACTGACTCATCTCACGACCCCTAAAACACTCACGTTGGATACTATTGCTACTCCTCTTACCAACGCAGAAACAGCGTCACAGCAAAGTTAAGCAGCTTGCCCAAAGATCCTCCGCTAGGAAGGGAAGAAGGTGGCCTTTGAACTTGAGCTCCCCATCCACAGTCTGCAGTCCTTCAGACTGGAGCACATTGTAGAAATTAACAATGTCATCCCAACAACCCTTATAAAACACTTTTGGGCCGGGCGCGGTGGCTCACGCCTGTCATCCCAGCACTTCGGAAGGCCGAGGCAGGTGGATCACCTGAGGTGAGTTCGAGACCAGCCTTACCAACAAGGTGAAACCCTGTCCCTACTAAAAATACAAAAATTAGCCGGGCGTGGTGGCTGGCGCCTGTAGTCCCAGCTACTCGGGAGGCTAAGGCAGGAGAATTCCTTGAACCCGCGAGGTGGAGGTTGCAGTGAGCCGAGATCGTGCCACTGCACTCCAGCCTGGGCGATGGAGCGAGACTCCATCTCAAAAACAAAACAAAACAAAACAAAAAACACTTTTGAGTTCTGACTTTATTTCTTGCTGTTTTCTTATTTTTCATGGAACTCATCTTAATGATTTCACGTTTACCAATCACGTATATTTGGACGTGATTACAGGGCCACAGGGCAACCTCCAGAAGCATGATTCCTTTCCTAAGAATGAGGAAGGATGTGGTCAGTGTGTTCCTAAAATTATGATACTGCTTTGTAAGATAACATGTTTTGTTCGTTTTATTTCATCTTTTTATTTTGAAACAGAGTCTCACTCTGTCACCCAGCCTGGAGTGCAGTGGAGCAATCTCAATTCACTGCAGCCTCTGCCTCCTGGGCTCAAGCCATCCTCTCACCTTGGCCCCCCAAGTAGCTGGGACTATAGGCACACATCACCATACCCAGTTAATTTTTGTATTTTTTGTAGAGCTAGGGTTTCACCATGTTGCCCAGGCTGTTCTCAAACTCCCAAACTCAAGCAATCCACCCACCTTGGCTTCCCAAAGTGCTGGGATTACAGGCGTGAGCCACTGCACCTGGCCCAATTTTATTTCTTATTATTTTGCATGCCATTGTGAATGTATGAAGTGTTTCTCTCTTTATTTAGATCTTTAATTTCCCTCAGCAATCTTTTGTAGTTCTTAGTGTACACATCTTGCATTTCTTTATTAAATTGGTTTCTATTCATTTTATTATTTTTGAGGCTTTGTAAATAAAATTGCTCTCCTAATTTCATTATTGAATTATTTTTGTCAGTATATAGACATATGATTGATTTTAGTGAATATGTCTTCATCGTGCTAGGATTTTTGTTGTTGTTGCTGCTGTTGTTGTTATTGTTGAGACAGAGTTTCGCTCTTGTTGCCCAGGCTGGAGTGCAATGGCGCAATCTCGGCTCACTGCAACCTCCACCTCCCGAGTTCAAGCAATTCTCCTGCCTCAGCCTCCTGAGTAGCTGGGATTACAGGCATGCACCACCATGCCTGGCTAAGTTTTTGTATTTTTAGTAGAGACGGGGTTTCACCATGTTGGCCAGGCTGGTCTCAAACCCCTGACCTCAGGTGATCCACTCCCCTCAGTCTCCCAAAATGCTGGGATTACAGGCATGAGCCACCACATCCGGCTCTTGCTAGAAATTTATTGTACTTTTCAGCTTCATAATTTCCATTTAGTTTTATGCTTTAATAATATCCCAAGGTAACATTATGGTCACTTTCTGTAACTAATATTTCTTACTCTGTTGATTTATCAGGGGCTGGATTACTCTCCTTCAAGTTTCCTGTGCTAGCCTAATGGTTTGGATGTTGTTGTTCAATGCAATTCTCCTTTATTTTTGTTCCATTTATTTTTAGCAGCTTTGTTTAGCTATAATTGTTCTACTAAAAAACCTTCTCACTTAATGTACACAATCAGATGAATTTGGACACATGCAATAACCCCTTGGAAGACATTCACGTGCATGCGTTGTTGGTTTTTCCGCTTCTTACGGGAACTCCTTTCAGGCATTTCCATCTCCACGCTACACATGGGGAAATAGAGGCTCACAGAGGAGAAAGGACGTGGTTCAGGTCACACCTGTCCCTGGTCCTCCAGGCTGAGGAGCAGAGAGACCACCCACCTTAGTGCTGGAAGGGTTTAACACATAGCTTGGGCTCCCTCTTGTGGCCACAGTGGAGAAACTCCCTGCTTAGTTCATTTTTATTTTTTCCATCTGGCATTCATTTTTTTCATTCAGTAAGTATTTGTTGGTCCTGTCCTGTGTGCCAGACACTGTTTGAGGCTCTAGAGGTCCACCAATATAGAAAACAAACACCCTTTCCATGGAAGAGCTTATATTCTTGCAGAAGGAGAGGGGCAGTAACCCACAGGCATTATACAGTCACAGTCAGCTAGAAGGTGAGAGTGATTTGGATAAATGAGAAAGTGCAGCGGTGGTCCAGGGGGTCTGGAGGGTGCAAAGCTCAGCAGGGGGAATAGTGTGGCAGTTGCAGACAGAGGGGTAGGAAGAGGGAAGTGGCAGGAAGAGAATGCAGAGGGGTGAGGGTTGGGGCCACAGGTCCTGTGTAGAGCCCTGTTGGTCACCATGATCACCCTGAGTGAGCTGGGAAGTAACACAAATGACTCCAAATAGAAGCGCCTTCATGGAGCCTTCTTCTTCCCAGACTTCAACTAGAAACCTGAGCTGCCTGTCACAGCAGGGGACGTGTCATCCCATTAGACTTCAAACGTCCTCAGCAATTCCCTGCCCCCTTCTTTCTAGGAGTCAGGATTCCTCAGCCTTGCTCTAGAACTGCATCTGGTGACCCCTAGAAACCTGTCCTGGAAGCCTTACAAGGCTCTTCACACTCACAGTTTGTGATATGACCCCAGAGTTGTGCAGTGCACAACCTACACAGCTGGACACGATGGGCCTGGCACTCTTCCTCTGTGCTCCCACTGCACTCTGTGCTGACTATGTCATTCCACTGGGTGGTGCCATGTCAACTTCTCTCCTCTCCTCTCAATATCCTGTAAGGATAAGATAGGATCAAAGTTCTACCCACGTCCCTGGTACTCAGAAGAGGAGCTGAAACATTGGCGACCACTCATTAGCACTCTACTTAACAAAACAAATTGCCCAGGTAGTTATGATTAGATTTCTATAAAAGGCTGAATAATTACAGAAAGGCTCTAGAAACTAGTGTATAATTATGTACAGGCGCTGGCAGTGTGTAGAGTCATGGAAATCAGCTAAGGAATCGCGGTGCAGTCTCAGGAACCAGCTGGATAATTGCACCAGGAGCTCCCAAAACCAGCTGGATAATTATAGTGGAGTCCCTGGAACTCAGCGGGTAATTACCATGTACTCATGGAATCAGCAGTAATAATAGAAGGGTCCCAAATGCAGACACTAGGGAAAGTCTGGAGACACTTTTGATTGTCACAACCCAGAGGAGAGGGGGATGCTTCTGGGTGGTGGGGGGTGGAGGCGGGGGATGCACAGGACAGCTCCTCCCCCAAGGAATAACCTAGCCCCGAAAGTCAACAGTGTTACCCAGAAAAAAACAGGGTTCCTTTGCCTGGTGAGGAGCAAACAACTCTCCCGAGAATGCAGGTGATGTGGTTTGGCTCTGTGTCCCCACCCAAATCTCACCTGGTATTGTAATGATCCCCACGTGTCGATGGGGGGCAGTGACTCACGCCTGTAATCCAAGCACTTTGGGAGGTTGAGGCAGGCAGATCATGAGGTCAGAAGATCGAGACCATCCTGGATAACACAGTGAAACCCGTCTCTACTAAAAATACAAAAAATTAGCCGAGCGTGGTGGCGGGCAGCTGTAGTCCCAGCTACTCGGGAGGCTGAGGCAGGAGAATTACTTGAACCTGGGAGGTGGAGGTTGCAGTGAGCTGAGATCACGCCGTTGCACTCCAGCCTGGGTGACAGAGCGAGACTCCGTCTCAAAATAATAATAATAATAATCCCCACGTGTCATGGGAGGGACCTGTGGGAGGCGACTGAATCACGGGAGCAGGTTTTTCCCATTCTGTTCTCGTGATAGTGAATAAGTCTCACGAGATCTGATGGTTTTATAAATGGGAGCGCCCCTGCACGCTCTTTCTTGCCTGCTGCCATGTAAGACGTGACTTTGCTCCTCCTTCATCTTCCGCCATGATTGTTAGCCCTCCCCAGCCAAGTGGAACTATGAGCCCATTAAACTTCTTTCCTTTGTAAATGAACCAGTCTCGGGTATGTCTTTATTAGCAGCATGAGAACAAACTAATACAGAGGTTTTGATCAAGAAGAGTTTTATGACTTGACACAGCTAAGGAAGGCACTGGGTGTATTCTTCAAAGCAGTGTCTCCCTGAGGAAAAGGGACAGGAGGGCTCTATGGGGTGAGGGAGCAGGGAGAGGGCGCGTCGTTGTATGTGGAGGAGGGTCCCAGTCACGCAGATGCAGCGAGTCGTCATACCAGCACACGGGTCGCATGTTACGGTAACGAGACTACAGCTCCTCCCGGGATGGAGACTTGAGCGCAGCAGTGCAGAAAGTTCACTCGGGTTCATCTCTAAGTTGCCAGGGCCCGTCAGAGGCTGGTTCCAACCAACGAGTGGCCGCATTCCACACAGGGTTTGGAGAAAAACAGGCTGCAGGGCAGAAGGCTGTGAAACAGGCTGATTGCTCAAGTTGATTAAATTCCTATAATCCCTGGAGACCCTCCCTGTCTCCATACAGTAGTGCTTGGGTTGAGAAATTTTCTTTAAAAGACTATTTTTAGCCGGGCGCAGTGGCTCACGCCTGTAATCCCAGCACTTTGGGAGGCCGAGGCGGATGGATCACGAGGTCAGGAGATCGAGACCATCCTGGCTAACACGGGGAGACCCCGTCTCTACTAAAAACACACAGAAAAATTAGCCGGGCGTGGTGGCGGGCGCCTGCAGTCCCAGCTACTGGGGAGGCTGAGGCAGGAGAATGGTGTGAACCCGGGAGGTGGAGCTTGCAGTGAGCTGAGATCGCGCCACTGCACCCCAGCCTGGGCGACAGAGCGAGACTCCGTCTCAAAAAAAATAAAATAAAATAAGAATAAGAAGAAGAAAGAAGAAAGAAGAAGAAGAGGAAGAGGAAGAGGAAGAAGAGGAAGAGGAGGAAGAGGAAGAAAAATGTTTTAAAAAGACTATTTTTAGAGCAGGTTCAGGTTCATAGTAAAATGAGGGGAAGGTAGAGATTTTCCATGTACTCCCTACGCCGACACCTACATAGCTTCCCCCATTACCAGCGTTCCCTACCAGAGCGGTATTTTTATTACAACTGATGAGCCTGCATTGACACATTGTAATCACCCAAAGTCATATTAGGGCTCGCTCAGTCTTCCTGTTGCACATCCTATGAGTTCAGGCAAATGTCTAATGGCAGGCACCCACCGTCACAGTGTTAGACAGAGGAGAGCCATTGCCCTAAAATTCCTCTGTGCACCACCTATTCATCCTTCCTTCGCCCAACCCCTGGCAGCTCTGATCTTTTCCTGTCTCCATACTTTGCCTTTTCCAGAATGTCATATTGTTGGAATCAGACAATGCGTAGCCTTTTCAGATGGGATTCTACCACTTGGTAATATGCATTTAAGGTTCCTCTGTGTCTTTTCATGGCTTGAGAGCTCATTTCTATCTATCTATCTATTTATTTATTTATTTATTTATTTACTTATTTACTTATTTATTTATTTTTGAGATAGAGTCTCGCTCTGCTGCCCAGGCTGGAGTGCGGTGGCTGTGATCTCGGCTCACTGCAAGCTCCGTCTCCCAGGTTCAAGCGATTCTCCTGCCTCAGCCTCCCGAGCAGCTGGGATTATAGGCACCTGCCCCCACGCCCGGCTAATTTTTGTATTTTTAGTAGATGGGGTTTCACCATGTTGGTCAGGCTGGTCTCGAACTCCTGACTTTAGATGATCCACCCGCCTCGATCTCCCAAAGTGCTGGGATTATAGGCGTGAGCCACCATGCCTGGCATCATTTCTTTTTCTTTTCTTTTCTTTTCTTTTTTTTTTTTTTTTTTGTTGTTGTTGTTGTTGTTGTTGAGGCAAAGTTTCACTCTTGTCGCCCAGGCTGGAGTGCAGTGGCACGATCTCAGCTCCCTGCAACTTCCGCCTCCCGGTTTCAAGTGATTTTCCTGCCTCAGCCTCCCAAGTAGCTGGGATTACAGGCGCCTGCCACCACGCCTGGTTAATTTTTGTATTTTTAGTAGAGATGGGTTTCCCCATGTTGGCCAGGCTGGTCTTGAACTCCTGACCCTGTGATCTGTGGGCCTTGGCCTCCCAAAGTGCTGGGATTACAGATGTGAGCCACCGTGACTGGCTAATTTTTGTGTTTTTAGTAGAGATGGGGTTTCGCCATGTTGGCTAGGCTGGTCTCGAACTCCTGACCTTGTGATCCGCCCGCTTCGGCCTCCCAAAGTGCTGGGATTACAGGCATGAGCCACTAGAGTCTCTTTGTGAAAAGGAATGGAAGGATGTGGTGTGATGCAGCACGCATCACCAGGTCCCTGTCATAAATTTGCTTTTGTGGCCGGGCGCGGTGGCTCACGCCTGTAATCCCAGCACTTTGGGAGGCTGAGGCAGGCGGATCCCCTGAGGTCAGGAGATCGAGACCAGCCTAGCCAACATGGCGAAACCCCATCTCTACTAAAAATACAAAAAATTAGCCGGGCGTGGTGGCAGGCACCTGTAGTCCCAGCCACTCGGGAGGCTGAGGCAGGAGAATAGTTTGAACCCGGGAGGCGGAACTTGCAGTGAGCCGAGATTGCTGCACTCCAGCCTGAGCGACAGAGCGAGACTCTGTCTCAAAACAAAACAAAAAAAGCTTACCCTCCATGATGCAGCAATCCCACTACTGGGTATATGCTCAAAGAAACTGAAACCAGTGTGTGGAAGAGATGTCTGCACCCCTATGTGTATTGCAGAGTTATTCACAATAGCCAACATATGGAATCACCTAAGTCTCCATCAGTGGACAATGGGTAAAGGAAATGTATATATACACAGTGGAAATACTATCCAGCCTTAGAAAGGAAGGAAACCCTGTCATTTACAGTATGGATGTAATTGTCAACCTTCAGGACATCATGCCACATGAAATAAGCCAGATACAGAAAGACAAATATCGCACAACCTCACTTATACATGGAATATTAAAAAGTTGAACTCAGGCCTTCGAGACTAGCCATGGCCAACATGGCAAAACCTACTCGGGAGGCTGGGCACGGTGGCTCACGCCTGTCAGCACTTTGGGAGACCAAGGCGGGCAGATCACCTGAGGTTGGGAGTTCGAGACCAGCCTGACCAATATGGAGAAACCCCGTCTCTACTAAAAATTCAAAATTAGCCAGGCGTGGTGGTGCATGCCTGTAATCCCAGCTACTCGGGAGGCTGAGGCAGGAGAATGGCTTGAACCTGGGAGGCGGAGGTTGCAGTGAGCCGAGATTGCGCCACTGCACTCCAGCCTGGGCGACAGAGTGAGACTCTGTCTCAAAAAAAAAAAAAAAAAAAAAGTTGAACTCACAGAAGCAGAGAGCGGAATGGTGGTGACCAGGGGCTTGGGAAGGGGAGTAGGGATTGGGAAGATCGTGGTCAGAGGGTACACAATTTTAGATAGAAAAAAATAAATTCAAGAGATCTGTTGTGCAACATGGTGACAAATTAGTGAAAATGTATTATGTACTTAAACATTGTTAGCAGAATAGATCGTAAGGGCTCTCGCCACACACGCAAAAATGACAACTATGTGGCCACGAACGGTGGCTCACACCTATAATCCAAGCACTTTGGGAGGCTGAGGCAAGTGGATCACTTGAGGTCAGCAGTTTGAGACCAGCCTGGGCAACATGGCCAAACCCCATCTCTACAAAAAATACAAAAATTAGCCAGACGTGGTGGCACACACCTGTAATCCCAGCTACTCGGGAGGCTGAGGCACAAGAATCACTTGACGTGGGAGGTGGAGTTTGCCGTGAGCTGAGATCGCACCACTGCACTCTAGGCTGAGTGACAGAATGAGACTCTGTCTCAGAAAAAAAAGTGAGGTGATGGATATGTTAAACATCTTGATTATGGTAATTATTTCACAATGTGTACATATGTCAAAACATCATGTTGTACACCTTAAATATATACACTTCTCTTTTTGAGACGGAGTCTCGCTCTGTCGCCCAGGCTGGAGTGCAGTGGCGCAATCTCGGCTCACTGCAATCTCCGCCTCCCGGCTTCACACCATTCTCCTGCCTCAGCCTCCCGAGTAGCTGGGACTACAGGCGCCCGGCTAATTTTTGTATTTTTTTTTTTAGTAGAGACGGGGTTTCACCGTGTTAGCCAGGATGGTCTCGATCTCCTGACCTTGTGATCCACCCGCCTCGGCCTCCCAAAATGCTGGGATTACAGGCATGAGCCACCGCGCCTGACCAAATATATACGCTTTTATTTGTCAATCATATCTCAATTAAGCCAGGAAAAAATTGGTAAGGCTACTTTTGGAAACACTTTGACACTATTTCAAAAAATTGAAACTAACAATCCCTATAGCGCAATCATTCCATTCTTATATGTATACTCTTTAAAAATTCTTGCACATATGCACCAAGAAACATGTAAAAAATGTCTGTTACGTAATAGGGAAAGTAAAATAAATAGAAATAGAAAAGTAACTAAAATAAAAGAAGCCCATGTGTTCATCAACAGGTACAAAAATACAAAAACTGTGATATAGACCTATATTGGAAAGCTTCAAACTATGGCATTGAAAATGATTTCACGAATCATTTCAAAAAAAAATTCATGGTTTCTGTTGTCATTTTTACCAAGTTCATTCCAATATGTGGTTTAGAGACACTATTTTAAACAAATAAGGGGCCAGGTGCAGTGGCTCACGCCTATAATCCCAGCACTTTGGGAGGCTGAGGCGGGCAGATCACCTGAGGTCAGGAGTTTGAGACCAGCCTGGACAACATGGTGAAACCCCGTCTCTACTGAAAATACAAGAATTAGCCAGGCATGGTGGTGCGCGCCTGTAATCCCAGCTCTTCGGGAGGCTGAGGCAGGAGAATTACTTGAACCTGGGAGGCAGAGTTTGCAGTGAGCCGAGATCATTCCACCGCACTCCAGCCTGGGCAACAGTGTGAGACTCTGTCTCAGAACTTAAAGTAGAATAAAATAAAATAATAAAATAAAACAAATAAGGGAACGACAAGCACAGTTACTTCTGCAGAGGAGGAAAGTGGAGGATGAGAATGGAAGGAGATTCCAGGTAGATGAGGTGGTCGGGATGAGATTGTAGCTCTTAATTGGATGGTGGGCTAAGTGAGGCCGTTTCGTTAATGTTTCATGATTCAAGCTGTTTTATAAATTCTCTTTTATTTATGAAAAATACATAATACATGTTTGGTAAAGTGATCAAACTTTCTTGATCAAGATATCAAAAGAAAGACCCAAGATTTTATTTTCTATTTCTTTCTTTTTCTTTTTTTGAGACGGAGTCTCACCCTGTCACCCAGGCTGGAGTGCAGTGGCTCGATCTCAGCTCACTGTAAGCTCCACCTCCCGGGTTCACGCCATTCTCCTGCCTCAGCCTCCTGAGTAGCTGGGACTACAGGCACCCGCCACCACGCCTGGCTAATTTTTTGTATTTTTAGTAGAGATGGGGTTTCATTGTGGTGTCAATCTCCTAACCTCCTGATCCACCCGCCTCGGCCTCCCAAAGTGCTGAGATTACAGGCGTGAGCCACTGCACCCGGCCTCTCTTTATTTCTATATGTATCAGTTAGCTATTGCTGTGTAACAAATCACCTCAAAGGGAGCAGCTTCAGACAACACACGTTTATTGTCTTGCGATTTCCGTGAATCAGGGATCTGAGCACAGCCCGGCTGGGTCTTCAGCTTCAGGGTCTCTCCCGGGCTGCAATCAAGGGGCCAGCAGCTTTGTGGCCATCTCAAGGTTCTGTTGATTTCATGGTGTTGCTGGCAGTTCAGTTCTTTGCTGACTCTTGGCCAGAAGCCACCCCTCAGTTCCTTGCCATGAAAGTTTTCTGCAACAGGATAGCTTTGTTTCATCAAAGTATGCAAACTAAGCAGGCAAAAAGAGTCTGCTAACAGAATGCAAGTCACACAATCATCCTTAAAAGGACGGGATTACATGATGCTATAAATACCAGGAGGTGAGGATTATTGGGGACCATCTGGGAGGCTGCCTACCACACCGCACAAGGCAAACCTTATGAATATGTATGGATTATATAGGTTGCTTTCAGGCTTCCACCAAAAATAGGATTGCCTTACAGCTCTACCAGCCTAGGACCCACCCCAGCAGGTGTGGCTTGCTTGTTTTAAGGGAGCAGAGACAGAGGGTTCCTTATATCCCACAGCCAAGCCCTTACAGGCACAGCAGGGCAGCTGCTTAAGGTGGAGAGGGAGTCTAACCGGTTTTCTTACCATGCTTAGGGCAGAAAACATAATCTCTATTTTGCCATGTAAGACTCACCACTGAGCAGTCCCTCTCTTTCCTCTGTATTACACTGACACTTCACATAAACCTCTAAACCTCATATAACCTCTAAGCAGAGATAGGCTTCATAAAGGAATTTAGCCAGAATGCCACATTATTTTTCCTTGTTGCAGAGAGTAGCATCTATCTTATGGGAAGAGTCATAGAAAGGCCCTGCAGAATTTGCTGTAAGAAAATAGTCAGGCCGGGCCAGGCGCCGTGGCTCACGCCTGTAATCCCAGCACTTTGGGAGGCCGAGGCAGGTGGATCACGAGGTCAGGAGATCGAGACCATCCTGGCCAACATGGTGAAACCCCATCTCTACTAAAAACACAAAAAATTAGCCGGGTGTGTTGGCGGTTGCCTGTAGTCTCAGCTACTCAGGAGGCTGAGGCAGGAGAATGGCGTGAACTCGGGAGGTGGAGCTTGCAGTGAGCGGAGATCACACCACTGCGCTCCAGCCTGGGCCACAGAGCGAGACTCCATCTCAAAAAAACAACAAAAAAAAAAAAGAAAAGAAAATGGTCAGGCCGGGCGTGGTGGCTCATGCCTATAATCCCAGCACTTTAGGAGGCTGAGGCAGGTGGATCATGACGTCAGGAGTTCGAGACCAGCCTGGCCAACATGGTGAAACCCCGTCTCTACTAAAAATACAAAAAAAAATTAGCCAGGCGTGGGGTCAGGCGCCTGTAATCCCAGCTACTTGGGAGGCTCAGGCAGGAGAATAGCTAAAACCTGAGAGGTGGAGATTGCAGTGAGCCGAGACCGCACCACTGTACTCCAGCCTGAACAACAGAGGGAGACCCCATTTCAAAAAAAAAAAAAAAAAAAGGCCGGGTGCGGTGGCTCACGCCTGTAATCCTAGCACTTTGGGAGGCCAAGGCGGGCGGATCACCTGAGGTCGGGAGTTCGAGACCAGCCTGACCAACACGGAGAAACCCCGTCTCTACTAAAAAATACAAAATTAGCTAGGCGTGGTGGCGCATGCCTGTAATCCCAGCTACTCGGGAGGCTGAGGCAGGAGAATCGCTTGAACCCGGGAGGCAGAGGCTGCAGTGAGCTGAGGTCGAGCCACTGCATTCCAGCCTGGGCGACAGAGCAAAACTCCATCTCAAAAAAAAAAAAAAAAAAAAAAGGCTGGGCGCGGTGACTCACGTCTGTAATCCTAGCACTTTCGGAGGCCGAGGTTGGTGGATCATGAGGTCAGGAGATCAAGACCATCCTGGCCAACATGATGCAAACCCATCTCTACTAAAAATACAAAAATTAACTGGGTGTGGTGGCGCATGCCTGTAATCCCAGCTACTTGGGAGGCTGAGGCAGGAGAATCACTTGAACCAGGGAGTCAGAGGTTGCAGTGACGGGAGATCTCACCACTGCACTCCAGCCTGGGCAACACAGCCAGACTCCATCTCTTTAAAAAAAAAAAAGGCCCACATTGGGCCGTGTGATGGGGGATCCCACTCTCCACCTCAAAGGATAGAATGGATTCCACCTTTCCCTCCACAGAGGAAGGCAGAACCAGACTTCCCACTAAGACTCAGACTGACAGGGACCTCTTTCCAAGTAGCAAAAAGGTTCATACACGGAAAGCGGAAAATGACAAATTATGACTTGCCACGGTGCATAGCAGCCAAGGTGGTTCCCAAAATAAAACCTCTTCCCACACACTTTGTGCCAGGTGCCCCACGTCTTTTTTTTTTTTTTTTTTTTTTTTTTTGTAATTAAAGGAGATCGACAAATCTGGGGTGAGAAGGTTGGTAGAGGATGAGTTTTTCCTTCAACATCTTATTATAAAAATTTTTCAAGCATAGAGAAGAGTTGAAAGAATCTTAGAATGAATACCCCATCCACACCACCCAGACACCCAGACTCAACCATTCACAACTTTTTTTCTTTTTCGAGACAGAGTCCTGCTCTGTCGCCCAGGCTAGAGTGCAGTGGCATGATCTTGACTCACTGCAACCTCTGCCTCCCAGGTTCAAGCGATTCTCCTGCCTCAGCCTCCCACATAGCTGGGATTGCAGGTGTCTGCCACCATGCCCAGCTAAATTTTTTTTTTTATTTTTAGTAGAAACGGGGTTTCATGATGTTGGCCAGGCTAGTTTCAAACTCCTGACCTCAAGTGATCTGCCCGCCTCGGCCTCCCAAAGTGCTGGGATTCCAGGCATGAGCCAACATGCCCAGCTAATTTTTGTATTTTTAGTAGAAACAGGGTTTCATTATGTTGACCAGGCTGGTCTTGAACTCTTGACCTATTGATCTGCCCGCCTCAGCCTCCCAAAGTGCTGGGATTTTCAGGTGTGAGCCACCACACCCGGCTGTTGCACACATCTTAAGTACACCATTAACTGTGTGGGTTTTTTTGTTTGTTTTATTTATTTATTATTTATTTATTTATTGAGCCAGAGTCTCGCTCTGTCACCAGGCTGGAGTGCAGTGGCACGATCTTGGCTCAAGCGATTCTCGGGTTCAAGCAATTCTCCTGCCTCAGTCTCCCAAGCAGTTGGGACTACAGGTGCCTGTCACCACGCCTGGCTAATTTTTGTATTTTTAGTAGAGACAGGGTTCCACCATGTTGGCCAAAATTGTCTCGATCTCTTGACCTCATGATCCTCCTGCCTCGGCCTCCCAAAGTACTGGGATTACAGGCGTGAGCCACCGTTCCCGGCCTAAGCGTGTTTTAAAATTATATACTGAAGCCCCTATGGAGACATAGAATATGGCCATTGTCACAGCAAGCTCCCAAATGCACCTGCCCAGTCACATCTTGCCTTTACTCCCCTGGAGGCTACCACTCTTCTGATATTATTATTTTTTCACTATAGACTAATTTCAACTGTTCTGGGACTTCACGCAAGCAGAATCATAAACTCTCAGAAAACTGAACTCTCCTCTCTGGCTTCTTCCACTCAGCTCAAAGTTTCTGAGATTCACCCGTGCTGCTGTGTGTGTCCACAGTCCGTTCATTTTCACTGCGGGGCAGGATTGCATTGTACGGGGTTCCGTGGTTTATTTATCCTTTCTTCCACTGATGAACACCTGGCTGTTTCCAGTCTTGGGGGCTCTTGTGAACAAAGCTACTGTTAACATTTCTATTTATTTATTTATTTTTGAGACAAAGTCTTGCTCTCTCACCCAGGCTGGAGTGCAGTGGCGCGATCTTGGCTCACTGCAACCTCCGCCTCATGGTGCAAGCGATTCTCTGCCTCAGCCTCCCGAGTAGCTGGGATTACAGACATTTGCCACTGCACCTGGCTAATTTTTTTTTTTTTTTTTTTTGTATTTTAGTAGAGACGGGGTTTCACCATGTTGGCCAGGCTGGTCTCCAACTCCTGACCTCAGGTGATCCACCCATCTCAGCCTCCCAAAGTGCTGGGATTACAGGCGTGAGCCACCGCGCCCGGCCAACAAGTCTTTCAATCACACCTTTCATGTGCAAACCAAACAGTCCAGAGCCCAGCCCCCAGCCACCTCCATTTCTGAGCTCTCACACTCAGGGCTGCTGTGCACCTGCCTTCATCACCCAGGGCCAGGAACCAGACCACTAGAGTAGGCCCAATGCCCCAGGCCCTGCTGAAATTATTCAAATTAGCTAATCACAAACCTGTTTACCCTGCCCCACCCACTCATTCCTGCAAAAACCAAATCAAGCTCTTGCCCTCTCTCCGCCCTCACTCCCTCTGCCTCTGATCCCTCGTGCTCTCCCGTGTGACCTGCATGCTCCCTCGGCCCTGGTGCTCTCTGGGTGTCCTGCCTGGCCTGGCATGTCCCTTCCTCTTGAGAACTGTGACAAACTGTCTTCTCAGTGGTCCATCTCATCTGCTGGGCCCCCCATACCTATGTATGAAAACATCTTGAAGCCGGGCGCGGTGGCTTACGCCTGTAATCCCAGCACTTTGGGAGGCTGAGGCAGGTGGATCATGAGGTTAGTGTCACGCGAGTCCGTGTGAAGAGTCCACCAAACAGGCTTTGTGTGAGCAACAAGGCTGTTTATTTCACCTGGGTGCAGGCGGGCTGAGTCCGAAAACAGAGTCAGTAAAGGGTGGTGGGATTATCATTAGTTCTTACAGGTTTGGGGACAGGCGGTGGAGTTAGGAGCAATGTTTTGCGGGCAGGGGGTGGATCTCACAAAGTACATTCTCAAGGGTGGGGAAAATTACAAAGAACCTTCTTAAGGGTGGGAGAGATTACAAAGAACCTTCTTAAGGGTGGGGAAGATTACAAAGTACATTGATCAGTCAGGGTGGGGCAGGAACAAATCACAATGGTGGAATATCATCAGTTAAGGCTATTTTCCCTTCTTTTGTGGATCTTCGGTTGCTTCAGGCCATCTGGATGTATAGATGCAGGTCACAGGGGATAGGATGGCTTAGCTTGGGCTTAGAGGCCTGACAGGAGTTCAAGAGCAGCCTGGCCAAGATGGTGAAACCCCATTTCTACTAAAAATACAAAGAATTAGCCAGGTGTGGTGGCATGCACCTATAGTCCCAGCTACTCAGGAGGCTGAGGCAGGAGAATTGCTTGAACCCGGGAGGCGGAGGTTGCAGTGAGCCGAGATCGCACCATTGCACTCCAGCCTGGGCGACAGAGCGAGACTCTGTCTCAAAAAAAGAAAAAAAAAAGAAAGAAAGAAAAGAAAAGAAAAAAGAAATACATTGGGTTTGGAAGGCCGAGGAGGGCGGATCACAAGGTCAGGAGTTCAAAACCAGCCTGATCAACATGGTGAAACCCTGTCTATACTGAAAATACAAAAATTAGCCAGGCGTGGTAGCGCATGCCTGCAGTCCCAGCTACTCAGGAGGCTGAGGCAGGAGAATCGCTTGAACCCGGGAGGCGGAGGTTGCAGTAAGCCAAGATCATGCCATTGCACTCCAGCCTGGGCTACAGAGTGATACTCTGTCTCAAAAAAAAAAAAAAGAAAGAAATACATTGGCGTGGTTCAGAAAGGTGGAACAACACAAAGGGTGGGGCGAGGCGTGCAATTTAAACATTTTCTGATTGACAATTGGTTGAGTTTTCTCTGAAGACCCGGAATCAATAGAAAGGAAATGTTCAGGTTAAGCTAAAGGATCGTGGAGACCAGGTTTTATTGTGCAGAGGAAGCTGACTTCAGAGAGAGAGGGCAGGGTGTAAAATGCTTCTTACAGGACCTAAAAGAGTGCCTGGGCCGGCCACGGTGGCTCACACCTGTAATCCCAGCAACTTTGGGAGGTCGAGGCAGGCGGATCACCTGAGGTCGGGAGTTCAAAGCCAGCCTGACCAACATGGAGAAACCCTGTCTCTACTAAAAAATACAAAATTAGCTGGGCGTGGTGGTGCATGCCTGTAATCTCAGCTAGTTGGGAGGCTGAGGCAGGAGAATTGCTTGAACCTGGGAGGTGGAGGTTGCGGTAAGCCGAGATTGTGCCGTTGCACTCCAGCCTGGGCAAAAAGAGTGAAACTCTGTCTCAAAAAAAAAAAAAGAGTGTCTGGCTCTCCTGGGCCTGGAAAGGAAGAAGGGAAAACAAAGGAGAAACGGGGTTCTGTAAAGAATGTGGATTTTTCCCACAAGAGACTTTGCAGGGCAATTTCAAAATATGGCAGAGAAACATGTTTTGGGGTAAAATATTTTTATTTTCTTCCTTGTGTTGTAATGCTATGCCAGAGTCAGATTGGAAAGTAAGTCACACCATAGAGGATTAAATACAACCCATCTGATGAGAATTTATGGTTTGTAAGGCATGACTCCTCAAACGCCTTAGGTAGGAATTTGGGCAAGATAAAAAAATCAGAGCTTAGTTCTCAGGGGTCATGGCGGGACAACAGGAGAGAGCGTCTCACCCATATTTAAAAAAAAAAAAAAAGTGCAATGCAGGCTGGGCATGGTGCCTCACGCCTGTAATCCCAGCACTTTGGGAGGCCGAGGAGGGTGGATCACCTCAGGTCAGGAGTTCAAGATCAGCGTGGCCAACTTGACAAAACCCCATCTCTACTAAAAATACAAAAATTACCTGGGTGTGATGGCATGCACCTGTAGTCCCAGCTACTCGGGAGGCCGAGGCAGGAGAATTGCTTGAACCCAGGAGGCGGAGGTTGCAGTGAGCTGAGATGGTGCCACTGCACTCCAGCCAGGGTGACAAGAGTGAAAACTCTGCCTCAAAAAAAAAAAAAAAAGAATATTACAGTGAAAACCTAGATAGTTATCACCTGGATTCTAGTCTACTGTTAATCTTTTCTCCTTCCTTCCTTCCTTCCTTCCTTCCTTCCTTCCTTCCTTCTCTCTCTCTTTTTCCTTCCCTTTCTTTCTTTCCTTCCTTTCTCTCTGTTTCTTTCCTTTCTCTCCCTTCTCTTTTCCTCTTTCTTTCTTTCCTTTCTCTCCCTCTTTCTTTCTTTCCTTTCCTTTCCCTTCCCTTCCCTTCCACTCACTCACTCCCTCTCTCTCTCTCTCTCTCTTTCCTTTCTTTCTTTCTTTCTTTCTCTCTCTCTCCCTCCCTCCCTCCCTCCCTCCCTCTCTGTCTCTCTCTCTTTCTTTCTTTCTTTCTTTCTTTCTTTCTTTCTTTCTTTCTTTCTTTCTTCTTTCTTAAGACAGGGTCTCGCTATGTTGTCCCGGCTACAGTGTAGTGGTTATTCACAGGTGCAATCATACCCACAGAGCAGCCTTGAACTTCTAGGCTCCAGTGATCCTCCTGCACCAGCCTCCTGAGTTGCTGGGAGCACAGACTCATGCCACTGTACCTTGCTTAATATTTATCTTCCTTTGCCTTATTACCTATCCCTCCATCCATCCGTCTTATTTTCTTTTGTGATTAACTTCAAAAAGAGACTGCAGACACCACTACACTTTCTCCCAATACTAAGCATGCACCTCATTAACATTTTTCAGTAAAATTTTTATAGAGTGGAGTGCACAAATCTTTTTTTTTTTTTTTTGAGATGGAGTTTCACTCTTTCTCCCAGGCTAGAGTGCAGTGGTGTGATAGCTCACTACAACTTCCACCTCCTGGGTTCAAGCGATTTTCCTGCCTCAGCCTCCCGAGTAGCTGGGATTACAGGCATGCACCACCACAGCTGGCTAATTTTTGTATGTTTAGTAGAGACGGGGTTTCGTCATGTTGGCCAGGCTGGTCTGGAACTCCTGACCTCAGGCGATCCACCTGCCTCGGCCTCCCAAAGTGCTGGGATTACAGGTGTGAGCCGCCGCACCTGGCCAGAAATTCACAAATCTTAAGTGAGCGACAAATGCAGACACTGGTACAAAACGAACCCTCATCAAGATACAGAACGAGGCCCTTTATCCCAGGAAGTTCCCCCAGCCCCCTTCCCAGTCACCCTGACCCTACTCACCCAGAGGCAACCACTGTTTTTATTATTTTTGCTACCATATGTTAATTCTGTCTGTTTGGAAAATCATCTAACTGAACTCATACAGTGCATCCTCCTTTGTTTCTGACACTCAGCACAATAATTTTGAGACCGACCCATATTGCTGCATGCATTATTAGCTTGTGCCTTTTCATTGCTAAGTAGTATTCCATTCTGTGGCTATATTACCTATCTTGGTCCATTCCCCTGTTGATAGGCATACAGGATGTTTCTAGCCTGAGGCTATTATGAATAAAGCTGCTGTAAACAGTCTTGCAAAATTCTTGGTGTGGATAAATATTTTCTTTTCTTTTGGGTAAAAGTAGAATTGTTGGCCGGGCGTGGTGGCTCACGCCTGTAATCCCAGCAGTTTGGGAGGCCGAGGTGGGCAGATCACGTGAGGTCAGGAGTTTGAGACCAGCCTGGCCAACATGGTGAAACCCCATCTCTACTAAAAATACAAAAATTAGCCAGGCATGGTGGTGTACACCTGTAGTCCCAGCTACTCGGGAGGCTGAGGCAGAATAATCACTTAAACCTGGGAGGCAGAGGTTGCAGTGAGCTGAGATCATGCCATTGCACTCCAGCTTGGTGACACAGTGAGACTCCGTCTAAAAAACAAACAAACAAAAAAGAGTAGAATTGTTGGGTCATGGGATAGGTGTGGGCTTAGATTTGTAAGAAGCTGCCAGGCCTTTTCCTACAGGGTTTGTACCCTTTACTCTCTCATCAATAATGGATAACACTCGGGTGCTTCATTCCTGGAATCTTTGGATCTCAGGCCTGCTTTGGGCTGTTGGTATTTCACTGTGGTTGAATGCAGCTCTATTAGTCAGATTTGTCCAAAGAAAGAAAACCAAAGAGATATATAAAGAGATACCAGCAGAGGTTTATTATGAGAACTTTTCTTACACAATTCTGGAGGCTGAGGAGTCCCACGACGTGCTGTCCATAAGCTGAAGAAGCAGGAAAGCTGGTGGTGTCATTCAGTCTGAGGCTAAAGGCATGAGGACCAGGAAGTTTGATGTCCTAGGGCAAGAGAAAATGGATGCGCCAGTTAAGAAAACACAGTGAATTCGCCCTTCCTCTGCTTTTTGTTCTATTCGAGCCTCCAGCAGATTGGATGAGGCCCGCCCACATTGGTGAGGGAGAACTTCTTTACTCAGTCTACTGATTCAAATGCTCACCTCTTCCAGAAACACCCCCACAGACACATCCAGAAATAATGTCTTACCAGCTATCTGGGCATCCCTTAGGCCAGTCAAGTTGACGCATAAAGTTAACCATGACATCAGCTTATTTAATAAACTGGCTATATCTGCATATTTGCTCATTTGCCTAATGAGTTATCTCTATCATGCTCTGTGAAAGCAGAGATTTTCATCCCTTTAGTTCACTGCTGAATTCCCAGGGCCTAGAACAATGCCTGGCACCTAGTAGCTGTCCAATAAATAAATACTTGGGGAATGAACAAACCAATGAATGTATGGATTCTTCTTTATTATTAATAGATCCCAGGGCTTACTTAACACAGCCTGGCAGCTATTAAACATGTAATCGAAAGAAAGGAGGGGAAAAGGAAGGAAGAAGGAAGGTAGCAATGAAGGAAGAAGGAAGGAGGGAAGAAAGGAAGGGAGAGAGAGAGGAAGGAAAGAAGGAAGAAAGGGAGGGAGGAAGGAGGGGAGGGAGGGAGGAAAGGAAGGAAGGAAGGTAAAAAGGAAGAGAGGGAGGAAGGAGGAAGGAAGGAGAAAGGAAGAGAGGGAGGCAGGGAGGGAGGGAGGGAGGAAGGAAGGGGGGAGGGAGGGAGGGGGAGGGAGGGAGGAAGGAAGGGAGGGAGAAGGAGGAAGGAAGGAAGGGGGGAGGGAGGGAGGGAGGAAGGGGGGAGGGAGGGAGGGAGGAAGGAAGGAAGGCCAGAAGGCAGGAAGGGGTAGGGAGGGAGGGAGGGAAAGAGGAAAGAAGGAAGGAGGGAAGGAAGGAAGGGAGGCGGGGAGGGAGGGAAAGATCATAAGGATGACTGAACATCTGAAGGCTGAACAGCTTTACGTATTTATGCCTTTTCCGGTCATTTTCTTATGTACTTGTGAATTCCTTCACTTTGCTTTCCTTCTATTTGGCAGATGTCACTGTAGTCATTTTTAAAAATCAACAACTGTCACCCTCGTAATAATTCGCGAGCGCTTGTCAAGCACTTTGTCAGCAAACACTTCCCGTGTGTTCACTCGATCTGCACAACAACCCTGTGGAATTGGTTAAGGTTGCTCTTTCTTGCTTTTTTTTTTTTTTTTAAACAGAGTTTCACTCTTGTTGCCCAGGCTGGAGTGAAGTGGTGCGATCCTGGCTCACTGCAACCTCTGCCTCCCGAATTCAAGCGATTCTCCTGCCTCAGCCTCCTGAGTCGCTGGGATCACAGGCACGTGCCACCATGCTCGGCTAATTTTCGTTATTTTTAGTAGAGACTGGGTTTCGTCATGTTGGCCAGGCTGGTCTCGAACTCCTGATCTCAGCTGATCCCCCCCGCCTTGGTCTCTCAAAGTGCTGGGATTACAGGCATGAGCCACTGAGCCTGGCCAAGGTTATTATTTTCATCCTGTTTATGTGAACCGAAAGCACAGAGTTGAGAAAATTGTCTAAGGTCACCGAGCTAATAAGGAGCTGAGCCAGGGTTGAAACCAGATAATGTGGCTGCAAAGCATGAACTCTTAGTCATGCCAATCATGAACTAAAGAGCGTCCTTCATTTGTGTCTCTGTTCAGATATCATCCAAATGGAGAGAGAGACATTCCCTGAGCACCTTCTATTATATAAGTAGCAACCACCAGACGTGGTGGCTCACGCCTGTAATCCCAGCACTTTGGGAGGCCGAGGCAGGTGGATCATGAGGTCAGGAGTTCAAGACAAGCCTGGCCAAGATGGTGAAACCCCGTCTCTACTAAAAATACAAAAAATTAGCTGAGTGTGATGGCAGGCACCTGTAATCCCAGCTACTTGGGAGGCTGAGGCAGATAATTGCTTGAACCGGGGAGGTGGAGGTTGCAGTGAACCAAGATCACGTCACTGCACTCCAGCCTGGGCAACAGAGCAAGACTCTGTCTCAAAAAAAAAAAAGTAGTGACCACCTCATCCCCACCACATCCACTCACATCTATGTGTTGCTTCCTCTTACCTGATAGTATAGACTCAGCTCACCTGTTCATTCCTCAATTTTCTACCTTCTGTACTCCAGCGGTTTTAGTTGTGCCAACTGGAGACTTTGTCTTTTTTGCTTATGCCCATTTCTCCAGAACATGCAGCAGTGCCTGGGACATAGTAGGCACTCAATACGTGTGTGGGGAACAGATACATCATTGAAGCACAGCTGTTAGCACAGCACACATGGTCCTGATTTATTGAGAACCTACTATGTGCTAGGCACAGGACCAAGCAGTTGGAAATCTCTCCTGGCATTCTTACAGCCACTCAGTTAAGCAGGCAAGTCTCCCAAAGCTTAAGCCGTGGGAAGCACATGCTGAGTCCTTCAGCCAGGAGCTGTCCTTGCCTTCTGTCAGCAGAAGCTGGTCAGGAGGCCTTCCCGGAGGAGGCAGCATCACTGCCTCCCCCAATCTTCCCTCCCATCCCTGTGGCTGCTCCTTCTCAGTCTCATTGTGGGCCCCTCTTTCTCCACTTGTCCCTTTCATGCCTGTACTACTCCATGTCTGGCTAGACCAGAGCTTATAAACCAGCCAGCTCCAACCCACAGACAGGTTTTATTTGGCCCACACAGCATTTTTTTTTCATTTGAATTAGTTTTAACATTTAAAAGCTGAGGGATTTTGCTTTTAAAAATATCCAGATTTCTGCCTTCTCTTGGAAATTTGGAACATCTGGTGGTGCCAGGTCCCTCTTCCCATATGGCAAGCGTTGGCTGAAACGAAATAGCAACAGCCATGTTCTCTGAGCTACCCTCTACCAGGGGGTTTGCATGCGTCCCAAGCCATGAATGAACACCTGCAGAGCTTGAGATGGTTTAGGGGTGGTATTCAGCCAAGGGCTCTAGAAATACCCAAGGGCCACCTGGAATGACCGTTTGTTTTCCTCAGCAGAAACAGACCCAGGGAACCACGGCCGGAGAAGGTAGAGATAATACATTTCTGTCAGGCAGCATTGCAGATGTCCCATGCAGGAGGATGGATGTCCTGGGTTTAATCGATGCAGGCTAAGCCATTCTCTAAAGAGGCTTGCCTTCTGGGGCCCAAAACACATGTGAGGGAGACAGAGAGGTGGGGACAGAAAGAGCCAGAGTAAAGCAGAGAGAGAGAGAGAAAGAGATAAAGAGAGAGAGAGAGAGACAGAGAGAGAGACAAAGAGAGACAGAGAGAGAGAGAGAAACAGAGAGAGAGAGACAAAGAGAGAGAGAGACAAAGACAGAGAGAGACAGAGAGAGACAAAGAGAGAGACAGAGAGAGAAAGAGAGACAGAGAGAGACAGAGAGAGAGACAGAGACAAAGAGATAGAGAGAGAAAGAGAGAGAGACAGAGAGAGACAGAGAGAGAGAGACAAAGACAGAGACAGAGAAACAAAGAGAGAGAGAGAGACAGAGAGAGACAGAGAGAGACAGAGAGAGAGAGAGACAGAGAGAGTGAGAGAGAGAGAGAGAGAGTCCATCAATTTAAAGTCTTTTTCTAGGGGAATGAAGGGGAATGGCATATGTGGTGACTATGGGGTGTGTGTGTGTGTGTGTGTGTGTGTGTGTGTGTATTTCATGTAAGAAAGCAGCATGCTGAGGACACAGCAGCAAGAACAAAGCAATGAGCTCCCCCTGGAAGCCAATATAACTTACTTCTACTTAGTAACATTTACCCCTTTTCTTTTTTAAGACAGAGTCTCACTCTGTCGCCCAGGCTGGAGTACAGTGGCACAATCTCAGCTCACCGCAACCTCTGCCTCCCAGGTTCAAGCTATTCTCATGCCTTGGCCTCCTGAGTACCTGGGATTACAGGCACACATTGCCATGTCCAGATAATTTTTTTGTATTTTTAGTAGAGACAGGGTATTTTTTTTTTTTTTTGAGACAGAGTCTTGCTCTGTCACCCAGGCCGGAGTGCAATGACACAATCTCGGCTCACTGCAACCTCTGCCTCCCAGGTTCAAGCAATTCTCCTGTCTCAGCCTCCCGAGTAGCTGTGACTATGGGAGTGTGCCATCACATCCAGCTAATTTTTGTATTTTTACTAGAGATGGGGCTTCACCATGTTGGCCAGGCTGGTCTCGAACTCCTGACCTCGTGATCCGCCCGCCTTGGCCTCCCAAAGTGCTGGGATTACAGGCATGAGCCACCATGCCTGGCCTGTTTGTTTATTTTTTTGAGTTGGAGTCGTGCTCTGTTGTCCAGGCTGGAGAGCAGTGGCACAATCTCAGTTCACTGCAACCTCCGCCTCCTGGATTCAAGCAATTCTCTTGCCTCAGCCTCCCAAGTAGCTGGGATTACAGGCACACACCACCATGCCAGGCTAATTTTTTTGTATTTTTAGTAGAGACAAGGTTTCGCCATGTTGGCCAGACTGGTCTCGAATTCCTGACCTCAGGTGATCCACTGGCCTCGGCCTCCCAAAGTGCTGGAATTACAGGCGTGAGCCACTGGGCCTGGCCGAGACAGGGTTTTACCATGTTGGCCAAGCTGGTCTCGAACTCCTGACCTCAAGTGATCTGCCCACCTCCACCTCCCCAAGTGCTGGGATTACAGGCTCGAGCCACTGCGCCTGGCCCCCACTTACCCCTTTTCTAACACCAACCCAGATTGTTCTCTGCAATTCAGGATTCATGTTTCTCAGGTGGCAATCCAAGATCCATTAGCCAGCCACAAAACAATTTAGAAGGTTGTGACCAGATTTGAATTACAAAATAGAAGTAACAGAGGATAGAAATTATCCAAGAGCATTGCACATAGTGGTCAGAAACTTTTTACTTTTTTTTTTTTTTTTTTTTTTGTGTGTGTGTGTATACTAGATCATAATGTAAAATGTATTTCTCACTGTGGGTTGTGGCCCTATCAGTTGGAAACCACTCATCTAGAATATTATCCATATGGAGAGGGCTGATGCAGGGCCAAATGATGGAGGGTATAAACTCAGGGCTGAGGGTGTGACTTGATTCTATGGGCAACGTGGAGCCACTGAGCTCTATTGGGTTGCACAGTCACCACCAGCACCTCACTGTCCTGCACTCTGATGTACACATGCCCAACTGTGCACATCATGACGTTTGGAATTCTTCCCATTAGCAAATCCTGCTGCTACAACAAACACTGGCTGTGGACATGATGCAAGAGATTGTCAGAACAAGAGTTTTAGAATATACTAATCTTAGCCCTAAAGGGTTAAGCCTTCATTTTACAGACAGAAAAAGAGGGACTCTAAGATGAAAAACTACTTGCCTAGAGTCACTTAATACACCTCTAACCGCTCATCTCGGGATCTTCTTCATCCCCAAGCCCCATGTAGGCCACCTGGTTGGGAATGGTGGAGAACATGACTCTAGCCAGAACCAGAGAAAGCTGAAGAAGACCTAGGGTAGTGATGAGAGAGGGTGTGTGTGTGTGTGTGTGTGTGTGTGTGTGTGTGTGTGTGTGAGAGAGAGAGAGAGAGACAGAGATAAGGCGCCTATTCTCACTCTCCCATTTCATCATCAATACCTTCACCAATATCACTATCCTCCTCCTCACCGTCATCATCATCGTCCTCATCACCATCATCACCACCATCATCATCATCATTATCATCATGACATGTCAACATAATCTTGTCTTCCATCATCACCATCACCACCATCATCACCACCACCATCACCACCATCACCACCACCACCATCGCCACCACCATCACCATCACCAACATCATCACCACCATCACCATCATCACCACCGTCACCACCATCACCACCACCATCATCATCATAATTATCATCATGACATGTCAACATAATCATGTCTTCACCATCATCATCATCATCACCATCACCATCATCAACACCACCACCACCATCATCATCACCATCACCACCATCACCATCATCATGACATCATATCACCAACATAATCACCACCATCATCGTCATCACCACCACCTCCGCTACCACCAGCATTCCTCTTTTCCCTAGCCCTTTCTTGCCAATCTGGAGCAAAATATGGAAATGGGTTAAGTGGAGAACTAATCTCCCTTTCTTCCACTCATCCCAATTCCCACAAGAGAGGCCACGTGTGTGGTTTCCAGATGGCAAAGTCTCACCCTGCCCTACAGCAAGAGGGGACCCCTGGGGCCAGATTCCTGAGCACCTAGTTTTGGCTGCAATAGTGACAGTCTGGGTGATGATGTCAGGGTGGCCAGGTCCCCTCCCAGGGTTGGCACTTCCCCATCTATCGGTGTGGCATCGGAGGATTCCAGTGAGATGTAACATGGGGAGTGGCTGGAAAAATACTCTGTAACTGTATGGCGAATGCCAAGGGGCAGGGGTCCTTGTATACACCGAAGTAATCCCGAGTCAGTTTACAGGATGGGAAGGGCCCCTATATAGATGACCAGGGTCCTTATGCAGGTAGAAGGGGTCCTTATGCAGCATGAAGGCTTGCTACACAGGCGTGTGGATTTTTCCATACATTCTGGAGTAGCCTCTACACATAGGAGTGTTTGTGCTTAGAAGCTGTGTCCTTATGCAGGCTAGGAATAAAAGTGGGACGGAGATTTTACACAAATACGGGCATCTTTTACAGGTGGGAGCACTTTCGTACACAGAGGACTTCTTATCCATGGAATTGGCCGTTCTTTGTAAAACGCTCTGTACTTACTAGCAACCTTTACACAGACATGAAGTTTCTCCATAAGGATAAAGGGATCATTATGTTTTAGGTGAAATAACAGTATGAGTGGCCTCGTATGGACAAGGAGGGCTGATTTCAATCGCGATGCAAGCCAGCTGTCCGGATGCCGCCGACGCCAGCAGCGCGGTACCTGCGCGGGCAGCAGGTGGGAGCCGCGACCGGGGTGGGGCGCGGAGCGCTGGGGGCCTCCCGACTCCCGCAGTCCCCGCCGCGACCACCAGGGGCAGCACCGTCCCCGCCCGGCCCGCGCCTCCCTCCCCCCAATCTCCGCCCCCCACCCCCTGCCTCCCCCCCGCTCCCGCTCCCCTGAGCCCAGCCAGACCCCGCGCCGCCCGCGCCCCGCTCGACTCCGGAGGCTCCCGCAGCCCCGGCGTCCGCCCCGCTGCCCCCTCCCCCGGGGGCCATGGGGGCGCCCCCGGGCTACCGGCCCTCAGCTTGGGTGCATCTCCTCCACCAGCTGCCCCGCGCCGACTTCCAGCTCCGCCCGGTGCCCAGCGTTTTCGCGCCCCAAGAGCAGGAATACCAGCAGGTGGGACCGGGCGCCAGGGCCTGGGGGCCAGGGCTGGGGGCCGGAGCTCCTGGGTCCCGAGGGAGAAGGGGGCTGGGTCACAGATTTCCTGAGCTCCGCCGGAGGCTGGGGGCCGGCCCGGACTTTGGGGTTTCGGAGGGAGGAGGAGCCTGGGGGCGCCCATGCCTGGAGGTTCTCCTGGGACGCGCGCTGGGGGTCCAGACCTCGAGCTCTCTAAATAAGGGAAGGCTGGGGACCTGCACCCCTGAGTTCATGGAGAGGAGGGGAGGGGGGCCCGGATTCCCGGGTGTCTGATACCTGCCTGGGAAGCCGGCCTCCAGGGTCATCGGGAGGGTAGGTCTACTCTTCCTGCCCTAAAAGATGACCCTGCCCCACAGGATCAGAGCAGGTGAATATGTCCCAGATAAGGTGGGACCCAGGAGACAGCGGACCTGATAACGGTGGCGGGGAAAACGCTGGCTGCTGCGGTGCTGGGATGGGATTGAGAGTCTGAAATGGGGAAGGGGGCTTCAGGGGCTGAGGACCAGGGCTGGAAAATGAAGGGGCTCTGGGAGAGGAAGCTTCTTGCCCGTCCCAAGAAAGAAGGGGTGGTCAGGGCGCTGCAGGGGTGAGGGCCGAGATGAGGCTGGGTTTGGGGAGCCTCGGGATGACAGACCCGGGTCCCGAGGGTGGGGCCGGTGTGGGAACCTCACAGAAGCCGGTGTCCCTGGGGAAGGGGCCCGGCTCGGGGCAGCTCCAATGGGCGAAAGAGCTGTCCCCTGACCCAGTTTAATTCAAGTCCTTGACTTCGAGATTAATGAGGAGAAAGGCTTGGCTGAGCTGGGGACGGGTGGGGGTGCTGGGAGTCCCGATGTGGCCCCAGGACGGGTCCTGGCCCTGCTGATGGGGCCTGAGCCCCTGGGCTCCGTCTTGGGTTGCTCCTGGGAGAAGGGGGCTGGGATTGGAGAGCTCAGGGGGCGTGGAGGGGGTCCCAGAAAAGCGCGGAGGGGATGAGTGCTGTGTTCTGAGCTATTTGGGTCACGGCTGGCACAGCCCTGAGCAGCTCTTCCCCGCCTGCTCCTCGCCGCCCCCTCTCCCCACACACGGGGACCGCCGTCCCCTCGCCCACAGCCTCGCGGTTACACAACGGCCACCTCCAACAACGCCGCTCCACCGGCTCCGGCCTCGGCCCAGACTCACGCCCGCTCTGGCCCGGAGACCTCCCGAAGCCGCACGCGGGGATCCGCGGCCCCAGTCACCGCCAGAGGCACGGGTTTGGGGGAGCCTCACTCCGCCCCCACGGTCGGGGGTCAGGGTCAGGGTGGCAGGGATGCGCGGGCAGAGCCCCACAGCCGAGGAGGGCAAGGGGGACCCCTGCAGGGACGCGACCACCGTGGGTACAGCTGCAGACACAGCCAGGGCCTCAGGGACACTGGCCCGGGGGAGGCACACAGCCACACGCACACACTCACTGGCATATGCACAGCACACACACACGTCCACTTACTCCCATTACACACTCACATGCACACACATATGCACAGGCACACCCAGACACGCCCACTTATTCCAACACACTCACATGCACACACATATGCACAGGCACACTCAGACACACCCACTTACTCCCATTACACACTCACATGCACACTCACATGCACACACTCAGACACGCCCACTTACTTTCATTACACACATGCACACACACATATGCACAGGTACACACACACGCCCACCTACTCTCATTACACACTCACATATGCACACACACATACCCATTTACTACTCCCGCTATGCACTCACACCCACATACAACACACGCATATAGACACATGCATACACTCACATGGATATACCCACTTACACATACACAATCACACATATGCACACGCACATTGCGCACAGTGACTCACAACACACACATACACATGTATAAGCATTTACTCCCATATACAAGCACACACTGCACTTATATATATATGCTTACACACTCATGCATGCACCGTCACATACACGTTTATACTCCCATACACACACACACGTACATTCCATTCACATCTACACACACATGCACACACATATTGACTATAGCATTCATGTGCACACACACACTCACATGCAGTCACGCATCCACACACACACTCATCCACACTGTTACACACACACAACCGGACCCACTCACAGGCCCAAGGAACTGTGCCCAGAACACACAAATGCCCACAGATGTTCTCATTTGCAGACAGCAGTGCACCCAGGAGACACACTCAGGTGCCCCCTCATCTCATGGAGACAGCCCAAAGATAAAAACATCCAGTCTCAACCAGAAACACAAACACTGCACACACTTGGGACACACACACACACACACACTGTGCCACTGTGTGTGTGTATGTGTGTGGACAAAGGCAGAAACACCGTGGTTTAGGGGAAACAGCCTTGGCAAGTCCAGAGGTGTGACTCTGATCCCAATGTTGTCCCTCCATGCTCCGGGGCTCAGTGCAAACCCCCTGGGCCACTGTGGGCCTCTGGGACCGCACAGGTCAGCTGTGAAATCCCCGCCACGTGGAGAGCCCTGTTATTCTGCAAGGCTCTGCCCACCGCAGAACGTTTCCGCGGCCTGCCTGTCTTCCGGGCCTTGGCTCTCTCCGCCTCTCTGTCCTTGTGTGTCTCTCCCGTCTCCATAGTGTTCTCACGCTCTCTCTCCCTTACTCTGCTCTTCCTCTCTGATTTGATCCCTTTTGCTCTCTGCCTTTTTCTGACTCATGCCCGAACCTTGTCTTATCTTTGTCTCTTTTTTTGGTTGTGTCTTTCTGCCTGTGCCTCCCTCCATCTCTCTCTCTCTCTCTTTCTGTTCTGTCTTCACTCTTCCAGTTTCCATTTCTGAGTCTTGCATACACACACACACACACGTTGCCACACAGCCCCTCGTCCCGTCCCTGGGTGACAAGCTCAGGCGCTGTGGGGTGTAGCGCTCAGCAGCAGGGGAGACAGTGAGCAGGGAGGAGAGGGGGAGGAAGCACGCCTCCCCCAGCCTGGCCCGAGGCACCAGGAACAGGTGCCCCCACACCCCCACCCGCCCCCTGATCCCACACGATTGTGGAGGGGCCTTGGCAGGTCCTTGGGAAAACCTCCATTCCAACTGCTGGCTGCAGAGAGAAGGAAACCCAGGCTCGGAGAAGGGGCGGTTCCTGCTAAAGATTGCACAGCCAATGGAGGGCAGAGCAGAATTGGGACCCAAGGCTTGGGGCCCCCAGTTGGAAGCTCCCTCCAGCAAGCTGGCCCTGACACCTGGAGCCCCAGCTGCCAGCCTGGGAGGGGCTGGGACCCAATCTCCCCCAAGATTAGGCCAGGGATGTCTCCCACCTTCACTCTGACATCCCAGACCCCGACCCCCCAGCCACGCAGGAAGGGGGATCTGAGTGTGGAACACACGGGTGCCCTCGGAGGTCTGATGTCACCCCCTTCCCCAGGCCTTGTTGCTGGTGGCGGCCTTGGCGGGCCTGGGCTTGGGCCTGAGCCTCATTTTCATCGCTGTCTACCTCATCCGCTTCTGCTGCTGCCGGCCCCCCGAGCCCCCCGGGTCCAAGATCCCCTCGCCCGGGGGAGGCTGCGTCACCTGGAGCTGCATTGTCGCCCTTCTCGCCGGCTGGTAATGGGGCCCCAGGGTGGGTGGGCGGTGGGGACAGGGCTCCCCAAGCTCTTTGCTGGCCTTCCTGGGGGTGTCCTCCGGGGACATGGAGGAAGCAGACAGGAAGGAGGAAACTCCCTCGTCCCTGTCCCTGCCATTTGCAAGCCCACTTCAGCGCACAGCAGGAAGGACTGTCCCATTTGATGGATGGAGAAAGTGAGGCTCTGGAGAGGAAGTGAATCAAGGGCAGCCATCTGGTGAGAAGGCGCAGGGGCAGTCAGATGGCCTGGTTTTGGTGGCTCTCCCATTGAATAGCTGTGTGACCTAAGGGAGTGATAGTCTCCCTGGGCCTCAATTTCCACATCTGTAAACTGGGCATTATCATCTCGCCCACCTCCTGCGGGGGTAAGATGGAGAGAAAGCACAGTGTCTGACTTGCAGCTACTCTCAGCCAACATTAACTGGTGATGTCTGTCATTCCGTCATTCACCAGCTCATTCATTCGACAACTGTTTATTGAGTATTTACTATGTGCCAGATACTGACCAAGCCAGGCAAGGAGCCCCTCGTGCAGCTTATGTTCTAATCAGGGAGACGGACGATAAATAGATATAATCACCCTCCAAGAGCACCTCATCTGTGCCCAGACCTGAGCTGGTCTAATTCCTTCTCACAATAATGCTGCTGGATTCAGGGGTGTCAGGCCCAGTTTCCAAAGAGGAAGGCTCAGGGACAGAGGGGAGGTCACCTTTCAAGGCCACGTGGCTTAAGAGGCAGCACAGAGATTCAGACCCAGGTTAGTAGGACCCCCTCACACCCCTCAAAGCGAGCTTAGGGGGCTTCCAATGTGAACACACCAGCTACCAAGAACGAGCTCTGAGCACAGCCCCCTCCCCGGCAGGGCAGCACCCACAGGTTACAGACAGCAATCCTCTTCCACAGACGGGGGGTCCCAGAGGGCCAGACGCCTGCCCCGGACCCACAGCGGGCAAGGGGAGGGACCTGTAGGGGTGGCCTGTATTCAGGACGCTTCCTCCTCCGGCTCTCTGGCGTGGGGGGAGACAGGGGAGGTGGACAAAGGCCCAGTGGGGGAGAGACACGGCCCCAGCCCCCGCAGCCTGGGAACAAGAGGAGCTTTGTAGGACTCTGAACAATGGGGCGGGGACACTGGGCGTCCGACCCGAGGGATGGGGGTGGAGGCCCAGCCGGGGCTGGGAACCGGGAGGGTGTCAGGCTCCCGCCCCCTCCACTGCGGGACACCGGCCGGGGGCGGGGACGGGAGGGGTCTGGGGCCCCACATTCAGGTCCCACAATGGAGCTCTGTGTGTCGGTAGGGTGGGGGCGGGGGCACGGCTTCTCGCCCATCCTCCAGCCTCCCTCCCACATTCCCTTACTTCCCTCCCAGCTGGCCCGACGCTTGGGTCCCGGGTGGGGGAAGGCCGAGAGCTCCAGGCTCAGCGTCCCCCCAGGAGATGGTGGCAGCTGCCCCCCTTGTACCCTTAGGAACCCCCAGGAGGTGGGGGCGGAGAACGTCTCAGCACTGAAGGGTTGGCACTGCAGGCCCCAAGGACCCTAGGGCACCCTAGGACAGGTGCCAGGAGGGCTGCCTGCCTGGCAAAGGATGCGGGGGAAGGGTGTGGGGCAGGCAGTCCTAGGGAGGGGAAGACGGCCCATCCCGGAGCTGGGTGTGACTGGGGTTCTGCTCCAGGGAGGTGCGAGTTAAATCGGGGGCTCCCTCCCCCCCACCACTCCACCCACCATTAACATCACAATGACGTCCCTCCGCTGGGGGAGTGAGGCCTTCCCGTTCCCTTGGCAACCGACGGGGGCCAGGCTGAAGTCGCCCTTTTCCCACGGGCTGGCCCAATGAGGTGGGGCTGAGATGGGAGGGGTGGATAAGAAGGCGAGGTGGAGGGGATGGGGTGGGAGGGGACGGTGGCCCCCGGGGTCCTGGGACCCGCTGAGATTCCTCTCCCTCCTCCTCCGCTCAGCACTGGCATTGGCATCGGTTTCTATGGCAACAGTGAGACCAGTGATGGGGTGTCCCAGCTCAGCTCTGCGCTGCTGCACGCCAACCACACACTCAGCACCATTGACCACCTGGTGAGGGGCCAGCAACCAGTGGGACCCCAGACCCACACCTGGACGGGCTCCCCACACCCAAGGACAAAGGGATCCAAACTCAGAGCTAAGACCCCAGGCTTGAAGCTTAGGAACCCAGATTCAGAACTTCATCCTGAGACCCACAGACCTCAGACTATCCACCCAACCCCCGACCCTGGCTGCAAATTGAGGACCTCACACACAGGCCCAGCCCTGGACCTTACCTGGAACCCCCAAGCCACACAGAAACCAAGCACCAGCGACACCAGCCCCTGTCCACGGGCCAGATCCAGGGCCCCAGACCTGATTCTTGGCCCGTAAGCAAGCTCAGGGACCCCCGCCCTGAGGCCCAGGTCCCCGACTTGAGGCTTCAGCTCCGACATCAGCTCCAGGATTCTGGGCCCTGGGGCTGAGGCCTGGCCCCACTTCATGCCTTAGATTCCATGTCCAGCTGCAGACTCTAGACCATGGGACCCAGACTTGAGACCCCAGATTCTGGAAGGCAGATGAAAACTTCAGACCTAAAGCTCCACACTTAATCTCAGTCCTGGGGCTGGACTTACTACCCTGGGCTCAAGCTACCAACCATCCAGAGCTCTGGATAGAGGCCACAGAACTCCATGAACTTGATCTTGAAGCCCCTCCCCAATCCCTTCCCTTACTCAATCCTCAGATGTCCCAGACTCCAGATCTCAGACACCCGCTACTATGCACCCCTCCTTCACTTCTAAAACCCCATGCCTCGACCGCGGGCTCCCCCCAGGATGTCCTTCCAGACCTCAGCCCCTGTCCTATCCCCAGGTGTTGGAGACGGTGGAGAGGCTGGGCGAGGCGGTGAGGACAGAGCTGACCACCCTGGAGGAGGTGCTCGAGCCGCGCACGGAGCTGGTGGCTGCCGCCCGAGGGGCTCGACGGCAGGCGGAGGCTGCGGCCCAGCAGCTGCAGGGGCTGGCCTTCTGGCAGGGAGTGCCCCTGAGCCCCCTGCAGGTGGCTGAAAATGTGTCCTTTGTGGAGGAGTACAGGTGAGACGCTGCTCTTCTTGCTCTCTGTGCCGGCAGCTCTCAGGCGGAGTCCCCGGGGGGACAGTTGGCAATGCCTGGAGGCAGTTTTGGTTGTGACAGCTGGGGAGTGTGTGCGCACTGCTGGCATCCAATGGGTAGAGCCCAGGAACTGTTCAACACCCTGCAATGCACAAGAACCCCCTCCCCACCCATTGGCAGGGAATGATCCAGCCACCATGACAATTATGACGAGGCTGGCCAGGCGCGGTGGCTCAGGCCTGTAATCCCAGCACTTTTAGGAGGCCAAGGTGGGTGGATCACCTGAGGTCAGGAGTTTGAGACCAGCCTGGCCAACGTGGAGAAACCCCGTCTCTACCAAAAATACAAAAATTAGCTGGGCGTGGCGGCAGATGTCTGTAATGCCAGCTACTCAGGAGGCTGAGGCAGGAGAATCCCTTGAACCCGGGAAATGGAGGTTGCAGTGAGCCGAGATTTCACCATTGCACTCCAGCCTGGGCGATAGAGTGAGACTCCATCTCAAAAAAAAAAAAAAAAAAAAAAAAAAGATGAGGTTGAGAAACCTACTGTGGAGGGACAGATCACCAGACCCCATGGCCATCCTGACACCCATGTCCTCACCCATTCACTCACTCACCCCCTCCACGTCACTCCACTCACTTATTCACACATGCGTTCATTCCTTGACTCACTCATTCAGCAAGTCACTCTTGGACTCAGTTACTCCTGGACTAACCCAGCAGGCCACTCACTCAGTTCGTTCATCCGTGTGACATGTGTATTTGTTCAGCACTATTTTTTTTTTTTTTTTTGAGATGGAGTCTCACTCTGTCGCCCAGGCTAGAGTGCAGCGGTGCGATCTCGACTCACTGCAACCTCCGCCTCCTGGATTCAAGCGATTCTCCTGCCGCAGCCTCCCAAGTAGCTGGCATTACAGGCAGGCGCCACCACGCCCGGCTAATTTTTGTATTTTTAGTAGAAACGGGGTTTCACCATGTTAGCCAGGCTGGTCTCAAACTCCTGACCTTGTGATCTGCCCGCCTTGGCCTCTCAAAGTGTTGTTCAGCACTATTTATTTAGCACCCTCTGGTGAAAGAGGCAGCGTACCTACAGATCAGGAACCTGAGCTCGAAAGCCAGCCAGCCCCACCCTAACCACGCGGCTGCAATCAAGTTACTTTGCAGACCTCTGCCTTGGTTTCCCCATCTGTGAAATGGGAATCGGGGCAGCGTCCCCCTTGTTGAATTGGTTCGAGTTGTTGAGTTGGCATCTGAGTGCTGAGAAGGACGATTAGCACAGGGAGAGCACCGCAGAGATATGAAGTGTAGTCACCCCGGTGGCGGGCCGGGCAGTGAGCAAGTGGCAGAAATCCCTGCCACGTGGCTGCGTCCTCCGGGGGGAACCAGCAAGGGACAAACGCAGAGAAAAACATTGTAAGGTGTTGGGCCATGAGAACTTTGGAGAAAATTACAGAGGGGACCAGGCACGGTGGTTCACGCCTGTAATCCCAGCACTTTGGGAAGCCGAGGCAGGCGGATCACGAGGTCAAGAGATCGAGACCATCCTGGCTAACACGGTGAAATCCCGTCGCTACTAAAAATACAAAAATTAGCCGGGCGTGGTGGTGGGCGCCTGTAGTCCCAGCTACTTGGGAGGCTGAGACAGGAGAATCGCTTGAACCCGGGAAGTGGAGCTTGCAGTGAGCAGAGATCGTGCCACTGCACTCCAGCCTGGGTGACGGAGCGAGAATCCGTCTTAAAAAAAAAAAAAGAAAATTATAGAGGGAGATGAGGTGGGACAGAGTCTGGCAGTTCATCAGGGGGACTGAGAAGGTGGCATTTGGAGGAGAGGAGGCAGTGAGCTGTGCAGTGTCCAGGCAGCCACCCTTCCCAGCGGCCACCATGACGGTGTCCTCATTGCTTTGACCATTAGTAATCATTCATTCATTCATTCATTTATCCGACGTCAGCTGGAGGCCCTGCCCGCGGGGCATGCGCTGAGATTTGGGAGGCCTTCCGGGATGCTGCGCTCCAGCGGGGAAGGCCGACTGGGGCTGAAAAAGCTGGAGGTCAGGACACACCCGCAGGGCAGCAGGTGCAAGAGACAGACAAGCCTGGGTTTGAAGAAGTCCAGGTTCTGCATTGTGGTCAGGCCCAGGGGCTGCACAAGCCGGGCCTCAGCTCCTTCTCCTGGGCGAGGGCAGGGAAGTGGTGGGAGCCATAAGGGTGATGCCAGGGTGAGGCAGACCCACCATCGCTAGAAAATATCTTCCGGGTGCACCACTGCGAAAGCACCCCACACTTGGGAGTCCCTCGACAGACAAATCAGGGGCCTCCAAGGGAGTCTTGCTGGAGGGGAGCACTTGCGAGGCTGGGCGGAAGCAGCCAGAGACCAGGGTAAGGAGTGAAGCCCAAGCTTGTGGGGCCTGCAGAGAATGGCAGGAGGATTACATGAGCACTTACTACGTGCCGGGCACTGTGCTGTTGTTACGGCGGGTCCTTGCTCCCGGAGCTCCCAAGATCGTGGTGGCCACTTCCAAGAGGGCAGCAAGCCTCGTGTTCTCTGACCTGGGGTTCTTGGCCTCACGGATTCCAAGGAATGGAATCCTGGGCCCTGCGGTGAGTGTTTTAGCTCTATTAGAAGCCGTGGGTCACGGAAGAGAACCGTGGAACCCAGCGACCAGTGTTCAGCTCGATCAGGATGAACCCAGGCAGTTAGCTGTGCAGGAACAATGGCGAGCCTCTAGCCCGATTGGGAGCGGCAATGGGTGTCTCCCTGGATCACGAGCACAGTGGACACCCTGCCGGATCCGGAGGGTGGAAGTCAGCGGCGGGTCTGCGACGGCGGCAAACAGCAGTGGTGGACGGCGAGCGAAAGCTCAGCTCAAGCCGTAACAGACACGGACCAGAAGAGTGTGCAGTTTCAAGTTTTAATAGAGTGAAAACAGAGTTCCCATACAACGGGAGGGGACCCAAAGTGGGTAGCCGTTGCTGGCTGGAATGCCTGGGTTTCTATCCAGATCATTGTCCCTTCCCCTGTGCTCTCAGGTGATAGATGATTGGCTATTTCTTTACTTCCTATTTTTGCCTAACTAGCACTTTAGTGAGCTCTCTTTACTACCTGATTGGTTGGGTGTGAGCTAAATTGCATGCCCCGTGTTTAAAGGTGGATGCGGTCACCTTCCCAGCTAGGCTTAGGGATTATTAGTCGGCCTCGGACATCCAGCTAGTCCTGTCTCTCACTGTGGCTTGCATGCTTGCACCTCCTGAATCATGGTGGTGGGCCCTTCACTGATATTTAAGGATTAACTTTTTTTTTTTTCATTTTTGAGACTAAGTCTCACTCTTGTCGCCCAGGCTGGAGTGCAGTGGTGCAATCTTGGCTCACTGCAACCTCCACCTCATGGGTTCAAATGATTCTCCTGCCTCAGCCTCCCAAGTAGCTGGGATTACAGGCGTGCACCACCACGCCCGGCTAATTGTTGTATTTTTAGTAAAGACGGGGTTTCACCATGTTGGCCAGGCTGGTCTCAAACTCCTGACCTCAAGTGATCCGCCTGCCTCAGCCTCCCAAAATGCGCGGATTACAGGCGTGAGCCACCTCGCCCGGCCAAGTATTAACTATTAACTAACATCTCAGTTCCCTCGTTCACGCTCAGGCTAACCTCTAAGTGTGTCCACGTGCTTGGCACTCTCCTAAGCACTTCTAGTCATGCAGCCCACTCGAGGCAATATTCTCAAGCCAGTGTTGTTGTGCTCCCCACGTTACATGTAGGGAAACTGAGGAACGAGAGGCTAAGGTTACCGAGACAAGAGTTACCCGGCCAGTTAAGCGGAGGGGCTGGGGTTGAGACCAGGCAGCCTCTGCCTCCAGACGTCATGCCCTCCAGGGATGCGATGGGATCTTTGGTGCAGTCTTGAGAACGAGTATCTCCACTCTGCAGGGTGGGGTTGGGGATGGGGAGCTCGGAGAGAACACATCACGTGTCCCTGGTCACAGGGCACATGTGTGTGGCCCGGCCAGGGGATAGTCCCAGGTGCTCAGGACCTGTATTCTAAACCGCTCCAGTGTCCTGTCTCATGATAACACTATTTCACAGAGGACCTGGGCTGTGGCCCAGACACAGTAAACAGCAGGAGGCTGAGCTTGGAGGGTGGTGAATGTGAGGCTGAGCTGGGGGGCAGGGTGAATGCTGGTGGAGGGTTGCTGTTCCGCCGGGGTGCCTGGAGGCAGGTTTGTGGTTTCAGCCCTACCCTCTCCCCTCCCAGGTGGCTGGCCTACGTCCTCCTGCTGCTCCTGGAGCTGCTGGTCTGCCTCTTCACCCTCCTGGGCCTGGCGAAGCAGAGCAAGTGGCTGGTGATCGTGTAAGTGCAGGCAGTAGGGGGACCCAGTGCTTGCCTGGCACTCTCCTGGCAGGCAGGACCTCAGTCTTACAACTCTCCTACACGGAGGACCGTGGTCCTTCACGGCCGGGTACACACGAAGAAAAGAGAGTCAGAGCAGCCCAGGAGGGAGGCGGGGACAGACCTGAAAACAGGCAGCCCTAACAGTATGAAGTATGCTGGAATCATGGCAGAAATAATCATTGTGTTGGCAATAAAGATGAGGATGAGGCCAGGCGCGGTGGCTCACGCCTGTAATCCCAGCACTTTAGGAGGCCGAGGTGGGTGGATCATGAGGTCAGGAGTTTGAGACCAGCCTGACCAACATGGAGAAACCCTGTCTCTATTAAAAATACAAAAATTAGCTGGGTGTGGTGGCATGCGCCTGTAGTCCCAGCTACTCAGGAGGCTGAGGCAGGAGAATCGCTTGAACTCAGGAGGTGGAGGTTGTGGTGAGCCAAGATCACACCATTGCACTCCAGCCTGGGCGACAGAGTGACACTCCATCTCAAAAAAAAAAAAAAAAAAAAAAAAGGCTGGGCGTGGTGGCTCACGCCTGTAATCCCAGCACTTTGGGAGGCCGAGGAGGGCGGATCACGAGGTCAGGAGATCGAGACCATCCTGGCTAACACGGTGAAACCCCATCTCTACTAAAAATACAAAAATTAGCCGGGCGTGGTGGCGGGCGCCTATAGTCCCAGCTACTCGGGAGGCTGAGGCAGGAGAATCGCTTGAACCCGGGAGGCGGAGGTTGCAGTGAGCTGAGATTGCACCACTGCACTCCAGCCTGGGCGACACAGTGAGACTCCATTTCAAAAACAACAACAACAACAACAAAAAAAAACAGATGAGGATGATGATCTATTGAGGGTCATGCACGCTGAGTCCTTCAGTTGCCTCCACCCCATGAAGGAGCTACCATAAGGCTCCATGTGGCCGGTCAGGGACCTGACTAAGAGCGCAGAGGGTGGCCAAGTCCGAGACTGAGCCGTCCTTAAGTGTCGTGGCAAAGCCGCAGGACCACACTGATTTCACAGCTCGCTCTACGCGCCCGACACTCTTCTCTGCACTCCCTGGAGCACCTCATGCCCCCTGTGAGGAAGGTGCTTCCTTCTGCCTGTTTTTTATTTCTGTTTTTTATTTTGAGAAGGTCTTGCTTTGTTGCCCAGACTGGAGTGCAGTGGCATGATCACGGCTCACTACAGCCTCTGTCCCCTGAGGCTCAAGTGATCCCCCCACCTCAGCCTCCAGAGTAGCTGGGACCATGGGCTTATGCCACCACTCCCGGCTAAGTTTTTTTTTTTTTTTTTTTTTTTTTTTTGAGCTGCAATTTGGCTCTTGTTGTCCAGGCTGGAGTTCAGCGGCACGATCTTGGCTCACTGCAACCTCTGCCTCCTGGGTTCAGGCAATTCTCCTGCTTCAGCCTCCCAAGTAGCTGGGATTACAGGCGTATGCCACCAAACCTGTCTAATTTTGTATTTTTAGTAGAGATGGGGTTTCTCCATGTTGGTCAGGATGGTCTCAAACTCCTGACCTAAGGTGATCCGCCCGCCTCAGCCTCCCAAAGTGCCTGGATTACAGGCATGAGCCACCGTGCCTGGCCTAAGTTTTGTATATTTTTGTAGAGATGGAGTCTTGCTATGTTGCCCAGGCTGGTCTCGAACTCCTGGCCTCAAGTGATCAGCCTGCCTCAGCCTTCCAAAGTACTGGGTTTACAGGCATGAGCTACCATGCCTGGCCCTTCTCCCTGTTTAACAGAGGGAGAGACTGAAGATCAGAGAGGTTGGACCACTTGCTCAGGGCCACACAGCTAGAAGTGCTAGAGCTGGGATTTGAACCAGACAGGCCATTCTCATTGGAGGAGTCCCTGCATTCTCTCTGGCCCTAGTGGGGTGAGGCGGAGTTGAACCTGTACCTCCATTGCCCCTGAGAGAGTGGGAGAGACCCCGCGTAAGGCTTGCAGACCCATAAACCTAGCCAACACAGGGCAGGTCTGGGACTGGAAGCCAGGCCTTCAGTTTGGGGACCCCTGGGTGCCCTTCTTGCTTACTGGTCACCCTACCAATGCTGACACGCCCCCTGCACCCCTCCCCACCCGGAAAGTCCAGAGACTTTCAGATTTCAGCCCTGGCACTGTCTCCCATTCTCAGAGGAGACAGGGCAGAGCCAGAGGCTGATCAGGCTGTGGGTGGACTTGGGGGAGCCTTCGGGGGAAGTGAGCCCAGAGGTGAGCAGTCACCGTCCCAGGGTCCTGGAGCTGGGATCCAAGCTGCGACCACCCAGCCCAGGGCCCTGCTCATACCCCACACCCTGCTCATCTGGGCAGGAGCCAGATGTCCTGCTGGACATCAGCAGCCACTGGCCTACCCCCAACCACTGAACTTGTGTTTCCCTAATTCTGATCCTCCAGGCTCCAGAGGTGGGTGGAGGTGGGGGGCGGCTGTGATGGGATTTGGGGTGTGGAAAGAGGCTAGGCTAGGAGATTAAGAACCCCGGGCTGATCCTCCCTCCCCCACTCTAGGATGACAGTCATGAGTCTCCTGGTTCTCGTCCTGAGCTGGGGCTCCATGGGCCTGGAGGCAGCCACGGCCGTGGTGAGTGCCAGGGCCGGGCCATTGGGCTCTGGGACTCAGGGGGCCTGGAGACTTCAACTTCTGGATCTCGGGATGGCATGGCTTAGTAGAGAAAGGAATTGGGGGGCACGATCACAGCTCTGAGGTTTAGGGCTTGTTTCCTGGGGCCTGAGTGGGTACAGATTGGTGTCCTGGACGTTTGAGCTGTAATGGAGGAGGGGCTGGAAACCTGGATTCCTAGGTCTGAGGGAGGAGGGGCTGGGGGTCTGGACTCCTGGGTGTGAGGGAGGAGAAGCTGGGGGCCTGGACTCCTGAGTCTGAGGGAGAAAGGGCTGGAGAGTCTGAACCCCTGAGTCTGAGGGACGAGGGGCCTGGGGCCTGGACTCCTGAGTCTGAGGGAAGAGGGGCTGGGACCTGGACCCCTGGGTGGGGAGGGGAGCTGGGGAGCCAGGCACTGGGTGCTGTGGGAGTGTGGAATCGGGGCAGTTTTGGGTTTGAGCCCCTTTTCTGCTGCCTCACGCAGGGCCTCAGTGACTTCTGCTCCAATCCAGACCCTTATGTTCTGAACCTGACCCAGGAGGAGACAGGGCTCAGCTCAGGTGATTTCCAAGGGCCCGGTGGGTCCGCCGGGTTGGGCAGTGCAGGCCCTGGCTTCCTCAGGCCTCCTCTGTGCCCGGTCCTGCCCAGGGTGGGGTGGGGGTGCAGCCTGCCAGGCGAGACCCAGCCCTCTGGAAGGGAAGCAGGGCTCCTGGCCACTCCCCAGCTCGGAGCCCTCCTGGAGCCCCGCCACCCGCCAGACCCTCATCCCTTCTGCTCCAGCTGGCAGCGCCTCTCCTGGTGGGCTGGAAAAGAGGGCAGGATAAAGATAATGGTGCCAGGAAGAGAGAGGAGGGTCAGGAGAGGGTGCTCCTGGGCGTCAGGAATGGGGAGTTTGGCCCCCTGGAGAAAACTGGGGAGCACCATTTAGTCAGGGGTTCCCAGGGAGTATAGGGTTGCCCACCAGCGCCTGCTCTGGCTGTGGCAGGAGCAGAAGGGACGCGGGGCTGGCGGGTCTCTGAAGGTAAGGCCATCGGGCTCCAGGGCTGGGCTGAGGCCCCTAACCCTGCTAACCCCCCAGTGCCCGGCCTTCCCCCGGGAGATCCCTGGGGGCCCAGGCTCATGGCCTCCTCCCCTCTCCTCCTCCCACTTCAGACATCCTGAGCTATTATCTCCTCTGCAACCGGGCCGTCTCCAACCCCTTCCAACAGGTTAGGGCTGCGGGCAGGGGAAACGGGTGTTGAGGGAGCCAGAAATCTGGACTCTGAAGGGAGGGGGCGGGGCTGGGGCTGGGGCCTGGACTCCTGGGTTCCGGGGAGGATGCAGGCCAGGGGCCCGAGTGCTGTGTCCGGAGGAGAGGAGAGAGGGCCGGGGGCGTATACTCCTGGGTCCTCCTCCCTCCCTTTCTCTTTCTGCAGAGGCTGACTCTGTCCCAGCGAGCTCTGGCCAACATCCACTCCCAGCTGCTGGGCCTGGAGCGAGAAGCTGTGCCTCAGTTCCCTTCAGCGCAGGTCGGTGGGTGGGCGCTCCCCAGACACGCGGACCCCACGGGGAAGGCGGACGGGGCGGGATGGAGCTGTGGGGCGTAGGCGGGGCTGCAGAGCTAGGCGGGGCCTTGGGTTGTGGGCGGGGACGCAGGGCGGGGCCAGGGCGATGGGCGGGCCTGAAGAGTTCGTGGGAAAACGACCCCTCCTCGCCCCGCAGAAGCCTCTGCTGTCCTTGGAGGAGACTCTGAATGTGACAGAAGGAAATTTCCACCAGTTGGTGGCACTGCTACACTGCCGCAGCCTGCACAAGGTGAAGCCCCTCCCCTCCCAATTTCTTCTCCCACGGGGGGCCTCTGTCTCGACCCACAGAACTACCTCCTCCTTCTCCTTGGACCCCTGCCATTGCGCCTGAGGATATCTCTGTATCCTCTGTTTATATGATTTATCTGTCCTATATCTATTCTCTACCTATTTATAACCTGTCGTCTACCTACCTATCAAGCATTATCCATATTCCTTCCCTCCTCCCTCCCTTTCCCCCCAACTCCCGCACTCCCCGCTGGGTCCCCATCCCACCCTCCCCGTCCCTTCCTGCCACCTTTTCCTTCCTTGTCTTCTCTCCTCTCTCCGTCCTCCTGCCTCTCCCTCCCTCCTAGAGGCTGCCGCTTAGTGAGTTCTGGAGCAAGACTGCCTGGGTTCCAGTCCTACCTCCTGACCAAGGGCAAGTCACCTAACTTCTCTGTACCTCAGTTAGTTCCCTCACTTATAAACCTGGGATTGCAAGAGTGGGCACCTGTCCAGCTCCCCTGCGGCTTGTGCTGTTCATACACTGGACAGGCAGGGGTGGGCAGGGTGCCCAGGAGGAAAGATATCTGGTGTCCTGCAGGCTCCAGTTTGGGCTCTGCCGCAGGCTGCACGGCCATAGGCAGGTGAGCGTGGCTGACTCTGCTTCCCACCCGTACCGTGAGGAAGGACGAGTTTTTTTTGTTTGTTTTTTTTTCACTGGATGGCTGTGAGGATTGAAAAAAAAAATCCCCTTATAAAACAGTAGGAGCTGGCCGGGCGCGGAGGCTCACACCTGTAATCCCAGCACTTTGGGAGGCCCAGGCGGGTGGATCACCTGAGGTCAGGAGTTCAAGACCAGTCTGGCCAACATGGTGATACCCCGTCTCTACTAAAAATAGAAAAAGTTAGCCGGGCATGGTGGTGGGCGCCTATAATCCCAACTACTCGGGAGGCTGAGGCAGGAGAATCGCTTGAATCCACGAGGCAGAGGTTGCAGTGAGCCAAGATTGTGCCACTGCACTCCAGCCTGGGCAACAAGAGCGAAACTCTGTCACAAACAAACAAACAAAACCAGTAAGAGCTGTTCTAAAACACACACCCGAGGATGCCTTTCCCCGGCCAGTCTTCCCATCAAAGACCTCACATGTGCATAGCTTCACCAAGTACCTGACCCTGTTGCATTTCACAGGTGGTAACTCATCGATGCCTCATAACAATGCTATGAAGAAGGAACTATGATTATCCCACCTAACAGGTTAGAAGATGAGGAGCAGAGTTGAGGGACCTTCCCAAGGTCACACGGCCAGCCAGCCCGTGCACACTGAGGAGAGAGGGACCTTCCGGAGGGCCCCGCCCTCTGCCCCCCACAGCCAGGCAGTTGCCCAGTTTTGTCCTTTCTGCTTCTGGAATGTCTTCATCCATCTACTCTCAATGCCCAATGCCCCTGCCGCAGCTGAGGCCTCGTTCTCTCCCCTGCAGAAGGAAGCATGGCCCCCTCCCCATCCATCCCCCCATGGACCCTAGAATAGGGCTGCCAGATTCAGCAAACAGCAAACCACTCTGCTATAAGTACGCCCGGTGCAATGCTGGGGAGATACTTATACTAGAAAATTATGTATTGGGCATCCGATACTCAAATGTAACTGGAAGTCCTGAATTTGATCTGGCAACCCTACCCAAGAGGGATTTGTCTACGCCATCGCATGGATCTGAGCTTTCCCTGGTCTGGCTCAGACAGACCCCTTCTGTGGCTCCCACTGCCTCCCACCCTTCTGGAACTGGCATTCCAAAAAGGGAGTGGGGAGTAAGCACTGAAGCCATGCTCAGAATTGCTGACTATTGAGCTGAGAAAGGCTGGGCCCCCACCCAGCCCAGGGCTGCCCTGATCTTTTGCATAAGGATAAACTGGGGTTCAGGCGCTTTTCTGTGGCCTAGGCAGAAACTGGGCTGGAATACAGGCCCCCAGACTCCTTTGTGGAGGGAGGGAAGGGAAGGAAGAGGACAGATCACTCTACCCTTCCCTACCACTGCACCATGAGACCCTGGGTCTCCATCTCCCCTGTCAGTGTGCCAGGGTCCTCACAGATTAAAATCAAGAATAAGCGGCGGGGCCGGGCACTGTGGCTCACGCCTGTAATCCCAGCACTTTGGGAAACCAAGGTGGGCGGATCACCAGAGGTCAGGAGTTTGAGACCAGCCTGGCCAGCATGGCGAAATCCCATCTCTACTAAAAATACAAAAAAACTAGCCGGGCGTGGTGGCACACCCCTGTATTCCTAGCTACTCAGGAGGCTGAGGCACGAGAATTGCTTGAACCTGGGCAGTGGAGGTTGCAGTGAGCTGAGATCGAGCCACTGCACTCCAGCCGGGGTGACAGAGCGAGAATCCGTCTCAAAAAAAAAAAAAAAAAATAGGAGGGGGCTAGGGATGGGTGCCTCGTGCCTATAAACCCAGCACTTTGGGAGGCCCAGTGGGGCAGATCAGAACTCCTTGAGCTCAGGAGTTCAAGACCAGCCTGGCCAACATGGTGAAACCCCATCTCTATTAAAAAAAAAAAAAATCAACAATAAGGGACATCAGGGATGAGGATGAAGGAGGGAGGGCACTGGAGCCTAAGAGAATCAGCTCCAATATCGCTTCTGCCCCTTCCAGACAGTGTGACTCTGGGCAAGTAGCTTGCCTTCTCTGGGCTGCAACTTCTTTCCACCATTGCAAGAGGCGGCAGCGTGAGAGGGTCAGTGTCTGCCTGGCAGGGCTGTTGTGAGGATGAAGGACAGTGTGCATGTACCAATACTCTCAAAACAGAGCCTCCATTGCCCCGACAGGTCCGTACCCCAACCCTCACTGGCTTAGTAACAGACACCCCACCTCAACCAGGTGCTCCTGCCAGAAACTCAGGCTCTTAGCTCCCACAACCATTCTCAGAACAAGTTCTGTTGGCCCTTCCTCTGAAACCTATATGGACTCCCACCGCTGTTCCTACCACCATTGCTGTGCCCTGGTCCCCGCATCCTAGCCACCATGACCACAGGGGCCTCTTCCCTGTCCCCCCTCGCCTACCCCCGTCTGTCCTCCATGCAGCAGCCAGCCAGCCAGGTGATCCTTTTAAAACACAATCCGATCAAGTTCTTCCTCTGCTTAAAACGCTCAGTGATTCCCCTCAGACATGGATTAAAATCCCTGTTCCTCGCCCTGACCTACAAGGGCCTGGGTGGTCAGTCCTGGATCTGTCTGCCTCTGGCCTCAGCCCCTCCCAGCTTCCTCTGCACAGCCCTCTGCCTGGCTCCTTCCTGGAGGACCCATCCCTGCTAGTGGGGTTACCCGACCTACCCCTGCCCTGCACTGACCCCCGCCCTCCTACCTCGTTGCACACCAGCCTCTGAGATGACCTTCTCGGTCCTGTTTACCGAAGTTTCCTGGTACTGGGGGCAGCGCCTGGGGCAGAGCAGGCTCTGTCAACCCCCACTGAATACATACGCTGTGCAGGTGCTTAGCACTCGGTGAAGGCCGTTTCTGCTGATTTCTTGGGACGACAGTCATCAGAGCCAGCATTTGTTGGCATGTTGAGTGTGTATTGTGTGCGCGGTGTCATCTTGAGCCACTGGTTGGTTTTTCGACGTGCTGTTCCACGTGCTCTAGGCCAGTGATTCTGCCCCCAGGGACACCTGGCTGGGTGAGGAGTTCTGCCCCCAGGGACACCTGGCCGGGTGCCGAGTTGCTGTTGGTTGTCACACTGCAGGAGGGGGTGCTCCTGGCATCTGGTGGGTGGAGCTGAGTGGGGCTGCTCAGCACCCCACAACACACAGGGCAGCGCCGTCACCACAGAGAATGATCTGGCTCAAAATGTCAGCAGGGCCCAGGTTATGAAGCCCTCGCCCCTGGACCAAGGCGGAGCTGGCGGTGGCTGGCCTGTGGGCGCTTGGTGCAGGGGAGGATGCTCTTGCAGGAGGTGCCGCTGCCGGGAGGGAGAAGGGAAACGGAAGTAGCAGTTCTCACGTTCCTGGGTAGATGAAGATGGAGGAGAGGGCCCAGGGCTGGTGGGAGATGCTGGACTGGTTCTAGATGTGGGGTGCTGACTGGGGAGGACCCATGTGAAAGGGAGATAGGGGCCTGCAATGACAAGGGCGGGTGCAGCTCAGGAGAAGCCAAGTCTGGAGGCTGGGCAATTAATTCCTGAGTGCCAGGCCTATCACACCAAAGACCCCACTGTACCCACTGTATTCTCAGAACTGCCCTTTGACAGGGGAAACTGAGGCACAGAGTGGTCAGTTGACGTGTGCAGTACCACAGCCGGGAGGACGGTCAGACTGATGTGCACAGTGTGTGCCGATGGGGGAGGGGGTGGGGACGCATGGCCTGATGACGCCCTCCCCTCAGGACTATGGTGCAGCCCTGCGGGGCCTGTGCGAAGACGCCCTGGAAGGCCTGCTCTTCCTGCTACTCTTCTCCCTGCTGTCTGCAGGAGCGCTGGCCACTGCCCTCTGCAGCCTGCCCCGAGCCTGGGCCCTCTTCCCACCCAGGTCAGGAGCGGGGGAGGGTAGGGTCCTGGGGAGGGAAGAGGAGGGGCAGCACCTGGGGACCACGGTGGCAGTGGGGGTGGGGGGTGCAGCCTCCTGATGGGTCCCCATCCCGCCTCTCTGCCATGCCCCGCATCAAACCCCAGTGACGACTACGATGACACAGACGATGACGACCCTTTCAACCCTCAGGTACTGGATGCCTGGGTCTGAGGGAGGAGGGGCGGGGGGTCCTGAACTCCTGGGTCTGAGGGAGGAGGAGCTGAGGGCCTGGCCGCCTGGGTCTGAGGGAGGAGGGGCTGGGGCCCGGACTCCTGGGTCTGAGGGAGGAGGGGCTGGGGTCCCACAGTACAAAGCCAATTCCCACTCCATTCCCTCCTCTCCCCCGCTACCCCGAATCTCCTAGCAGGAATCCAAGCGCTTTGTGCAGTGGCAGTCGTCTATCTGAGCCCCTCCTCCCGGCTGGACTGGAGCCTGGCTCCCCTCTTCGGTGAGCTTCCAAGGGCCACCCCAGCTCCTGCAGCCGGGCCTCTGCCCCCCTCCCGCCCTCCGAGCTGCTCCAGGCATGGGCTGCGTGCCTCCTGCTGGGTGGATCGCACCGGGCAGGCCCTCCAGCCTGCATCACTGCCCTGTCTCTCCCTCTCTCCGCAGTTCCTTCCCTGGCTGCCGGAGGAGACCCCACTAACCCAGCCTGCCTGGGCTCTGACCACTAACACTCTTGGCCATGGACAGCCTGCACAGGACCGCCTCCCTGCTCTTGGCCACTGTGCTCCCATTTCTGTCCTTGGCCTTGGGAGTAGCTGAGGGGGCAGACTAGGGAGTAGGGCTGGCAGGGGAGGGGGCAGACAGCCTCGCCTCGCACCCTTCATCCCTGGCTGCCGGTCCCATCCTTGGAGGGACTAAGCTGGGGGTGGGGGACATGAGTCCCCCTGCTGCCCCTGCCACATCCCAGTGGGCTCTGACCCCCTGATCTCAACTCGTGGCACTAACTTGGAAAAGGGTTGATTTAAAATAAAAGGGAAGACTATTTTACAAGCAGCTGGGTCCTCCTTATTTCTCCTCTCCCTTGATTCGGCCTCCTGGCCAGGGCTGGGACATCCTCCCTGCTGTCCTCTCTCCCCCGGCCTCCCAGCTGCCAGGAATTTCTGCGCCTGTCCAGGCTCAGCAAGGGGTCCAAAGACATTGTTCTTTAAAAAAAAAAAAAAAAAAATCAAAAAACAAAACGCTTTCTTCTGATTCTAAAAGTAATGCGCGTGTCCTGACACAGGAAGACACAGGCATCTCTGGCACAGAATAGATGGCCTAGAAATAGATCTAACTGTGTGTGTGTGTGTGTGTGTGTGTATATATATATATATACACACATGACAGAAGACAGATTTCAAGTCAGTGTGGAAAGGACGGTTGGTTTAGCAGCAGTAGTGACATATCGGCTCTCCATCTGGCCAAAAACTTCTATAGATAAGATGGGTGGAAGATCTAGATGTATGCAAGTAAAGGCACAGAAGAATTTCTAGAGAAATTAGGAGGGTGGGCATGGTGGTGCATGCCTGTGGTTCCAGCTACTCGGGAGGCTGAGACTCCTTGCTTGAGCCCGTTTCGAGGTAGCAGTGAGCTGTGATCGTGCCACTGCACTCCAGCCTGGGCAACAGAGCAAGACCCTGCCTCTTTTTTTTTTTTTTTTTTTGTTTTTGAGACGGAGTCTCGCTCTGTCACCCAGGTTGGAGTGCAGTGGCGCGATCTCGGCTCACTGCAAGCTCCGCCTCCCAGGTTCATGCCATTCTCCTGCCTCAGCCTCCCAAGTAGCTGGGACTACAGGCGCCCGCCAACACGTCCGGCTAATTTTTTGTATTTTTAGTAGAAACGGGGTTTCACCGTGTTAGCCAAGATGGTCTCGATCTCCTGACCTCGTGATCCGCCCGTCTCGGCCTCCCAAAGTGCTGGGAATACAGGCGTGAGCCACCGCGCCCGGCCAAGACCCTGCCTCTTAAAAAAAAAAAAAAAAAAAGACAAAAAACAGAGAGAGGCTGGCTGCGGTGGCTCATGACTGTAATCCCAGCATTTTGAGAGGCCAAGGTGGGTGGATCCCTTGAGGCCAGGAGTTTGAGAGCAGAGTGGCCAACATGGTGAAACCCCGTCTCTACTTAAAGAAAAAAAAAATTAGCTGGGCATGGTGGCACAGGTCTGTAAGCCCAGCTACTCGGGAGGCTGAGGCAGGAGAATTGCTTGAACCCGGGAGGTGGAGGTTGCACCACTGTACTCCAGCCTGGGAGATCAAGTGAGACTCCATCTCAGAAAAAAACAAAACAAAACAAAACAAACCAGAGAAATTAGGAGAATATTTGTATATTGTCTGCATGTCATGTATCTGGGTAGGGAAAATGGGGAGGGAGGAGTTTAAGCAGGAGATCATAAAACCAGAAAGGAAAAGATAGCTTAGTTGGCAAATTATAGATTGAAAAACATACCGTAAAGTCAAATGGCAAATTGACAGACTGGGGAACAGTGAGTGTGTGCGTGCGTGTGTGTGTGTGTGTGTGTGTGTGTGTGTGTGTGTGTATGTTAACAGTTATGATGCAGAAATGTTATTCTTAAAAGATATAATCTACAAAAGCTTTCATAAACTAAGAAAAAGACAACCCATTTAAAAGTAATCAATTGAGTTGAATACTCAATAAAAATTCCAACATCAGTAAACAGACAAAAAGATTCAAACTCTAATAATTGGGAAATGCAATTTGAAAGAATGAGAAACTACACTTTTTCACTACCTAGACACAATGAAATTAACAAGAGTGGTGATGTCCTGGGCGGGCGAGGACCTAGAGGAACAGGCACTCAAAACACTTCTCCTGAGGCTGTGAGCTGCCACCATCCCTTGAAAAAAAAAAAAAATGCGCTTGTATGTGATCAGATCAAAACTGCATACACCCCATGCCCCAACAATCCTGCTTTTGGGAATTGATTTACAGAAAAAGACACACAGGCTTCTGAAGACTTCTATTTAGAGCTGCCTGTTACAACGATACCACTTTGATCAGCTAAACCCTGAAAACAAACATGCACAAAAAGAGAAGTCCAATAACTGACTGCACAGCAGGGCTCTCTGGAAGAAACCAGCTCTTGGCTGAGTTGAGGATGTGAGGGAAAAGCCTGGCAGAGAGGAGCTATCAGAGCAGGGTGTGGCAGACAGCAGTGGCAGAGTGGACTGAAGGAGAGGGGCCTGCACAGTGAAGGGCCCAGCTTATCATTCAAGGCACCCCAGGCCACCATCCTGGCCCTGCTTTTCATGACCTTCACGGATATGGGAAAGTCACTTGACCCGTTAGACCTCGGTTGCCTCTTTGATCAAACGGGTATCAGAAATCCAAAATTCCAAAATCCACAGATCCAAAGAGCTCCAAAGTCAAGCCATCCCCAAGCTCATTGGGCAGGAAAACCTGACCTGTGTTGGTGGGAGATGACTTACAGACATGACTGACACGCTTGGTGTGAACGTTCACATACTTCCCTGCAGAAAAGTTAACCAGGCTGCTGCACACTGCTGTGCTGAGCACTGAGGGTGCCGTGTGCCCTGTGGAGTAGAGATCATATTGCCTTTGCAACTGAAAAATCCTGAATCTCAACACACACCTGGCTCCGAGGGGATCGAGTTGGTGCTTGGTGACCCACAGTGCCAGATGCTGGTGTACAGCGTGGGGCCTGCTGCTGCTCTGTGCCTGTCAATCATTTCTATTTTGTGTACTGCAAGGAGCGTTCAGAGGAAGCTTTAGATATGTGGGCCTGACGGTGGGAATAAAAATCAACTGCAATTTCAGGGAGGGGTTCTGGGGGCCACATGCGTTCACTCACTTTTTCCTAACCATGTGGGCTGTCTGCCCCAGGCCCGGCCCTGCTGCTATGCTGACTTCTTTCCTCTCAAACACTGCCCTCTAGTGCCCCTGAGCCCATTTCCCAAGCACAGGCATCCGCTGGCTGTTGGGCGGCTGCAAAGTACCTTGAGACTCAGCTGCTTGATCTCCCATGCCAATGAGCCTGGGGGTGATCTCTCAACAAGAAGTTGGCCGGGCACCCTGGCTCACGCCTGTAATCCCAGCACTGTGGGAGGCTGGGGCAGGCGATCACCTGAGGTCAGGAGTTTGAGACCAGCCTGGCCAACACGGTGAAACCCCATCTCTACTAAACACAAAAATTAGCTGGGCATGGTGGCGGGCGCCTGCAATCCCAGCTACTCAGGAGGCTGAGGCAGGAGAATCACCTGAACCCGGGATGCGGAGCTTGCAGTGAGCCGAGATCGCGCCACTGCACTCCAGCCTGGGCGACAGAGCAAGACTCCGTCTCAAAAAAAAAAAAAAAAAAAAAAAAGGCATTTTACCCAAACTTTACAAAAGGAAAATCCAGTGTTATTTTTAGAATGTTACCTATGGGGGCTTCCACTGCGACCAGGATGGAGTCACAGAGACTGGACTTGACCCCCCAAAAATAGAGTAAATACAAGAAAACAACAGTGGTCAAGACTCTACCAAGAAAGTGATCCCTGAGGAACGGGAAACATCAAGGCAAGCCCTAAAATTGCCGCTGGGTCCTGTTGCAAGTTTCTAGACCACGGGACAGGGAGGGAAGACTGAGGCGGAGCTGGGAGGACTCCGTGAGCAGAGGAGACAAAGCAGGGAGTCTGAGCTTTGTTCTTGAGCTTTGTTTTGAGAATGAAGTTATGGGCCGGGTGCGATGGCTCACGCCTGTAATCCCAGCACTTTGGGAGACCGAGGTGGGTAGATCACCTGAACTCAGGTGTTCGAGACCAGCTTTGCCAACATGGTGAAACCCTGTCTCTACTAAATATATACAAATTCGCCGGGTGTAGTGGTGGGTGCCTGTAGTCCCAGCTACTCGGGAGCCTGAGGCAGGGGAATCTCTTGAACCTGGGAGGCGAAGGTTGCAGTGAGCCAAGATCGCGCCATTGCACTCCAGCCTGGGCAGCAGAGCGAGACTCCATCTCAAAAAATAAATAAATAAAAATAAAAATAAATTATCTTGGACTTCCAGCCTCCAGAACTGTGAGAAATAAGTGTTTGTTGTTTTTGAGCCACCAGTCCATGGTCCTCTGTTACTGCAGACTAGAATGCCAGGGAAAGAACCACCTGGAGGGACTGAAGCAAATAGCGCCTGAGTTCTGGGGACTCACACAGGCCTTGACAAGGCGCTGTTCCTGCCAGAAGAACCTCATAACTGAAGGAACACTGGGTAGAACACGGAGAGGGTCTTACATCAGCCGTGGGGAATAAGCAGCCCTAACCTGTTAAACACTGTTCTGGTCCTGCCTGAGGAATCTTAAAAGCAAAACCTGAAAGGATCAAGCTGCTTCCAAGTAAGGTGACTGCATTCTCAAACAAAGCTCAAGAATATTTATAGGCATACAAAAGTAACGAGTGCTCGACAAGGTAATACTGATATTGTCTAGTATCCAACAACAAAGTCACCAAATATGCAAAAAGCAGGAAAATAGGGCACATCATGAGGATAAAAATCATTCAACTGAAACGGACCCAGGAGTTAGAATTAGTAGGTAAGAACATTAGAACAACTATTATACTGTACTCCATACGTTCCAAAAGTTCTTTACAGATACGGAAGATATAAAAAAACTCAAACTGGATATCAACAGATAGAAATTACAATGTCTGAAATAAATAATGTACTGGCTGGAACAGCAGATTTTTGTTTTTTGGGGGAGAGTCTTGCTCTGTTGCCCAGGCTGTAGTGCAGTGGCATGATCTAGGCTCACTGCAACTTCCACCTCCCAGGTTCAAGCAATTCTCATGCCTCAGCCTCCCAAGTAGCTGAGACTACAGGCACCTGCCACCACATCCAGCTAATTTTTGTATTTTTAGTAGAGACGGGCTTTCACCATGTTGGCCAGGCTGGTCTCAAACTCCTGACCTCAAATGATCTGCCAGCCTCGGCCTCCCAAAGTGCTGGGATTACAGGTGCGAGCCACTGCACCCAGCCCTAGAACAGCAGATTAGACATTGCAGGAAAAAAAAAAAAATCTGGAAGACAACATTAGAAACTGTCCAAATGAAACATTTAAAAAAATGATTTTTTTTTTTTTACTTTTTAGACAGGGTCTCACTCTGTCACCTAGGCTGGAGTGCACTGGCGTGATCATGACTCACTGCAGCCTCAACCTCTCCAGCTCAAGCGATCCTCCCACTTTAGCCTCTCGAGTAGCTGGGACTACAGGCGCACACCACCATGTTTGGCTAATCTTTAAAAATTTTCTGTAGAGATGAGGTCTCACCATGTTGCCCAGGGTGGTCTCAAACTCCTGGGCTCAAGTGATCCTACTGCCTTGGCCTCCCAAAGTGCTGGGATTACAGGCATGAGCCACCATGCCCTGCCCCAGAAGGAATGAATATATTTTTTTTTAATGAAAAGAACACTGGTGAGCTGTGGGACATTTTAATATATGTGTAACTGGAGGCCCATAAGGAGAGAGAAAGAAAGGAACAGAGAGAGTGTTTAAAGAAATAATAACCCCAAATTTCCCAAATTTGATACAAACTATAAAACCAAAGACACAAGAAACTCAACACACCCCAAGCAGAAGAAACACAAAGATAAACCAAGATACATCATAATCAAATTTCTTAAGACCAGTAACAAAGAGAAAATCTTGACAACAGCCAGATGAAAAACAAAAAGATTTTATAAACAGAGGAACAAAAATTAGGATGACACCAGATTTCTCACTGGAAACAATGTGAGAAAGCAGTGTAAGAAAATTCTTAAAGTAGCAAAAGAAAAAAGTAGTCAACCTAGAATTCGATACTCACTGAAACTGTTTTTCAAAAGTGGGCCGGGCACGGTGGCTCACACCTGTAATCCCAGCACTTTGGGAGGCAGAGGCGGGCGGATCACAAGGTCAGGAGATCGAGACCATCCTGGCTAACACAGTGAAACCCCGTCTCTACTAAAAATACAAAAAATTAGCCGGGCGTGGTGGTGGACGCCTGTATTCCCAGCTACTCGGGCGGCTGAGGCAGGAGAATGGCGTGAACCCGGGAGGCGGAGCTTGCAGTGAGCCGAGATCGCGCCACTGCACTCCAGACTGGGCGACAGAGCAAGACTCCCTCTCAAAAAAAAAACCAAAAAAACAAAAGTGAAGACAAGGCCAGGCGCAGTGGCTCACACCTGTAATCCCAGCATTTTGGGAGGCTGAGGCAGGCGTATCACCTGAGGTCAGGAGTTCGAGACCAGCCTGGCCAACATGGTGAAACCCCGTCTCTACCAAAAAATACAAAAATTAGCTGGGTGTGGTGGTGGGCACAGAGCAGAGATAGAACAGTATCATAAGGCTGGGCGTGGTGGCTCACACCTGTAATCCCAGCACTTTGGGAGGCCAAGGCAGGCAGATCCCGAGGTCAGGAGTTTGAGACCAGCCTAGCCAATATAGTGAAACCCTGTCTCTACTAAAAATGCAAAAAGGAGCTGGGTGTGGTGGTGCACGCCTGTAATCCCAGCTACTTGGGAGGCTGAGGCAGTAGAACTGCTTGAACCTGGGAGGAGTAGGCTGCAGTGAGTCGAGACTGTGCCACTGCACTCCAGCCTGCATGACAGTGAGACTCCGTCTAAAAAAAAAAAAAAGGTATCATAAAAAATGCTCAAACTTCCAAACTTCTCTCCACAAATGGTGCTAGAACAACTGGACATCAACATGCCAAAAATAAATAAATCAAATCTATACACAGACCTTAGTCTCTTCACAAAAATTAACTCAAAATGGATCATAGAGCTGAATGTTAAATGCAAATCTATAAAACTCCTAGAAGATAACATAGGAGAAAACCTACATGACTGGGTTTTGTGAATTTTTTTTTTTGAGACAAGAGTCTCACTCTGTCGCCCAGGCTGGAGTGCACTGGCAGAATCTTGGCTCACTGCAACCTCTGCCTCCTGGGTTCAAGTGATTCTCATGCCTCAGCCTCCTGAGTAGCTGGAATTACAGGTGTGCGCCACCACGCCCGGCTAATTTTTGTATTTTTAGTAGAGATGGGGTTTTGCCACGTTGGCCAGGCTGGTCTCAAACTCCTGGCCTCAAGTGATCCACTCACCTCGGCTTCCCAAAATACTGGGATGACAGCTGTGAGCCACCACGCCCAGCCGTGATAATTTTTTTGATACAACATCAAAGGCATGATCCATGAAAGAAACTTACAAGCTTGACTTTATTAAAATAATAATAAAAAAACCCCTCTGCTAGGCCAGGCGTGGTGGCTCACGCCTGTAATCCCAGCTCTTTGGGAGGCCGAAGCGGGCGGATCACGAGGTCAGGAGATCGAGACCATCCTGGCTAACACGGTGAAGCCCCATCTCTACTAAAAATACAAAAAATTAGCCAGGTGTGGTGGCAGGTGCCTGTAGTCCCAGCTACTCAGGAGGCTGAGGCAGGAGAATGGCGTGAACCCGGGAGGCGGAGCTTGCAGTGAGCCGAGATCACGCCACTGCACTCCAGACTGGGCGACAGAGCGAGACTCCATCTCAAAAAACAAAACAAAACAAAACCCTCTGCTCTTTGAAAAACATTTTTAATATAATGAGAAAAGCTGCAGCCTGGGAGAAACTATTTGCAAGAGACCTATCTCATGAAGGACTGCTATCCAAGATTTACAAAGGGCTCTTAAAACTCAGTTAACAGGAAAACAATCTGATTAAAAAATAGGAAAAGGGGCCAGGCATGGTGGCTTACACCTGTAATCCCAGCACTTTGGGAGGCCAAGACGGGCAGGAATTTGAGACCAGCCTGGCCAATATGGTGAAACCCTGTACTAAAAATACAAAAATTAGCCAGCATGATGGCACGTGCCTGTAGTCCCAGCTACTCGGGAGGCTGAGGCAGAAGAATTGCTTGAACCCGGGAGGCGGAGGTTGGAGTGAGCCGAGATGGTGCCACTGCACTCCAACCTGGGTGACAGAGTGAGACTCGGTCTCAAAAAAAAAAAAAAAAAAAAAAAAAAAAAAAAAAAAAAGGATTGTTTCTGGGTGTGTCTGTGAGGGTGTTGCCAGGGAGGCTGACACTTGAGTGAGTGGACGGGGAGAGGGAGACCCACTCTCAGTGTGGGTGGGCACCATCCAGTCAGCGCAGAAGGTGGGAGGGGCTGGCTTGCTGAGTCTTCTGGCTTTCATCTTTCTCCTGTGCTGGATACTTCCTGTCTTTGGAGATTAGACTCCAGGTTCTTTGGCCTTTGGACTCTTGAACTTCCACCAGTGGTTTGTCGGGGACTCTTAGGCCTTCCGCCACAGACTGAAGGCTGCGCCGTTGGCTTCCCTACTTTTGAGGCTTTTGGACTTTGAGACGTGACTGGCTTCTTCCTTCCTCAGCTTGCAGATGGACTATAGTGGGACTTTGCCTGATGATCCTGTCAGCCAGTTCTCCCTAATATACTCCCTTTCAATATATACATATATCCTGTTAGTTCTGGCCCTCTGGAGAACCCTAATACAGATGGCAAATAAACACAGGAAAAGATGTTCACCGTATGTCATTAGGGAACCGTCCATTAAAACAAGACACCACTGGCCGGGCGCGGGGGCTCACACCTGTAATCCCAGCACTTTGGAAGGCCAAGGCAGGTGGATCACGAGGTCAAGAGATCGAGATCATCCTGGCCAACATGGTGAAACCCCGTTTCTACTAAAAATACAAAAATTAGCTGGGCGTGGTGGCGCACGCCTGTAGTCCCAGCTACTCGGGAGGCTGAGGCAGGAGAATCGCTTGAACCCAGGAGGCGGAGGTTGCAGTGAGCCGAGACCATGCCACTGCACTCTAGCCTGGAAGACAGAGTGAGACTCTGTCTCAAAAAAACAAAAAAAAAACAAGACACCACTACATACCTATTAGAATGCCAAATCCAAAATGCTGGCACCACCAAATGCTGGCAGAAATGTGGAGCAACAGAAACCCTTCTTCATTGGTGCTGGCAATGCAGAATGGTACAGCTACTTTGGAGGACAGTGTGGTGGTCTCTCATAATCCTAAACATACTCTTAGAATATGAACCAGCAACACTGCTCCCCAGTATTTACACAGATGGGTTGAAAACTTCTGCCCACAAAGAAATCTGCACGTGCACGTTTATGGCAGCTTTCTTTATCACTGCCAAAAACTTGGAAGGAACCAAGATATCCTTCAATAAATGTCTTACTACATTCTGGTTGTTGTAACAAAATACCATACACTGCGTAGCTGAGGCAGGAGGATCACTTGAGCCTGGGAGGTTGAAGCTGCTGTGGGCTGAGACAGAGATCACATCATTGCACTCCAGCCTGGGTGACAGAATGAGAAACCCTGTCTCAAAAAAAAAAAAAAAGTACAGTTTTGGTTTTTGCTGTGACTGGGCTCCTGGAGTGAGAGCTCTGGATCCCAGCTGCAAGATGAGGAATCTGGAGCCGAGAGAAGGGAAACGAGTTTTCCAAGTCATACGGCTGGTTAAGTAAAAGAGCCGGGATTATGACTTAGGTTTCCTGCCCCCCAAGATTATTATTTTTTGAAACAGAGTTTCGCTCTGTCTCCCAGGCTGGAGTGCAATGGCATGATCTGGGCTCACTGCAACCTCCACCCCCAGGGTTCTAGCGATTCTCCTGCCTCAGCCTCATGAGTAACTGGGATTACAGGCATGCGCCACCATGCCCGGCTAATTTTTCTGTATTTTTAGTAGAGACGGGGTTTCGCCATGTTGGCCAGGCTGGTCTTGAACTCCTGACCTCAGGTGATCCACACGCCTCGGCCTCCCAAAGTGCTAGGATCACACGCATGAGCCACCGCGCCTGGCCTACCCAAGATTATTAAAATAAGTTTTCAGAAGCAACCCCCTACTGGCCAGGCGCAGTGGCTCATGCCTGTAATCCCGGCACTTTGGGAGGCAGAGGCGGGCGGGTCACCTGAGGTCCGGAATTCCAGATACTGTGAAACCCCGTCTTCACTAAAAATACAAAAATTAGCTGGGTGTGGTGGTGCACGCCTGTAAAGAGAATTGCTTGAACCTGGGAGGCAAAGGTTGCAGTGAGCTGAGATCGTGCTACTGCACTCCAGCCTGGGCGACAGAGCCGTCTCAAAAAATAATAATAATAATAGATTTTTTAAGAAAAGCAATCCCCTAGTGACTTCTTAGAGCACATCATCAGACAGTTGGGGTAAAATTCTGAAGTGGATTAAGGGAGGGGTGCTGGTTTGCCTGGATGGCTACATGAACATAGCCCTGGAACCAACCAAATATGTAACTGGACAACAGAAAAATAAGTACAGGGTGCATTAATCAGAGGCAACAATGTTTTGTACTTAAGTACACAGAAGACACGATGTGAAGACACCAAGAGAACAGTACTTTTCATGGTTAGACACATTTCTTAGGTATTTTTTCTACTTTGGGATTCTTTTGTGATATAATTTGTCCTGTTTACATAATTTTTTTCCCTGACATGTAAGATAAATGTATCTAATTGTGGGCTTACTTGTAAAGAGTTTTCACATTTAAGTTCCAGTCATTTCATTTTATCGCTGTGTCTGTGTACAGAATGCTAAAGAATAAGACATAAAAAATAAAAGTACAGTTATAAACACCTCTTTTAAAAGGCAGAGACTGTTCGCTTGGGCAAAAAAAAGCAAGATCCAACTACATGCTATCTACAAGAAACCCACCCTAAATACAACAGGTAAAAGGAAGCTAAATGGAACGTGGGTCCTGGCTTGTACCCTGGCATGTAAAGAAAACATTGGAGGAAAAGGTGGTGAAATCCCAGTAAAGTCTGGGTTTTAGTTACAGTAATGCATCATGTCAGTATCTACAACAAACCACTTTTGTTGGTGCTTGTGATGACAGCATCAGAAGAAACTGAGCATAAAACATGGTGGACTGCGTATGATCTTTGCAACTTTTCTTTTTTTTTTTTTTGAGACAAGAATTTCACTCTTGTTGCCCAGGCTGGAGTGCAATGGTGTAACCTCGGCTCACTGCAACCTTGGCCTCCTGGGTTCAAGCGATTCTCCTGCCTCAGCCTCCCGAGTAGCCGGGATTACAGGTGCACGCGCCACCACGCCCAGCTAATTTCTGTATTTTTAGTAGAGACGGGACTTCACCATGTTGGCCAGGCTGATCTTGAACTCCTGACCCCAGGTGATCCACCCATCTCGGCCTCCCAAAGTGTTGGGATTACAGGCGTGAGCCAGCGCGCCCGGTCTTTGCAACGTTTTGAATAAATCCAAAATTATTCCAGAACAAAAAGCTTAGTACCAAAAAGAAAACAAAAACAAAAACAAAACAAACCCCCCCCCCCCCACAGAGTAAAATAACGGAAAAAGATCTACTATGCTAGCACTAACAAAATAATACGTAGTTATGAAAATGGTATGTATTTTTCAAGCTAGACGTTCATAATGGTAGAACATGAGGAGGAAAACTGCCTCTTAAATCCCACCACTTACTGTGACGCAGTGACCGGTCCCTGCAGCGGACTGGATAGTTGTATCAGAGTCCTGGACGGAAACAGATGGCACTCAAAAGGTGGCGCGCAGTTCAGAGAAATGCCTATGTACGGATTTGGTCCAATGCCTCAGCCTGACCTCAGGGACCTTCGGGGGTCTGCTCCGCGCCCACCCTTACACATCTGTGACCCCACACACTTCCACCCCAGCGCCACTGCCAACAGCTACACCCATCCCCCTCCAACCGCGTCAGCTTCCAGCCTCGGTCCATCTGAACTCGCCGTGCCCCCTCCCCTGCGCCCTTCCAGATTCATTTGCTAGGGAAGCCCGCTCTTCCGGGTGGAGCTGTTCCTCATCCCCTTTCTTTATCATTCTCTCCCCAGGGCTTCCACATCACCGTGCTGTGGACAATCCCGGAACTCCTGTCACGCCAGTTTACATTTAGGAACAGTAATGGCTCCCACTGACTCAGTCAAAACAAGGCTGCGGCCGGGCACGGTGGCTCACGCCCGTAATCCCAGCACTTTGGGAAGCCGAGACGGAGGGATCACGAGGTCAGGAGTTCGAGAACAGCCTGGCCGACATGGTGAAACCCCGTCTTTACTAAAAACACAAAAATTAGCCGGGCATAGTGGCGCGCGCCTGTAATCCCAGCTACTCCGGAGGCTGAGGCAGAATTGTTTGAACCCAGGAGGCGGAGGTTGCAGTGAGCAGAGATCACGCCACTGTACTCTATCGTGGGCGACGACAGAGCAAGAGCAAGACTCCGTCTCCGAGAACAACAACAACAGCAACAAGAAAACAACAATAAAAAAAATAAGGCTGCGTGGGAGGCAGAAAGAGCTAATGCGGCCACGCTTGTCCCCTCGGGGCCACCGTCCCCACCCAGACTTCCGGTCTGCCTTAAAATGTTCATGCGTAAGTGCGTGGGCAGGAAGGCGGGCTCAAGCGCAGCTCGTGGCGTTCATTGGCTGTGCAGGGCCGAGGGAGGCGGTGCAAGGCCGCCGCGTGACGTCAGGACGCCGCGGTCAGGACGTCGAAGCCAAAGAAGACCAGAGCCAGCCGGGTGGCACAGCGGTGTCGTGGCCGTGTTGCTGATCGCCTGGGTGGTTGTTGGCGTGTCCCTGCAGCGAAGGATCCTGGTTGGTAAGGGGAGCGGCGGGCGAGCAGGCGGGCGGGGATAGCATCTCCTTTTGGTCTTGCGCCCCGCGAGCCCCGAGGCCTTCTCGGCCGTCGCAGCAGCAGACGCCGCGCGCGAGCGTCGACAGGGTGTGGCGGCGCAGGGGCAGCCACTGCGCCTGCGCACCGGGCCTGGGGCCGCGCGTTCGGGCACTAGCGCGCGTGCGCCGTCGTCTTCTACTTTCCGTTCCTCTCCCTTGGAGTTCTCGGGGCCCCGGGGCGCCCCTCACTCGCCGTTGACCGGGTGTTGCCCCGGGCGACGGGCGGCTCCTGCGCGTCTTTCTGGGGCGTGGTGCGCAGGCGCGGCCTGGGCAGTGGCTCCGTGGCTAGTCGTGGGGATCCGAGCGGCCTCCTCCACCCGGCGTCCTCCTTTGCCTTCGCCCAGCCTGCGGGACGGCCAGGTGCTCCCGGGACCTCAGGCCTCGCGTCTGATGCCTGTCTCTGTTCTTGAGACCCGTCTGGGAGTCCTCTGTCCAGCCCCCAACTCCTGACCTTACCTCTAATCTCCCTTCTGCCCTGGGGCTCCTCTTCCTGTGTCCCCGCCACGATCCCTCGTCTCCACCCACGCCCTGTGTCCTGTTTAAGTTAAGCCTTTGCGTTTCTAGGGCTTTTCCCCAGCTCCAGACTCCCGTTCCTATCCCGTCAACTCGTGAGAATTCCGGTTCTCCTGCGGGATTAATTATCCTACTTATCAGTTACTCTCTCTCGGGAGTTTAGGCTCCTGAATCCTTGCTCCGGAGACACTCCACTTTTCTTCCAATTCTCTCTGTACCCCACTCTTAATTCGTTGAACATGTTTTGGGTCTTCTTTGGCATTCCCAAAGCTTTATGTCCAGACACCCAACCAAGGTGATCCCTTTTCTCTCCCAGCCCTACCCCTGCTTCCGGGAACCTCCCGTGGAAGCAGGCAGGGGTAGTCCCACTGAGGACTCCCACGTAGGTCTCTTTACTGCCCTTCGGAGACCTTTTTGAAATCAGTCTGTCAGTGCTAAGAACCCATTTCTTCACGTTGGGGTTCACGTTGGCATTCTCAGGAGCGCTCAACGACCACTTGCTTCCAGGGTTAACTTCCGGAAAATCCCCTTTTCCTCTCAAAATTTTCTTCTCTTCTCCAATATTCTTCCAGCCCCCTCGATGCTCCCTGAAAGGCCTCCCTTTTCACAGAGTTCTCGGAAACCTTTCCACCCTCTCAGCCTTAAGGGTTCCCTCAGACTCTTCTCATTATAGCATCCATCCTCTTGGTTCAGGTTCCTTTCACAACCCGTACTCCTTAGCTTTTTTTTTTTTTTTTTTTTGAGACAGAGTTTCGCTCTTGTTGCCCAGGCTGGAGAGCAATGGCGCAGTCTCAGCTTACCGCCCTCCACCTCCCGTGTTCAAGCGATTCTCCTGCCTCGGCCTCCCTAGTAGCTGGGATTACAGGCATATGCCACCATGCCCAGCTAATTTGGTATTTTTAGTAGAGACGTGGTTACTCCATGTTGGTTAGGCTGGTCTCGAACTCCCGACCTCAGGTGACCTGCCCGCCTTGGCCTCTCAAAGTGCTGGGATTACAGGCGTGAGCCACCGCGCCTGGCCCCTAGAATTTTTTGTAGACCTTTTCCCCTTGATGGAGGCACCCCTACCCTCTGGACCTTTCATCACAGCCTCTCTTTGCTCACATGGGTTTCAGACCCTTCTCCTTTCCTTTGGGAAGTCTGCTCTGGCTTCCCTGTTTCCAAATCCTTCGTTTTCCACCTGGAGCTCTACAAAGGGGCCAGGGGCTTCCCCTCACTCCAGCCTTTCTAGTCCACACCCAGAACTCTTCAGATCCTTGACCCCAGTGGCTTTTCAGTCAGCCTCCCCTTTTCTGCCCAGCTTCTCTTGAGTCCATCTACTTTTCTTCCCCACTTTGTGACGTGTTTTTAGCTCCCCCTTAAGTCTCCCTAACTCATTCTTTTTCTCATAGGCAGTGAAAAAGCAGTCTGGCTCCCGAGGTCCACCCCTTATACCCCAAGGTCCAGATGGCGGCCAACGTGGGTGATCAACGTAGCACAGATTGGTTAGTGAGGCGAGAGGGACGGAGGCCAGTCGGGAGGGAAAGAGGAAGCAAGACCCAGTGCTGTCCTCTGGGGTGGGACCTCCCGTGGCCTTAGGGGAGGTGATGCCACAATCCCTGTGGGTGGGGGTGGTGGTAAGGCAAACACAGAGGGAAGCATTTGGTTGTGGTGTGGAGAGGGGCAAGCTTTCACCTCTCTGAGCTTTCGTTTTTCACAGTACAGCGCTTGCTTTGCAGAATTGTGATGATTCATTCAAGCAAGTGTAATTAGGAGGCAGCTTCCCAACACTCAATACACAGTCATTTATTTGTTTTTCTGCTGATTCCTTATTTTTTCTCAAAATAGTGTGATAACCTGCCGACTGGGGTGATGTCAGACAGAATTCATTGATTCATGAAAGACATAGCCCTAGGAGGTGCCAGGGCCTGTGTTCAGTTCTGTGGGTTCTGTTAATTGTTTTGTTTGTTTGGTTTTAACAACTGCTGTGTGCCAGGCTCTGGGATAAGTACCTTAAGTAGGTGATCTCATTTATCCCTCCCAGCAGACTCTGAAGCAGAAACCCTTTATCAGCATAGTACAGATTAGAAAACTTAGGCTTAGACTGGTAGTAACAGTTAGATATGGGATCCAGGGGCTGGAATTTGCCTCCCAACTTGCCCACCTGTGTACAGTGGGGAGAACAGGTGTGACTTGATGTCCTCTCTCTCTGCAGGTCTTCTCAGTACAGCATGGTGGCTGGGGCAGGCCGAGAGAATGGCATGGAGACGCCGATGCACGAGAACCCGGAGTGGGAGAAGGCCCGTCAGGCCCTGGCCAGCATCAGCAAGTCAGGAGCTGCCGGCGGCTCTGCCAAGTCCAGCAGCAATGGGCCTGTGGCCAGTGCACAGGTGAGAAGGCCTCATGGGGCTGGGGTACCCTGAGCCAGAGGTTGTGGGAGGGACACAGTCTGGCGTCCTGTTGTATCATTCAGACGGGGTGCTCTGAGGGGAAACATAAAAAGACGTTCCAGGGTATCTAAATCTGAACGGGAAAAAGTTCTGTTTCCTTGAGGAAATTAGGGCGTGATGTGGTTCTGAAGAGGGAGGCCATGCCCATGCCCCTGGTCTCTAACGTGCGTGAGTCTCATGGTAGAGACAGTGGCTCACTTTGCAGATACATGGACCCAGTTTCATCCCTTGGCAATTGGCCACCAGTAAACAGGCTTGCCCTTTGGGGGCCGTGTGCCTGTGGATTTGGGCTGCTGACGGCACATGTGCCTCTCTGCTTCCACAGTACGTGTCCCAGGCAGAAGCCTCAGCTTTGCAGCAGCAGCAGTACTACCAGTGGTACCAGCAGTACAACTATGCCTACCCCTACAGCTACTACTATCCCATGGTGAGTGCCCAGCCAGTGGGGCGGGGCAGGGCGAGGTGGAGTCTGCTGGGTCGGGGCGAGGTGAAGTGGAGTCTGCCGGGATGGGGCCGGGTGGTGGATGGACTGGAGATCGCAGTGATAACTGCTCAGAAACCCTCTAACTTGCCCAGGAGGTAAATTCCTAGGTCCCCGCCATGAGCCACAAGGTCCTACATACCCGGTTCTGGTCCCTTCTCTCCTCATGCTCATTCTGCCATGGCCATCGAAGCAGAGACCTCCTTGATGCCCGCACCCGCCAGGCCCGCTCTCGCTTTGCCCTGGCTGCAGTGCTCCCTGTGTTGCCGCCTCTTGGAGGTCTCTGCTCAGATGCCGCCTTCAGAGAGCCTCTACCTGACACACTGATTGAAAGTAGCATTCCTGCCTCGCAGCCTGTCCCTCTCCCTTTCTTTGCCATCTTATTGTTTCATGATCCTTATTGCTGGATGTATTACATGTTGATGTCTCCAGCCGGACATGTAATTCCAGCACAAGCTTCATTACAGCATGGGTTTTCCTTTTGTTCTGTCGTAGTGCTTAGAAGAGTTGGCACTCAGTATCGTTGATTATATTCTTCCGAGAACTAGCTAAGTGAGATGTGGGATTGATAGAGGTTTTTCTTTTCCTAATATATGAGAGGATGTGGTGCATTAATATAGTGGAGAGAGAAAGGGGTGAGGGATTGGTAGAGGGTCATGGCTGGTGTAGTTCCTGAGCAGGCTGGGGAAGCGGAAAGGGTAGGCCTCCCACTAAACCCTCCCTCCCTGCGCCTTTGCAGAGCATGTACCAGAGCTATGGCTCCCCTTCCCAGTATGGGATGGCCGGCTCCTATGGCTCAGCCACACCCCAGCAGCCATCCGCACCCCAACACCAAGGGACTCTGAACCAGGTAACATCCTAGCCCAGCTCCCATACCCTGCTCAAGCAGAGGAAGTGTAGATTTTTGAATGAGCTGTCAATGAGGAATGGCTTGTACTCCTTAAGCTGCTTTTTTCCTTCCAAGCAACTCCTGATCTGAAAATGAGGAGGACAGAGCATAGTGTTTGAACCTGGGGTGGGTTTAAGGCTGAGCCAAGGCCAGGGCTGAGATGTTGAAAGACATCTCATCTTTTTCCCTAGCATGGTCACCCACAGGCGTGCACACACCGGCTGGGTTTTGCATTGAATGTGCAGCTTGGAGGAATGGCCGGGCTAGTGCACAGGAGGCAGGTAGACCTGGGTTTGAATCCCAGCTGTCCCACCCCTGGTGTAATTACGCATCTCGGTCAGCTCTCGAAAGCGGGAAGGATGGTAGCCTCATCCTTGGGCTCCATGAGTGTGTGTGCTCATGGGTGTCTTGTGCTCAGATGGTAGCGCTGGAGTGGGTGTGTTGTCGGTGGCTGTTACTCCAGCATTGAAACGCTGCCAGCTGCCGCTTCATAGCTTAGGGCCCTGGGAAGTCGCTTAGTCTCTGAGCTGGAGCCTTGTCAGCTGTGAAAAGGGCTGTTAACAAATGTTAACCTCACAGAGTTACTGAGGACTCGAATGAACTCACATTTGGGAAGGTCACGGGAGGGTTGAGTGCTGAGTGCTGTGACCACCGCGTCCTCACAGCGAGGGCTGAGTGCCACTCGCCAGCCCCAGAATCTGCCTCCCGTGCTCAGCGCCTGCTTCCTTCTGCAGCCCCCAGTCCCCGGCATGGATGAGAGCATGTCCTACCAGGCTCCCCCTCAGCAGCTGCCGTCGGCTCAGCCCCCTCAGCCCTCAAATCCCCCACATGGGGCTCACACGCTGAACAGTGGCCCTCAGCCTGGGACAGCTCCAGCCACACAGCACAGCCAGGCGGGGCCCGCCACGGGCCAGGCCTATGGGCCACACACCTACACCGAACCTGCCAAGCCCAAGAAGGGCCAACAGCTGTGGAACCGCATGAAGCGTAAGTTGGCAGAGCTACGTGGAGGTCGGAGCGGTTGGGCCCTCACAAGAGCTCCTGGGTGTGAGGCCCGTGGTGTGTGCTGCTCCTTGTTTCTGGGTGTTGTGATCGCCAGGCTGGGGGTGGGGCTGCTCTGGACCAGGCACATGTGTGCTGGAGCCCTCCTCTAGAACCTGAGCGCTCCTCCCTGCATTTCCACTTCCTCCCGTCCCCTGGGGACCCCTGGATGTGCCGGGGAAGGGCCTAACCATAGCTTTCGCTGCCCTCACAGCCGCCCCTGGGACTGGAGGTCTCAAGTTCAACATCCAGAAGCGACCCTTTGCTGTTACCACCCAGAGCTTTGGCTCCAACGCAGAGGGCCAGCACAGTGGTTTTGGCCCCCAGCCCAACCCTGAGAAAGTTCAGAACCACAGGTGACGTCTGCCCCCTTGCCCCGTCGCAGCCCCACACTCTGCACTCAGCGTCTATGGTCCAGTCCCACTGGCCAGCTGCCCACCCTGAGCCTCAGTGTGCGCCTCTGAAAAGGGCAGAAGGACCCTCTCTTGGGGGTTGCTGTGAGCACTGAAGGAGACAGAAGGAAAACTTGGGGACTGCGTCCCGCTGTGTCAGCTCAGAGTGGCGGTGGGGATGGTCTTTTGAGTTTGGGATCGTCTCCAGCTGAGCCCCTCATCTGTCCTCCCGCAGCGGGTCCTCTGCCCGGGGGAACCTGTCTGGGAAGCCCGATGACTGGCCCCAGGACATGAAAGAGTATGTGGAGCGCTGCTTCACCGCCTGTGAGTCGGAGGAGGACAAGGACCGCACGGAAAAGCTGCTCAAGGAGGTGCTGCAGGCGCGGCTGCAGGACGGCTCGGCCTATACCATTGACTGGAGCCGGGAGCCCTTGCCGGGGTTAGTCTGGGTGGGGGACATAGGTGGGAGGGTGGTGCTGTGAGAGGCATGGGCTGGGTATGGAGGTAGGAGAGTTGCGGGTCCCAGGTACCAGGAGCTCCAAAGAGAAATGAACCGGAAAGTTGGATCCTGGGGGGATGAAGTCCTGGTTGGAGGGAGGCCGGTGGGGTGGGGTGGGGACCATGGGTGCTGGAGAGGCGTGCATTGCTCAGTGGTTAAGCGCACCCTCTGGAGACGGAAAACCTGGGTTCGCGTCTCATTTCTGCACTGTAGTAGCTGAGCCGCCTGGGGTAAGTGCCTTTCCTTTCGGAGGCGGGTCGGTACCTTGAGGGAGGTGGTGGCGGCTGTCCTGCCAGTGTCTGGCGGGGTTGGTGACGCCCTGCCCTGCTGTATTCTCAGGCTGACCCGGGAGCCTGTGGCTGAGAGCCCTAAGAAGAAGCGGTGGGAGGCCGCTAGCAGCCTTCACCCTCCTAGAGGGGCAGGCTCGGCGACAAGGGGCGGGGGTGCCCCGTCCCAGCGAGGGACGCCCGGGGCTGGGGGTGCCGGTCGAGCCCGGGGCAACAGCTTCACCAAGTTTGGCAACCGCAACGTCTTCATGAAGGACAACAGCTCTTCTTCCAGCACAGACTCCCGCTCCCGCTCCTCCTCCAGGTCCCCGACGCGCCACTTCCGCAGAAGGTACTGAGGCTCCCGGCTGGGGCTGTGTGTGAGGGAGGGGGAGGCGTTTCAGGCCTGACCCTCCTGCTTCTTCCTGCAGTGACTCCCACTCAGACTCCGACAGCTCCTACTCAGGGAATGAGTGTCACCCTGTGGGCCGCAGGAACCCGCCCCCTAAGGGCCGGGGCGGTCGAGGGGCCCATATGGATCGGGGCCGAGGCAGGGCGCAGCGTGGGAAGAGGTGAGACTGTGTGAGGGCTCGACACACGGGCCAGGGTGGAGGAGGGTACTGGGGACCCATGGGAGAAGGAGGAGGAGGGCCGGACAGGTGGACAGCCAGCTGCCAAAGGGGCGAGGCTGAAGGGGGGCTGGAGACGCCTGTCGCGCTCACTGCCCCTCATCCCTTCCTAGGCACGATCTGGCGCCCACCAAGCGCAGTCGAAAGAAGATGGCGGCGCTGGAGTGTGAGGACCCGGAGCGAGAGCTGAAGAAGCAGAAGCGGGCAGCCCGCTTCCAGCACGGACACTCCCGCCGCCTGCGCCTCGAGCCCCTGGTGCTGCAGATGAGCAGCCTGGAGAGCAGTGGGGCTGACCCTGACTGGCAGGAGCTGCAGATCGTGGGCACCTGCCCTGACATCACCAAGCACTACCTGCGCCTCACCTGTGCCCCCGACCCGTCCACCGTGCGCCCTGTGGCAGTAAGTGCCCAGCAGGGCAGTTCTGCTCTGTGAGGCCGTGCTGGCTCAGGACTTGGGGAGCCAACCCAGGGAGGGTGGCAGAGGCCACACGGGGGCTCTGGTATGGCAGGGGAAGCTCGGCCAGAGACGCCTCGGCTGGTCGGCGTTCTGAGAGGAGCGCAAAGGCGCTCTGCTGCCCTGGAGCCCCGCGTGGCGGGTGTGCAGCTTGGCCGGCGAATCGCTTGACCTCTGGGCCGTGGTTCCTGGCTTAGGTGACACGGAGCATAAAGCCTTCTCCCAGGCCCGTGGGCTGTGGGGCGTGGGGGGCTGTGCTTCCAGTGTTTGGCGTAGTCACTGTTCTGCTGCAGAACCTGTGAACAGCCATGTGCTTATAGGGAAATGGGTGTGGAGGTGGCCACTCTTAACCCATGTCTTGTGGGTTTGTTTTCTCTTTTTTTGGGAGAGAGTCTGGCTCTGTCGCCCAAGCTGGAGTGCAATGGCGTGATCTTGGCTCACCGCAGCCTCCGCTCCCCGGCTTCAAGCGATTCTCCTGCCTCAGCCTCCCTAGTGGCTGGGATTACAGGCGTCTGCCACTACGCCTGGCTGATTTTTGTATTTTTAGTAGAGACGGGGTTTCACCATGTTGGCCAGGTTGGTCTCAAACTCCTGACCTCAGATGATCCACACACCTCGGCCTCCCAAAGTGCTGGGATTACAGGCGTGAGCCACTGCGCCTGGCCTTTTTTTTCTTTTTTTAATGTTGCAACTCTCCCACCAAATAAGTGGAAGCCGTTGGCCACGCTACCTGAGTTGTACTCCGAGTGTGAATTCAGTTCCCTTTTTCAGGTTTTGAAAAAGTCGCTGTGCATGGTCAAGTGCCACTGGAAAGAGAAGCAGGACTACGCGTTTGCCTGCGAGCAGATGAAGTCGATCCGGCAGGATCTGACGGTGAGACTCGCGCTGGGAGGGGCCTGGCCTCAGCCAGTCCTGCCTCCCGCTCCTTGTGACTCTTGTTCTCGCCCCGCTGCCCCAGGTGCAGGGCATCCGCACCGAGTTCACGGTGGAGGTGTACGAGACCCATGCCCGGATCGCCTTGGAGAAGGTGAGCTGGCCTCTGCGGGCCTCCCCAGCCCCTTTCCTGCTGCCGTTCTGCCCTCAGCACCCTCACTCTGCTCTCCTCCCTCGGTGCCTCTGCCTTCCAGGGTGACCATGAAGAGTTTAACCAGTGCCAGACGCAGCTCAAGTCGCTGTACGCCGAGAACTTGCCTGGCAATGTGGGCGAGTTTACTGCCTACCGAATCCTCTACTACATCTTCACCAAGAACTCGGGAGGTGAGGCCCAGTCCCCAGGACAGAGGCCATGGTACCCAGGGTTGAGCCCTGCTGACTTCACCCTCTTTGTCTTGGTGCTAGACATCACCACGGAGCTGGCATACCTCACACGAGAACTGAAGGCAGATCCTTGCGTGGCCCACGCCTTGGCATTAAGGACAGCCTGGGCCCTGGGCAACTACCACCGCTTTTTCCGGCTCTACTGCCATGCACCCTGCATGTCTGGCTACCTCGTGGACAAGTTTGCAGATCGGGAGCGCAAGGTCGCCCTCAAGGCCATGATCAAAACGTATGTGGTGCCAAGCTCCCTTCTGCCTTTGCTCTTCCCATCCTTCCGCCTCGCACCGCCCCTCAGACCAGCTCCTGGCCGCAGGCCTCCCCCAGCCCCCAACCCTTGTCCTGGTCCTTGCTTCCCCATCATCTTTCTCCATTCAGCCCTCCCCTCTCCAGTTCCTCTTGCTCTCCTTGTTGGTCACCTCTGTGTTCCGGGTCACTCCTCTCCCTCTCCCCACTGTTCCCAGCTCACTGCCTCTGGGGCCTCTTCTCCACCCCATCTGTGTGTCTCTTCCTCCTGTTCTCTCCTGCCTGGACCCCCTAGTTCACTCCTTGCCCTGGGCTTCCTCAGAACCCTGAGGTCTCTGCTTTCTCAGCTTGTCGCTGTGCTCCCACCATAGAGACCATCTAGACAGCCTCTGGTCTACCAGGACAAGGCCCAGTCCCACTCAGCTCCTTTGAGAGCACCAGAAACGCTTAGGGAGACACCTGTGTTGAGGCCACACTGGGCGCGGTGCCAGAGGCCCCTGGTCAGGCCATGCCCCTGCAGTGTCCTTCGTTCACTAGACATTGCGCCTGGCTTGCTGTGGGTGGGGATGAGTTGCTTGACTCATGTTTAGACGCATGGTTCTGTCTGGTGATTGAGGTGCCCAGGCGACGCTGGGCAATGTCAAGAGAGGTTTTGGCTTGTCACAGCAAGGGGATGCTCTTGGCATCTAGTGAGTGGAGGCCAGGGATGCTGCCCTGCCACTGCCATTGGGCCTCAGAGCTCAGTCTTGCCAAGGTGGAGAAATTCTGGTCGAAGAGGTTGACCGGTAGACTGAAGAGGCCTTGAGAGCCTGGCCAGGTGGCTGTCCACGTGAGGTCATAGTCACAGCATGGAGGCCTTGAGAGCCTGGCCAGGTGGCCCTCCACGTGAGGTCATGGTCACAGCATGGGGGCCTTGAGTGCCTGGCCAGGTGGCCCTCCACGTGAGGTCATGGTCACAGCATGGAGGCCTTGAGAGCCTGGCCAGGTGGCCCTCCATGTGAGGTTGTGGTCACAGCATGGGGGCCTTGAGAGCCTGGCCAGGTGGCCCTCCACGTGAGGTCATGGTCACAGCATGGAGGCCTTGAGAGCCTGGCCAGGTGGCCCTCCGTGTGAGGTCATGGTCACAGCATAGTTTGGAGCTAGGGAGGGACTGTCAGCCTGGAGGTTTGGAGACTCATTCTGGAATCTAGTGTGGGTCAAGCCAACTTCAGGGAGAGGCTGAGCCAGGGTAGGAGTCACAGGAGCAGACGAGGATGTGGGGTGCCGTGCACAGAGCTCCATGACCAGCTTGGGAAGTTAGAAGGAAGGGGAGGCAGGAGGCTGCTTAGTCTGCTGCCATGATGGGCCCCATGAATGGTGGCTCTCAAGCTTCTGTGCTACACAGGGGTGTGTGGTTGGGCGAGTGTCCTTGTTAATTGATACCTAATTGGCCTTGGTTGGGAACATAGCCATGAGTGCCCCTCGTGGGTGGGGCGCCAGTCTGTCATTGACCTCATTGTGTCAGCACCTTCCCCTCAAGGAGGCTGACCCTGCCCTGCCAGCTGAGACTGGGAGACGGAGTGGGCTCTGATCCCAGGGCTTCCAGGAAAGCTCTGGCTTTGGAGCAGAAGCGGGTTCTAGGACTTAGTGCCCCTCACTCGGTGCCTGGGTTCCTGTGTGTGTGGAAAGGGTAGGGCTGCACCCTGTGGAAGAGGGTTCAGGGAGCTCTGAGGACCTGGCTCGTGCTAGATGCTCAGTCAGTAGTGTGTTTTAGCAGCAGCCGGAAGTGACTGCTTTCAGTGTGTAGTGGTGAGTGCTAGCTGGCACCCCTGCGCCTGGCTTCCCAGACACTGTAACGCAGGGCAGGGGAGGCAGCGAGGGCTGGGTCCCCACGGTGGCCCTGGCAGCCCCGCCATCCCCATCCCCTGCCACGTGCTGCTCCCTCCATCTGGTCCCTGCCCCTCAGCCAGCGGAGGAGCCCGCTGGGCCCTTCCCTGCCCGTCCCCGCTCCTCCCTGGCCCCCGCACAGGTAAGTGAGGGTGAGGGGGGCACAGGGGACTGGGGTCACTAACCCCCCCCCGGGCCCCCCCCGAGCCCCTGAGGTGGGGAGGCTGGGAGGCGGGTGGGGAGCCAGCAGGCACTGTGCTGAGGAAATCCTGTGGGCACCCGAATGGGGGGGCCTCCCCGCTCGTGGGGCCCTCCCCTGCCCTCCCGCCCGCCCGCCTCATCACCTTCTCCTCTTGTCTCCATAGCTTCCGCCCTGCGCTGCCAGTCTCCTACCTGCAGGCCGAGCTGGCCTTCGAGGGCGAGGCCGCCTGCCGGGCCTTCCTAGAGCCCCTGGGCCTGGCCTACACGGGCCCGGACAACTCCAGCATCGACTGCCGCCTCAGCCTGGCGCAGCTGTCAGCCTTCTGAGCACCCAGCGAGGAGGGGCGGGGGCAGGGGCTGCAGCCCCCAGCGCTGCCTTTGCGGATTCTGTTTTTGAGCCGTGGACTTGGGTTGTAAATTTATTTGTGGGGAGTGCGCTCCAGGAAGAGCCACCATCCCTGCCCCCGTTTTCCCACCGGGGAGTCTGTACAGAGATTTTTCTACGTTTTTATTTTTTGCCTCAGAGGGATGGGATTGGGGAGGAGGGGATGGGCAGCGGAGGGTTGGGGGCATGGTCTGCAGGCTCATCTGTGTCCGCCTTTCACTCCACTAATGCTGTCTCAGTGTTTTCTCTCTCTCTCTTTCGAGCTTGCACTCCGGTACCCGACCCGGCGCCCTGGCCCATCCCATGCCGGGGGGCCAGTGGAAAGAAGACAGGCCGTCCAGCCCGTGCCCGCCTGCGGCGGGGGCACCCAGCAAGCCCGCCCACCGCCCGCTGCCTCACCTGCTTCGCCACAGACTCTTGTTCCCAGCCCCTTGGGGCCTCCGTGTTTGGGGTGGGGGAGCTGCTTAGAGACTGTGCCCGTCCTCGGCCCCCCACCCTGAAGTGCCAGCACCACCAGCACCAGATCCTCCGCCGCCACACCGCACTGAGGACACGCCGGCCGGGCCGCCTCGTCTCAAGTTGTATAAAGTTGTCTCCGTGTCCCCTCCTCCCTCTGCCCCCAGTGTTTCTTCTGATTTTTTTTTCCCCTTTCCCTCCCTCCCTCTCCGCATTCTTCCCTTGGTTCAGCACAGGTAAAACGGTTCCCCTCCCTCCCTGCCTTCATGGATCACCAGCTCACGTCATGTTGCCTTCTCTTTTCTTTGTGTGTGTGTTTATTTAAGTTATTTTTCTTCCTCCTCTCCCTTTTCTTTTTGGCCCTCCCTCCCTCCCTCTTCTGCCATGTAACTGGAGGATGTGCTATGAGTTTGCAAACAGCTGGACTGTCAGGCTGCTTTTTTTCCAGATGTTCCTCCTCTGCCTCCCCTTCCCCTCCTCTCCCCTCCTTTTCCTTCCTTCCTTCCTTTCCTTGGAGCACTGAGCACCATTTGGAAGCTTGAGAGAAACCAAAATTAAAGAGAGAAAGAGAGAGCGTGCACGCTCCTGCTTTGTCTTTCCTGTGTGGGCTGTTTGCATCCATTGTCTCCTCCAGAGGTCTGGGGGTGTCACTCCAGGCGGATCTCAGCCAGGGGCTGGAAAGGCCCCCCTGTCCTCCCTATACGGCACAGCCAGAGTGTCTGCAGGGGCTGGCACCCCACTTCCTGGCTGAGGGTGAACTCCAGCTTGGGGAGGTGGACCTGGGAACCATGGGGCACCTTGGCCACGGTGAGGTGGGGGTGCAGCTGCCCTGGAGACTGTAGTGTACTCAGCCCCTCGGCTTCCAGCCTCTGGCTCAGCACTTGTGCCATGCTTTCCAGTGTGGGAGAGGGTGGGGCACACAGCACATGCGGGCCCAGGAGGACCAGCTTTCTAAAGCTCAGCCGAGGGGGTGCATTTAGCCCCGGGGCCAAGAGGGCCCGTCTCAGAGCTCCAATGGCAGCGGCCTCCTCCCCAGCGCCTGCCAGTCGCAGCAGGGCCAGGGTCAGGTGTAGGTTCTGAGAGGGCACTAGGAAGTTGGCGCAGTGTGGGGCCACGTGGACCAGGTATTCCTGGGCCTTGGTCACTTCTGCTTGTAGCCCAGGCTCGGTCACCATGAGGGCCACAAAATGTGTGGGGCGCGGTTGGCAAGGGGCTGCAACACTAAGGCGGGCCCTTTTGTCCTCGGGCCAGGCCGCAGGACCCCACTCGGCTTCTGTCGTCTCAGCGGAGCCCCCCGGGACTCCCAGGGCCTGTGCTTCCTTGCCCCCCAGCAATGTGGTCCTGGTGGCTGCTGTTGGCTTCAGTGCCTCCTCAGTCACTCCGGCGAGGCGTCCTCTTGGGGCCAGTGTTCCCAAATCAGCAGCTGTGCCCAGCGCCCTCTCCTGGGCCGCCTCCAGCTCTCCGGGTTCCTCCACGCCTGGTTCCTGGTGCCCTGTGCAGAGCGGCCTTGTGCTCCCTCGCTTGGGGGCAGCCTGGGCCTCCTGACCTGTCCCCGCCAGTGTCCACTCGGCACCCTCTGCCCCGTGGGCGCCCTCGGTGTTCGGTGCGTCCAGGATGGTGGGCCCGCGTCCCGCCGCCGAGCCAGAGCCAAAGACGAGGTCGGTGCGCGAGGCGCGGTCCCACACAAGGCGGCCATGGAAGCGGAAGAAGCGCACGCGGTGCTGGGGCACTGCCAGCACGCCCGGCCCGAGCGCCGCCAGCGGCTGGTCCCAGCAAAAGGCGCTGAAGGGCTCCTCGCGCACACCCAGAAAGCGGTCGACGTAGCCCACCGAGAAGTCGGCGGGGTCGAGGCGCGGGTCCCAGCGGATGCGCTGGATGACGTCCGCGGCTGTGCGCAGCGGCGGCTTCTTGGCCCCGGCCTCCGGCTGCGCCTCGCGGCCAGGCGGCGCCGGCGCCCCAGGGTGGGGCTGGCGGCAGCGGGCGCCGAAGCGGCAGCGGCCTTCCAGGAAGAAGCGGCAGGCCGGCGGGGGCGCGGGTTCCGTGGCGGGGGCTTCCTGCGGCAACTCCGGCTCTCTGGCCGCTGCCATGGGTGCGGGGAACTGGCACGCCCGCCGCGCAGACGAGGTCGCCCCGCACGGAGGGCGGCTCCCCATGGATGCACCGAGCCTCACCCGACAGTGGCGTCAGCGGCCCGCGCTCCGGCCTAGCTCTGGGGACCACGCCGCGTGCCCTCGCGAGGACTCTGGCCCAGTCCCTCCTTGGTGGAGAGCCTGACACCGCTGCTCTGGGACTTCCCGGCTGCGCCCTCCCCCAGCGCCAGGAAAGCAAGCTGCGTAAAGGCTGCGGCAGTCTCGGTCTCCCGGAGCTCTTGGGAGCCTGGCCCCGCCCCTTTCCCGGTGATTGATGTGTGCTGCCTCTTTCTGGGTGATTTACATGTAATGCCCCGCCCCTTTCGGGATGATTACGTGTGCCTCGACCTTTAGGTGATTTACATGTAGTGCCCCGCCCCGTTCCCGGTGATTTACATGTGGTGCCCCGCCCCTTTCCTGGTGATTTACGAGTGCCCCACCCCTTTTAGGTGATTTTTTTTTTTTTTTTATGTGTGCCTCTCCCCTTCCCAAGTGATTTACATATGTTCCCCGCTCCTTTCAGGGTAATTTACATGTAATGCCCCGCCCCTTTCCGGGTGATTTACGAGTGCCTCTCCCCTTCTCAAGTGATTTACATGTGTCCCGCCCCGTTCCGGGTGATTTACATGCGTGCCCTGGCCCTTTCCCAGTGATACTTTTGTGCTGCCTCTTTCCGGGTGATTTACGTGTGTGCCTCTCCCCAAGTGATTTACATGTGTGCCCTGTCCGTTTTAAGGTGATTTACATGTGGTGCCCCGCCCCTTTCCGGGTGATTTACCTGTGTCCCATCCCTTTCCCGGTGATTTACATGTGGTGCCCCGCCCCTTTCCCGGTGATACCTGTGTGCCCCGCCCATGAGGGGACGTCTTTAAAGAACCTGGACCCGCCCTCAGTCCAAGTGATTTACATTTGCGGCCCCGCCCCTCTGGGAAACTTACGAGAACCTGGCCCCTCAGTCCAAATCATTTGCATGTTCGGCCCCATCCCTCGGGGGCCTTAAAGAACCAAGATGCCTGCGGACCCTTCCCCCACGGAGACCAGGCCCCTACTGCTCTAAAAGTGTTCTCAGACACTTCCCTCTGCAGCCGCTCCCAGAGTAAACGGCGGCTCCGCCGGGTCGGAGTCCACCTGAGGCGTTCAGGGCCAGAAGGACTCCTGGGGCTGCAGCACTCTGCAGCCCCGCCTCGGCTGGCCCCGCGGTGGCTGAGTCTGGCCCGGCCCCAGGACCACGTCCGGCCGGCGGTGGCGCACAGTATTTGACGAATGGGACTGCGGGAGCCGCCGCCTCTGCAAGGGGCACCGCCTGGCCACGCCCTCGGGCTCTCTTAAAGGAGCCGCACCCCCACCCCAGGGCAATCATCGGACCCGGACCAGGCCTCCGGGTGACACATCCGGCTCTCAGAGGCGCCAGGACCCTATCATTCATCCCTTTCCACGTGCAAAGTGAAAAGTCAGAGCCCGGGCACACACCTTGGCCGTTTATGTATACAGAAGTGGGGTGCCGGGCGGGAAGGGCGCGGGGAATGAGGGAACCTAGAGGCCGATGACGTCGTTCAGCTCGAGGTCCGCGTTGGGGCGGCAGCGGGCCTGGGGGGGCTGCGTCCCGGGGCGGGGTTCCGCGTCGGGCTTGGCGGCAGCCGCCTCCGGGCGCGCCGCGTCCATGACGCCCAGCACCGCGTCCAGCATGGAGGGCCCCAGATCCAGGTGGAAGGACAGCAGCGGGTCGGCAGGCGAGGGCGCTGCGGACTGCGGGACGGCGGGCGGCGGCGGGGAGCGCGGGGCCCCCGCGGGGGGCGCCCGGGGCTCGGGGGGCGGCCCGCCGCCGTGGCGGCTCAGGAACGAGGTGTCCCCGAAGGCGTCGCCGCCGCGCCCCACGTGCAGCGTGTGCCGGAAGTCGCCGAGCGGCGCGGAGATGGACAGGGCGCCGCGATCAGGCCGCTTCTTGGGCTGCGCGGGGCCCAGCTGCTTCAGCACGGGCATCTGCGAGGGGCACGGGAGGGTCAGCGCGGCCCCAGCCCGGGGCTCGCAGCCACGCGACTGCTCAAAGGACGATGGGGGACGGTTCCCGTTTTTTGTTTTTTGATTTTTGTTTTTGAGACGGAGTCTCGCCCATGCTGGAGTTCAATGGCGCCATCCCGGCTCACCGCAACCTCCGCCTCCCGGGTTCAGGCGATTCTTCCTCCTCAGTCTCCCGAGTAGCTGGGATTACAGGCACCCGCCACCATACCCAGCCAATTTTTGTATTTTTGTAGAGACGGGGTTTCACAATGTTGGCCAGGCTGGTCTTGAACTCCTGACCTCAGGTGATCAACCCGCCTCAGTCTCCCAAAATGCTGGGATAACAGGCGTGAGCCACCGCGCCCGGCCTCCCGTTTCACAGATGGGGTAAGATGAGACTCCAGGAGGTCCCATGGGCACAGCTGCTGAGCTCACATTTGGATCTAACCTGACTCCAGAATGCCTATGAACACCATGCTATGCCGATCCTCCTGAGAGCGAATACTTGAGCCTTCCTAGAGGTCAAGTAACAAATATTTCACAAACCCTTCAGAGTGCTTCCCAGACTTGACTGATAGAAAACTCCAGCTTGTTGGCCCGGGTGCGGTGGCTCACTCCTGTAATCCCAGCACCTTGGGAGGCCGAGGCGGGCGGATCGCTTGAGGCCAGGAGTTCGAGACCAGCCTGAGCAACATGGTGAAACCCCATCTCTATAAAAAATGCAAAAATTAGCGGGGCATGGTGGCGCATGCCTGTAATCCCAGCTAAAGTAGGAGAATCGCTTGAACCCCGGAGGCGGAGGTTGCAGGGAGCCGAGATCGTGTCACTGTATTGGCCACTGCACTCCAGCCTGGGCAACAGGAGTGAAACCCTGTCTCTATAAAAAGAAAAAGAAAACTCCAGCTTGTCAAAAATGGAAATTCCCAGGCTCCTGTTCTGAAGACAGGGCTGACTCTGTCCATTAAGCAAAGCAGATCCTGCCTAGAGCCCACCACGCACACGAGGAAGAGGCCCAGGTGGGCTTTGCCTAGGGTGCATTTTATGATTTGAATTACAGTCCTTGGTATCTGTGGGTTCCGCATCAGCAGATTCAATCAACTGCTGATAAAAAATACTGGGGAAAAAAATACAGTAATAAAAAATGAGTACAAGTTTCAAACAATATAACAATTATTTGCAAAGCATTTACATTGTATTATGCATTATAAGTAATCTAGAGATGATTTAAAGTATAGGAGAGGATGTACATAGGTTATATGCAAATACTAGGGCATTTATATAAGAGACTTAAACATCTGCATATTTGGGTATCCATAGGGGTCCCAGAACCAGTCCCATCACTGCTACCAAGGGGCAACTGTACCTGATCTTTTTTTTTTTTTTTTTTTGAGACGCTAATTTTTGTATTTTTAGTAGAGACAGGGTTTCACCATGTTGGTCAGGCTGGTCTTGAACTCCTGACCTCGTGATCTGCCCGCCTCGGCCTCCCGAAGTGCTGGGATTACAGGCATGAGCCACCACGCCTGGCCAACTGTACCTGATCTTGAGACTACAACCTAACAATATGATGTCTTATGTTTTCTAAAATAATAATATAAATTCCCTAGCCAGGCATGGTGGCTCACACCTGTAATCCCAGCACTTTCGGAGGCTGAAGCGGGTGGATCACCTGAGGTCAGGACTTTGAGACCAGCCTGACCAACATGGTGAAACTCCATCTCTACTAAAAAAAAAAAATACAAAATTAGCTGGTTGTGGTGGTGCATGCCTGTAATCCCAGCTACTTGAGAGGCTGAGGCAGGAGAATCGCTTGAACTTGGGAGGCAGAGGTTGCGGTGAGCTGAGATCGCGCCATTGCATTCCAGCCTGGGTGACAGAGTATGACTCTGTCTCAAAAAAAAAATAAAAAGCCCTATGTTAAAAAAAATGGGAAGAATTGCATAAATTTGAAGCTGGCAGCATCTGCATTGTAAACTAGGTGCTTTATTGCCCATAGCTGCACCAAATTCTTTTTTTTTTTTTTTTTGAGACGGAGTCTTGTTCTGTTGCCCAGGCTGGGGTTCAAGCGATTCTCCTGCCTCAGCCTCCTGAGTGGCTGGAATTACAGGTGTGCGCTGCCATGCCCTGCAAATTTTTGTATTTTTAGTAGAGATGAGGTTTCACTATGTTGGCCAGGCTGGACTCAAACTCATGACTTCAGGTGATCCGCCTGCCTTGGCCTCCCAAAGTGTTGGGAATACAGGCATGAGCCACCACGCCCGGCCTAAATTCAATATGAAATAGAAACGCAGCCACAGAGTCTGCCCATATCCTGGTCATTGCATGTTTTGTGTGGAACTTCTGGGAGGGACTTTGATGACCTTGTACTTTTGTTTTAACAGTCACTGTTATCGCAATAATAAAAACCTATTTCAGTTGAAGCCCTACCCTTTGCCAGCTGTATGAACTGCAATAAATTACTTTATTTCCCTGTTTACTTTTCTATCTGTAAGATAAATAAAATAACACTACCTTCCTTTCAGGATACATAGAAAAGTCTGATCAAAGAAAACTATACTTGTAATAGTGCTAACCAATGGGTAATGCTAGCGTTGGGGGGAAAATATTTCCCTAACAATAATTGTGGAACAAAAATTAGGTTGGATAGAACACTATGAGAAAGACAAAGCCGCTGACATTGTTTTCACCGTAACAGGCACCCTGGGAAGTATTGGTGATAATATGGAGGAAAATGAAAGCCAAAGGGATTTAAAATAATTGTAGATGGCTAGATTCTGAAGACTGGCCTACACACACACACACACACACACACACACACTCTTTACATTGATTTCCATGGGGAAACCAGTTTTGATTTACTACCTCTGCAGCATTTATCAAATTTCTCTGACCTCAACCTAGATGAATAAATATATTTTTATCGTTACCTAGCACACAATCTCCACTCTCTCCTTCCCCATAATGGAAACAAAAATTTTAAGAAACAAGATTTGTCTTGTTTTGAGACAGGGTCTCACTCTGTCACCCAGCTGGAGTGCGGTGGTGAGATCTTGGCTCACTGCAACCTCCGCCTCCCGGACTCAAGCGATCCTCCCACCTCAGACTCCTGAGTAGCTGGGACTACAGGCTCATGCTACCATGTAGTGTTATTTTTGTATTTTTTTTTTTTTTGTAGAGATGGGGTTTCACCATGTTGCCCAGGCTGGTCTCAAACTCCTGAGCTCAAGCAATCTGCCCGCCTTGGCCTCCCAAAGTGCTGAGATTACAGGTGTGTGCCAGTAAGCCCGGCCAATACTTACTTGTCTTACAACGTGGTAGATACTCTGATTCCTTCCTTCCTTCCTTCCTTCCTTCCTTCCTTCCTTCCTTCCTTCCTTCTTTCTTTCTTTCTTTCTTTCTTTCTTTTCTTCCCTCCCTCCCTCCTTCCTTCCTTCCTTTCTTTTCTTTCTTTCTCCTTCCTTCCTTCTTTCTTTCTTTTCTTTTTTGATGGAGTCTTGCTCTGTCACCCAGGCAAGAGTGCAATGGCGCGATCTCGGCTCACTGCAACCTCCGCCTCCCAGGTTCAAGTGATTCTCCTGCCTCAGCCTCCCGAGTAGCTGGGATTATAGGTGCACACCACCATGCTTGGCTAATTTTTGTATTTTATAGTAGAGATGGGGTTTCACCATGTTGGCCAGGCTGGTCTCGAACTCCTGATCTCGTGATCTGCCCACCTCGGCCTCCCAAAGTGCTGGGATTACAGGCATGAGCCACCACACCCGGCCCCTACTCTGATATTTTCTATTGTAATCTATTTTATTTTTAAATGTTGAGCTCAGCTCATTAATGTATCTTCTGGATCCACAGTTTAAAAAAAAAAATCCTCTCTAGCTGCTAACAGAGCCTATGATCTCAGCACTTGCTCTGCTGTGGGTCAGAGGTGAAAAAGTGGAATTCAGAAAGTCCATTGCACAGGTTTGAATCTGGCTGTGCTGATCGCTCTGTGGCTTTGAGCAACTTACTTGACCTTTCTGACCTCATTTCCTTATCTTGAAAATGGCATGATATTAATCTAATACTTCCCAGTCCTTTTGCAAGAATTGGTGGAGGGATATGTCCCTGCAAGTCTTGGCACAGTGCCCAGCGCACAGGGAATGTTCAATTAACATATGCTCAATGGAGTCACACCTCGGATCATTCTCCCAGTGTTCCAGAGAAGGAAATGGGTGATCCGAGACAGGACGTGACTGACCAAGATCACAAAGCCAGCTCTAGGGAACTCCAGTGTCTAGAGCTGGCTGCCTCCACTCTCTGCTGCCTCTTGACTCGTGGACAGCTCTCAGCCCCTGCCTCTGGTCAGACCCAGCTCCCAGCATGCACCTCGCATCCCCCTTCCATTGCCCTATCCGTTGCCACCACTTTTCAGCACCTGGCAACACACATAAAGTCTTGGTTTCTGACATCACACACATCTGGGCTCAAATTTTGCCATTTCCTTCTTGTGCGATCCCAAACTGGCTTCCTCAGCCTAAAGCTCAGTTTACTCCTCAAAAAACAGGGGTTGGAACTCTTGTTTGTGGCTGGGCGCCGTGGCTCACACCTACAATGCCAGCTCTTTGGGAGGCTGAGACAGCAGGATCACTTGAGCCCAGGAGTTTGAGACCAGAATGCGCAACAAAGTGAGATGATCTCTCTACAAAAATAAAAATAAAAAATTAGCCAGGTGCTGTGTCATGCACCTGCAGTTCCAGCTACCTGGGAGGCTGAAAAGGGAAGATCCCTTGAGCCCAGGAGTTTGAGGCTGCAGTGAGGTATGATCGTCCCACCGCACTTCAGCCTGGGCAACAGAAAGAGACCCTGTCTCAAGAAGAAAAGAAAAGAAAAGGAGAGAGAGAGAGAAAAAGAGAGAGAAGGAAAGGAGGGAGGAGAGGGAGGGAAAAAAGGAAGGAAGGAAGGAAAGAGAAAGAAAGAGAAAGAAAAAGAAAGGAAAGGAAGGAGAAAGAAAGAAAGGAAAGAAGGAAGGAAGGAAGGAAAAAGAAAGAAAAAAAGAAGGAAAGAAAGAAAGGGAAGAAAGAAAGACTACACTGAGGGTGCCGAAATTTTATTTTCCAAGTGCTTATCCTGGGCCAGGCACCAGCCTGAGTGCCTCCCCATGAATGAACTAATTTATTTAATCTTCAGGACAACTCCATTTTACAGATGCGCGATGGCTGAGACACAGAGAAGTTAAGTCACTTGCCCTGGGTCACACAGTAGCAAATGCTGCGCTCCAGATCTGGAATCCAGACGAACTCTTAGCTCCCCATAGGAGACTACGGGCATGCCACCCCATGAGAAAAAAAATAATAATGTTCTGATTTGATATGAAGGCGAGAGATTTCCTCTGACACCCTTGATTGTCTTTTTTCCTCTCCAGTCCAGACCAGAACAACGAGTTGGAAGTCGTTTTCGAATGCCACCTCTGCGCCCTAGCTCTGAGACCCTGGGTAAGTCGCTTCACTTCTGCCAGCCTGCGTGTCCTCTTAAATAGAAGCCTCTGACCTCCCTCTGGTTGAATTGTGTTTAAAGCAATGAGGTCATGCTCGGAAAAAGTCCCTCACGCTGCCAGGGCTCGGGACAGAGGGGCTGTTGTTTGTGACCAACGTGGAACAGGCAGAAAGCGGGGCGCGACCGTGGAGCCCGGGGAGGCCCGGGCCGCGCGTTCTCCCCCCGCCTCCGCCCACCCCTCTCTTTCCTGCTGGGGCAGGGCCACGGCTCCAGCTGCAGGGTGGCGGGCACAGCTGGTTCACCTCTGTCCTCTCTCAGTCCCGGCCCCGCCAGGACGGAAATAACAACCCACTCTAGATCCGGCCCAACTGGTTCTCAGACCCGTGGGAACTGCGGTGCAGCCGGGTCGGGGGACCCCAGATGGGGAGACCCCCGGCCCGGCGAGGGCTTCACTGCGCGCTTCCTGCAGCCACGTGGCTGCGGCCGGGAATTCAGCGGCCCTTTTCCCTCCCGACCGGGACCCAGGACCCCTGTCCCCACCGCGCCTTACCTCGCGGTCCTCCCAGAGCGGGGCGGGCGCGCGCTCACGACTCCAGCTCTAGCCCGGACCCCTGGTTCCCTGGCTCCGAGTCCGCCTCCGTCTCCTAATCCCCGGCCCGCGCCTTCCTTCTTCCTCCGGGCGGGTTCTCACCTGGTAAGGAAAGTGTCATGTGGAACCCGGAGGGAGATTCAGGAGCCAGGCATCCGGGTCCGTAGAGCCACCTCCTCCTTCGCCCTCAGGTCCTAGGCGTCCTAGATCTTCGCTTTCTTAATCCCACCCCAGACCCGAAAGTCAGGGGCCCCCAGCCCCTTCTTCCTCAGACCCAGGAGTCAAGACCCCCCAGCCCCTCCTCCCTCAGACCCAGGAGTCCAGACCCCCAGCCCCTCCTCCCTCAGACCCAGGAGTCCAGGCCCCCAGCCCCTCCTCCCTCAGACCCAGGAGTCCAGGCCCCCAGGCCCTCCTCCCTCAGACCCAGGAGTCCAGACCCCAGCCCCTCCTCCCTCAGACCCAGGAGTCCAGGCCCCCAGCCCCTCCTCCCTCAGACCCAGGAGTCCAGGCCCCCAGGCCCTCCTCCCTCAGACTCATGAGTCCAGACCCCCAGCCCCTCCTCCCTCAGACCCAGGAGTCCAGACCCCCAGCCCCTCCTCCCTCAGACCCAGGAGTCCAGGCCCCCAGCCCCTCCTCCCTCAGACCCAGGAGTCCAGACCCCCCAGCCCCTCCTCCCTCAGACTCATGAGTCCAGACCCCCAGCCCCTCCTCCCTCAGACCCAGGAGTCCAGACCCCCAGCCCCTCCTCCCTCAGACCCAGGAATCCAGGCCCCATCCCCTCCTCCCTCAGACCCAGGAGTCAAGACCCCCCAGCCCCTCCTCCCTCAGACCCAGGAGTCCAGACCTCCAGCCCTTCCTCCTCCCTCAGACCCAGGAGTCAAGACCCCCCCAGCCCCTCCTCCCTCAGACCCAGGAGTCCAGGCCCCCAGCCCCTCCTCCCTCAGACCCAGGAGTCCAGACCCCCAGCCCCTCCTCCCTCAGACCCAGGAGTCCAGGCCCCCATCCCCTCCTCCCTCAGACCCAGGAGTCCAGGCCCCCAGCCCCTCCTCCCTCAGACCCAGGAATCCAGGCCCCATCCCCTCCTCCCTCAGACCCAGGAGTCCAGACCCCCAGCCCCTCCTCCCTCAGACTCAGGGGTCCAGACCCCCAGCCCCTTCTTCCTCAGACCCAGGAGTCAAGACCCCCCAGCCCCTCCTCCCTCAGACCCAGGAGTCAAGACCCCCCAGCCCCTCCTCCCTCAGACCCAGGAGTCAAGACCCCCCAGCCCCTCCTCCCTCAGACTCATGAGTCCAGACCCCCAGCCCCTCCTCCCTCAGACCCAGGAGTCCAGACCCCCAGCCCCTCCTCCCTCAGACCCAGGAGTCCAGGCCCCACCCCTGGCAAGCCCTGGCATAAGGCCCCTTTACCTGCACCGGGAGCTAAAGTGTCAGCCCCTCTCGGGGGCCATGGCAGGAGCCCAGGCAGAAGCGGAATCACCGCCCAGTCCCCAGGCAGAGAGGGTTTTGGCACAGGCCCCTCCCAGGCTTTCTTATCCCCCAAAAGTTTGCCTCTAGGAGTTAAAGGACTAGAAAGCAGTGGTGGAAAAGCTGAGGCCCCTCTGGGCGGAGTGTGGGGGCGGGAGGAGGCCAGGACTAAGTGTGCAGGGGGAACTGGCAGAGGGGGTGGGGCTGGACAGGGCGCGCCCCCAGCCTGGCCCCTCCCCTGCACAGCTTGGAATTTCCTGAAACTGGGGAAGTCTGGCTGTTTAGAAGAGTAATTTCTTCCAGATTGCAGCTGTATGGAGAGAGAGAGAGGGAGAGAGAGAGAGAGAAAGAGAGAAGAGAGGCAGGTCAGACAGTGAAAGCAGCAGGAGGATGAAGAGCATGGAGGGTGTCTGAGAGGGGCAGCTCTGGCTTTGCTGCGGCGTCCCCTAGATGAACCTCCCTGCCTGGAGCCACTCCGTCATAGAAAGCTCATATCTCATTCTAAGCACCAGTGTCTATTGATGACAAGAGAGTGAGGTTTGAGTGTTAGGGCAATTCCTTCAGGGCGGTGCGGGCAGGGAGAGAGAGCGGAGGGGGAGAGCAGAGTCCCAAGGCAGGATGCAGCTCAGTGGGAAGAAGGTGGGAAGCCCAGGTGGGAGTCTAGGTCTGTGGGAGGGAGGTGGAGGCCCAGGTGGGAGGCTGGGTCAGCGGGAGGGAGGTGGAGATGCAGGTTGGAGCCTGGGTCAGGGTCAGAGGGAGAGGGAGAGGGAAGCCCAGGTAGGAGGCAGCTCAGTGAGAGAAAGGGGAGGCCCAGGTGGGAGGCTAGGTCAGTGGTTTTACCCCTAGTTGGGGCTGGGGTTGTAGTGCTGGAGAGAAGACAGTCAATTTGCGATAACAGGAAGCAGCCTTGAGCTGGGTCTTAAGGATGAGTGAGAGTTGATGGAGCCCAGGGAGAGGAGGATGGATATCGGAGCAGAGTGGGGAAGCTGGGTGGGGCAGAGGGTTCTCAGACACCAGGTGGAGTTTGATTTGCCTGGAGAAGCCAGCTTGAAAGCCACTGGGAGCTTCAGTTTGCCCTGCAGGCGTGGGGGGACCGCGGAGGAATGGCAGGGAAAGATCCAGGTGTTAGAAAGTTCCCACTGGGGTCCCCGCAGGGGATGGAGTGAAGTAGGTCAGGACTCAGCACCCACAGCAAAATTTAAGGGGGGAGGGGGCAGTGGTCACCAGAAACTCAGTAATCAGAAAAACTATATATATATATATATATATATATATATAACAGACTTTTATTAAGTATTTTTTATTGATGTAAAATTCACATAACATAAAATTAACCATCTTTTTTTTTTCTTTTTTTTTAATTGAGACGGAGTTTTGTTCTTGTTGCCCAGGCTGGAGTGCAATGGCGCGATCTCCACTCACTGCAACCTCCACCTTCCAGGTTCAAGCGATTCTCCTGCCTCAGCCTGTTGAGTAGCCGGGATTACCGGTGCCTGCCACCACGCCCAGCTAATTTTGTATTTTTAGTAGAGACGGGGTTTCTCCACGTTGGTCAGGCTGGTCTCGAACTCCCGACCTCAGGTTATCCGCCTGCCTCGGCTTCCAAAGTGCTGGGATTATAGGTGTGAGCCACTGCATCGGGCCAGAATTAACCATCTTAAGGTGTACAGTTCAGTGACATTTAGTACATTCCCAATGGAACGTACCTAATTGGTACACTGGTAATTGTGTAGCCATCCTTTCTATCAAGTTCCCAAACATTTTCATCACCCCTAAAGAAAACCCTATTAAGCGGTCACTCCCATGCCCCGCTCTCTGCAGCCCCTGGAAACCACTCCCCTGTTTTCTGATTCATGGATTACCTCTTCTGGACATTCGCATAAATGGAATCACACATCATACAGCCTTACCTATCTGACTTCCTTCACATAAGCAGGTTCATCCGTGTGCAGCATGTGCCAGTGGTTCATTACATGTATTATGTACATACGTTAAGATATATATAAAGGCCAAGTGCAGTGGCTCACGCCTGTAATCCCAGCACTTTGGGAAGCCAAGGCGGGTGGATCACTTGAGGTCAGAAGCTCAAGACCAGCCTGGCCAACTTGGTGAAACGCTGACTCTACTAAAAAAATACAAAAATCAGCTGGGCGCAGTGGTGTGTAGTCTCAGGTACTCGGGAGGCTGAGGCAGGATACTCGCTTGAACGCAGGAGGCGGAGGTTGCAGTGAGCCCAGATCGAGCCACTGCACTCCAGCCTGGACAACAGAGCAAGACTCGCTCTAAAAAAAAAAAAAAAAAAAAAAAAAAGGACGAAAAAAAGAAAAAGAGATATGTATATAAGAGATCTATTTGTCACGTGTGTAATCCCAGCACCAGCACTTAGGGAGGCTGAGGCGGGCAGATCACGAGGTCAGGAGATCGAGACCATCCTGGCTAACACGGTGAAACCTCGTCTCTACTAAAAATACAAAAAATTAGCCGGGCATGGTGGCGGGCGCCTGTAGTCCCAGCTACTCGGGAGGCTGAGGCAGGAGAATGGCGTGAACCCGGGAGGCGGAGCTTGCAGTGAGCTGAGATCTCGCCATTGCACTCCAGCCTCGGCGATAGAGCGAGACCCAAAAAACAAACAAACCAAAACAACAACAACAACAACTAACCATCACGCCAGGATAATCTCCCTGACGTAAGATCCACAATTTTAAGTGCATCTGCAGACCTATTCACGGGTCGCAGGGATTTGTGCGTGGACATCTTGCATGTGCGGGGGTGGGTGGGGCTATTCTGCTACCACAGTGCCCCTCAGAGGTCAGGTCCTGGGAGGGGGCGGGGCCAAAGCAGGGCCAGCTTCATGGGTTGCCCAGTGACCCATGCTCGGAGGGCCCTGCACCTTTCTTTTTTTGTTTGTTTTTGAGACAAAGCCTTACTCTGTTGCTCAGGCTGGAGTGTCAAAGGCAAGATCTTGGCTCACTGCAACCTCTGCCTCCCGGGTTCCAGCAATTCTCCCGCCTCAGCCTCTCCAGTAGCTGGGATTACAGGCGCACGCCACCACGCCCAGCTACTTTTTGTATTTTTAGTAGAGACGGGGTTTCACCATGTTGGCCAGGCTGGTCTTGAACTCCTGACCTCAGGTGATCCGCCCGCCTCGGTCTCCCAAAGTGCTGGAATTACCGGCGTGAGCCACTGCACCTGGCCTTTTTGTTTGTTTTTTAGACAGAGTCTCTATCTGTTGCTCAGGCTGGAGTGCCAATGGTGAGATCTCAGCTCACTGAAACCTCCACCTCCCGGGTTCAAGCGACTCTCCTGCCTCAGCCTCCTGAGTTGCTGCAATTACAGGCATGCGCCACCACACCTGGCTAATTTTTGTGTTTTTAGTAGAGACGGGGTTTCACCATATTGGCCAGGCTGGTCTCGAACTCCTAACCTCAGGTGATCGGCCGGCCTTGGCCTCCCAAAGTGCTGGGATCACAGGAATGAGACACCGCGCCCGGCCACCACACTTCTTTTAATGCTCAGTTGTCACCAATTTGAAATTCCTTACGTTTTGAAGAAGGGATCCTGAGTTCTCATTTGCAATAGACCCCACCAATTATGTGGCTGGTTCTGGATGGAACAGCGGGAAGGGCAGAGGCCTGGGAGAAAGTGGCCGAGAAGAGCAACGATGGAGAGATAAAAGGGAAAGGAACTCTGGATGATACCCTGGCAGCAGCCTGGGAAAGCAAAGAGGGAGGAAGAGAGAGGTGTGTCCCAGAAGCCTGGAGTGGGAGATGCACCGTCCCTTCCTTGTGGACTCAAAAGCAGGCTAAGTATGATTAAAAAAAAAAAAAAAAAGAGGGAGTGAGGTCCACTGGACTCAGTAAGAATCCAGAGTTCACTGGGGGCCTGGGTGAGAGCAGACCCAAATGGGGTGGGCAGGGAGAGGTCAGATTGCAGTGGAGAAGGCCAGAGAGAGAGAGATTGGAGGCCAGGAAAGGCGGAGGGGTCAGCAGATAACCCAGGGTGTCCTCTGTGAAGGGAAAGAGAGATAAGGTATCTGGAAGAACAGGGAAGGTCAAAGAAAGGTTTTAGGTTTTTTGGTTCATCTGGATACATTCCCAACTTTTTTTTTTTTTTTTTTTTTTCTGAGACAGAGTCTCAGTGTATCACCCAGGCTGGAGTGCAGTGGCACAATCTCAGCTCACTGCAACCTCTGCCTCCCGGGTTCAAGCAATTCTCCTGCCTCATCCTTCTGAGTAGCTGGGACTACAGGTGTGTGCCAGCATGCCCAGCTAACTGTGTAGAGATAGGGTTTCGCCATGTTGCCCAGGCTGGTCTTGAACTCCTAGACTCAAGCAATCTACGCGTCTCAGCTTCTCAAAGTCCTGGGATTACAGACCTGAGCCACTGTGCCCAGCTGGTTCCTGAGACTGCACCATGATTCCTTAGCTGATTTCAGTGAGTACATACTGCCAGTGCCCCTACATAATTATACACCAGTTCCTAGAATCTTTTTGTAATTATTCAGACTTTTATAGCAATCTAATCATCACTACCCGGCAATTTGTTTTCTTAAGTCTAGTGCTATTGAGGGGGTTCCAACGTTTCCCTTTTAAATGTTTCAGCCCCTCTTCTGAGTAGCAGGGACATGGATGGAACTTTGATCCTATCTTATCCTTAAAGAGCTTACAGGATATTGAGAGGAGAGGAGGGAAGTTGACATGGCACCACCCAGTGGAATGACATAGTCAGCACAGAGCTCAGTGGGAGCACAGAGGAAGAGCGCCAGGCCCATCATGTCCAGCTGCGTAGGTTGTGCACTGCACAACTCTGGGGTCATCATATCACAAACTGAGTGTGAAGAGCCTTGTGAGGCTTCCAGGACAGGTTTCTAGGGGTCACCAGATGCTGGTCTAGATCAGGATGGAGGAATCTTGACTCCTAGAAAGAGGTGGGCAGGGAATTGCTGAGGACGTTTGAAGTCTAATGGGCTGAGCCTTCCCTGTGGTGAGTGGCAGCTCAGCTTTCTAGAGGAAGTTTGGGAAGAAGAATCCTCAGTGAAGGGGTGTTCTACTTGGAGTGATTCGTGTTTCCTTCCAGCTCACTCAGGGTAGTCATGGCCTCTTCCCTTTCCCTGGCTCTCAGTCTGCATCCACCACACTGTTCCCCCTGCTGAACTTTGCACACTCCAGACCACTGGACCACTGCTGCACTTTCTCATTTATCCAGATCATTTTCACCTTCTAGTAAGCTGTGAATGTGCTTATTATGCCCAAGGGTTACTGTCTGTCTCCTTCTGCAAGAATATAGGCTCCTCGGCTGGGCGTTCTGGGTCAGGCCTGTCATCCCCAGCACTTTGGGAGGCCGAGGTGGGCAGATCACGAGGTCAGGAGATGGAGACAATCCTGGCTAATGCGATGAAACCCCATCTCTACTAAAAATACAAAAAATTAGCGGGGCGTGGTGATGCATGCCTGTAATCCCAGCTACTCGGGAGGCTGAGGCAGGAGAATCGCTTGAACCCAGGAGGCGGAGGTTGCAGTGAGCCGAGATCGCGCCACTGCACTCCAGCCTGGGAGACGAGCGAGACTCCATCTCAAAAAAAAAAAAAAAAAAGAATATAAGCTCCTCGATGGCAAGGATGTTTTGCATATTGATGGACCGCTAGAGCCTCAAACAGTGTCTGGCACACAGGACAGGACCAACAAATACTGAATGAGAAAAGTGAATGACAGATGGAAAAGAACAGAACTAAACAGGGAGTTTCTCCACTGGGACCACAAGAGGGCACTCAAGATACGTGTCAAACCCTTGAAGCCCCAAGGTGGGTGGTCTCTCTGCTCCTCAGCCTGGAGGACCAGGGACAGGTGACCTGGACCACGTCCTTTCTCCTCTGTGAGCCTCTATTTCCCCATGTGTAGCGTGGAGATGGAAATGCCTGAAATACGTTCTTGTGAGAAGCAAAAACCCAACAACGCATGCATGTGAATGTCTTCCAAGGGGTTGCACGTGTCCAAATTCATCTAATTGTGTACATTAAGTGAGAGGGTTTTTTAGTAGAACAATTATAGCTAAACAAAGCTGCTAAAATGTAAATAAAATAAAAAATAAAACTTGCATTGAACAACAACAGAGCCGTTAGGCTAGAGCAAGAAATCTGAAGGATGGCAATCCAGACCCCAATAAATCCACAAAGGGGTGTGTGTGTGTGTGTGTGTGTGTGTGTGTGTGTATTTTTTTTTTTTTTTGAGACGGAGTTTCACTCTTGTTGCCCAGGCTGGAGTGCGATGGCGCGATCTCGGATAACCTCAACCTCTGCCTACTGGATTCAAGCAATTCTCCTACCTCAGGCTTCCGAGTAGCTGGGATTACAGGCATGTGCCATCACGCCTGGCTAATAGAAATATTAATTACATGAAGCAACCAGTGAGCACAATGCTATCCTGTGAAATTATTAAAACCTAAAACTAAATGGAAGCTCTGGTTGAAAAGTGCAATACATTCCTAGCAGGATGGGAGACATTCAGCAAAATCAATCATGTGTCTGTATACTAATGAACAATAATTTAAAAACGAAGTGAGGAGAGGAATTTTATTTACAAAGCCTCCAAAGTAATAAAATGAGTGGGAAGAAATTTAATAAAAGAAATAAAGGACATGTATACTAAAAATTACAAAAGATGCTGAGAAGTTAAAGATCTAAATAAACGGAGAGGCTGAGCGTGGTGGCTCACGCCTGTAATCTCAGCATTTTGGGAGGCCAAGGCAGGCAGGTTACTTGAGATCAGGAGTTGGAGACCAGCCTGGCCTACATGGGGAAACTGGTCTCCACTAAAAAACAAACAAACAAAAATTAGCCAGGCATGGTGGTGCACACCTGTAATCCCAGCTACTCAGGAGGCTGAGGCAGGAGAATCGCTTGAACCTGGGAGGCACAGGTTGCAGTGAGCCGAGATCGTGCCACTGCACTCCAGCCTGGATGGCAGAGCCAGACTCCATCTCAAAATAAATAAATACATACGAAAATGGAGAAACAGTTCATACATTCACAATAGCATCCAAAATAATAAATATAAGAAATAAAAATTAACAAAAAGTGTCATCTTGCAAAGCAGTAACATAATATGAAAAAACCCCACTGACCACATCCTTCCTCATTCTTAGAAAGGGAATTATGGTCATAGTGGTTGACCTGTGGCCATGTAATTCTGTCCAAATATCCCTGAATGGTAAATGTGAAAACAGTAGAATGAATTCCATTGAAAATAAGAAAACAAGAAGAAATAAAGTCAGAACGCAAAAGTTTTTTTTAAGGGTTATTGGGATGGAATTTTGTTTGTTTGTTTTTTTGAGATGCAGACTTACTCTGTCATCCAGGCTGGAGTGCAATGGTGCGATCTCAGCTCACTGCATTCTCCACCTTCCGGGTTGAAGCCATTCTCCTGCCTCAGCCTCCTGATTAGCTGAGATTATAGGCATGTGCCACCACGCCCGGCTAATTTTTGTATTTTTAGTAGACGGGGTTTCACCATATTGGCCAGGCTGGTCTCAAACTCCTAACCTCAGGTGATCGGCCGGCCTTGGCCTCCCAAAGTGCTGGGATCACAGGAATGAGCCACTGTGCCTGGCCACCACGCTTCTGTTAACGCTCAGCTGTCACCAATTTGAAATTCCTTACGTTTTGAAGAAGGGACGTCGAGTTCTCATTTGCAATAGACCCCACCAATTATGTGGCTGGTTCTGGATGGAACAGCGGGAAGGGCAGAGGCCTGGGAGAAAGCGGCCAAGAACAGCAACGATGGAGAGATAAAAGGGAAAGGAACTCTGGATGATACCCTGGCAGCAGCCTGGGAAAGCCAAGAGGGAGGAAGAGAGAGGTGTGTCCCAGAAGCCTGGAGTGGGAGATGCATCGTCCCTTTCTTGTGGTCTCAAAAGCAGGCCAAGTATGATTTTTTTTTTTTTTTTAACTGCCGGGCGCGGTGTCTCAAGCCTGTAATCCCAGCACTTTGGGAGGCCGAGGCGGGCGGATCACGAGGTCAGGAGTTCAAGACCACCTTGGCCAACATGGTGAAACCTCATCTCTACTAAAAATACAATAATTAGCTGGGCGTAGTGGCGCGCGCCAAGATGGAGCTTACTCGGGCGGCTGAGGCAGGAGAATGGCGTGAACTGGGGAGGTGGGACTTGCAGTGAGCCAAGATCGGGCCACTGCACTCCAGCCTGGGCGACAGAGCGAGACTCCGTCTCAAAAAAAAAAAAAAGCTCCTCGATGGCAAGGATGTTTGTTTTGTATATTGATGGACCGCGAGAGCACAGGAGAGGACCAACAAATACTGAATGAGAAAAATGAATGGCAGATGGAAAAGAACAGAACTAAACAGGGAGTTTCTCCACTGAGACCACAAGAGGGCACCCGAGATACGCGTCGAACCCTCGCAGCCCCAAGGTGGGTGGTCTCTGCTCCTCAGCCTGGAGGACCAGGGACAGGTGTGACCGGGACCACACCCTTTCTCCTCTGTGAGCCTCTATTTCCCCATGTGTAGCGTGGAGATGGAAGTGCCTGAAATACGTTCTTGTGAGAAGCAAAAAGCTAACAACACATGCACGTGAATGTCTTCTAAGGGGTTATTGCATACGTCCAAATTCATCTAATTGTGTATATTAAGTGAGAGGGTTTTTTAGTGGAACAATTGTAGCTAAATAAAGCTGCTAAAAAGTAAATAAAATAAAAAATGAAACTTGCAATGAACAACAGCAACAGAGTCATTACGCTAGAGCAAGAAATCTGAAGGATGGCAATCTAGACCCCAATAAATCCACGAAGTTAGAATTTTTTTTTTTTTTTTTTTTTTTTTGGTGACGGAATTTCGCTCTTGTTGCCCAGGCTGGCTTACAATGGTGCAATCTCGGCTCACCGCAGCTGCCGCGTCCCGGGTTCAAGCATTTCTCCCATCTCAGCTTTCTGAGTAGCTGGGATTACAGGCATGTGCCATCGCTCCCGGCTAACAGAAATATTAATTACATGAAACGACCAGTGAGCACAGTGCTATCCTGTGAAATTATTAAAACATAAAACTAAGGCCGGGCGCGGTGGCTCACGCCTGTAATCCCAGCACTTTGGGAGGCCGAGGCGGGTGGATCACGAGGTCAGGAGATCGAGACCATCCTGGCTAACAAGGTGAAACCCCGTCTCTACTAAAAATACAAAAAAATTAGCCGGGCGTGGTGGCGGGCGCCTGTAGTCCCAGCTACTCGGGAGGCTGAGGCAGGAGAATGGCGTGAACCCGGGAGGCGGAGCTTGCAGTGAGCCGAGATTGCACCACTGCACTCCAGCCTGGGAGACAGAGCGAGACTCCGTCTCAAAAAAAACAAAAACAAAACCCATAAAACTAAATGAAGCTCTGGAGTTGAAAAGTACCACACATTCCTAGCAGGATAGGAGATATATTCACCAAAATCAATCATGTGTCTGTATACGAACGAACAATAATTTAAAAATGAAATGAGGAGAGCAATTTCATTTACAAAGCCTCCAAAATAATAAAATGAATGGGAAGAAATGTAATAAAAGAAGTGAAAGACGTGGATACTAAAAATTACAAAAGATGCTGAGGAGAAATTAAAGATGTAAATAAATGGAGAGGCCGAGTGCGGTGGCTCATGCCTGTAATCTCAGCACTTTGGGAGGCTAAGGCAGGTGGATTACCTGAGGTCAGGAGTTCTAGACTAGCCTGGCAAACATGGGGAAACCTGATCTATACTAAACAAAACAAAACAAAACAAAACAAAACAAAACAAAACAAAACAAAAAACTTAGCTCCAGCTTAGAGCCAGACTCCATCCCAAAATTAATAGATAAATACATACATGCATGCATACATAAATGGAGAAAGTTTATACATTCACAATAGCATCTGACATAATAAATGTAAGAAATAAAATGAATAAAAAGTGTCATCTTGCAAAGCAGTAAAATAAGATGAAAAAACCTCACTGACCACATCCTTCCTCATTCTCAGAAAGGGAATCACGGTCATAGTGGTTGACCTGTGGCCGTGTAATTCTGTCCAAATATCCATGAATGGTAAATGTGAAAACAGTAGAATGAATTCCATTGAAAATAAGAAAACAAGAAGAAATAAAGTCAGAACTCAAAAGTGTTTTTGAAGTGTTATTGGGATGGGGTTTTTTGTTTTTTTTTTTTTTTTTTTTAGACGGAGACTCGCTGTGTCGCCGAGGCTGGAGTGCATGGTGCGATCTCGGCTCACTGAAACCTCTGCCTCCTGGGTTCAAGCGATTCTCCTGCTTCAGCCTCCTGAGTAGCTGATATTATAGGCGCGCACCATCATGCCTGGCTAATTTTTGTATTTTTAGTAGAGACGGGGTTTCATCATGTTGGCCAGGCTGGTCTCGAACTCCTGACCTCAGGTGATAAAGCCCACCTCAGCTTCCCAAAATACTGGCCTTACAGGCACGAGCCACTGCGCCCAGCCTATTTGTTATTATTTGATAATATTTATATTATCACCTATCAATTTATGATGACAAGTGCACTTAACATAAGATCTATCTTAGCAAATTTGTAAGGGTACAAGGCAGTCTTATTCCCTGCACACACTAAGCCGCACAGGAGACTCTAGGCCTTCCTCATCTTGCATGACTGAAACTCAAGAGGGAAAAATGAGGAGTTATCAGTCATAGGAAAGAGATCTTGATACCTTGCCTGTTCTTTCTAAGCCAATACTCTCAGCTCCTTAAAGGGGGCACTTTTATTTCATTTTATTTTTTTTCCCTCAGGTATAAATAATTTAATTTTTTTCAGTTATAAGGCTAACACATACTCAATTTAAAAATCCAAATAAAAACTCCTCAAAAAATGAAGAGCCATTTAAACTCCCTTGACCTAATATTAACTGCTACAAACATCGTGATTAATATTTTCCTACAAATCTCTCCTTCCATAAACATGTGTATAAACATGCATATGTAATTTAACTTACATGTGGCCTCTATATACGTGTTTTTTTTCCTGTTTTGCTCACTCAACAAAATCCTCGGTATCTTCCATGTCAATGAAAGTTAAACAGCACCATCATTTTTAATGACCACACAGTATTCCATTGCACTGGGCAGGTGGGGGGCAGGGCATTGTTTATTTAATATTTAAGTGTCCATTAAGTGATGGGCAATATGTTTCTAATTCACTGCTCTTCATTCTACAAGTGTTTGCTGAGCATCTATTATGTGCCAGGCCCTAAGTACCAGTGATAAAGTGATGATCAAGACAGAAGAGCCAAGACTTCCCTGGCCAAGTGAAGTCTCCATTCTAACGGCGGGAGAGGGACAGCGTACAAGTCAATGAGTGGATAATTAGAAAGGAGGATGAACGTCAAGAGGAAATGAAGACGAATCTTCTTAGCGAAGGAATGGGTGTCGGGCTAGTGGACTTCTTTCAACACAGTGGTCTAGGAAGGCTCTTCTTGCTGAGATGATGCTGAGCAGAGACCTGGAGGCTGTGGTGCAAAGCAGGAGGTCGGTGCACCCAGGCAGAGACGCGGAGCCCCGAGGCAGGGAGGGACCTGGTGTCTTCAAGGAACAGCAGGAATGTCATGTGGCCTGAGGGCAGGGAGTGAGGGGCACAGGGACCAACGTGAAATTGGAAAGATGAGTAAGTGTCCCGTAGGTCACAGAGTTTGGGTTTTGGGCCATGTGTACTATGAAGTCACTGGAGATTTCAATGGTAACAAAACATAATCTGATTTATGCTTTTAAAGGATCACTCTGGGGCCGGGTGCAGGGGCTCACGCCTGTAATCCCAGCACTTTGGGAGACTGAGGCGGGCGGATCATGAGGTCAAGAGATCGAGACCATCCTGGGCAACATGGTGAAACCCCGTCTCTACTAAAAATACAAATAAATTAGCCAGGCGTGGTGGTGGGTGCCTCTAATCCCAGCTACTCGGGAGGCTGAGGCAGGAGAATCGCTTGAACCCGGGAGGTGGAGGGTGCAGTGAGCCAAGATCACGCCACTGCACTGCAGCCTGGGCGACAGAGTGAGACTCCGTCTCAAAAAAAAAAAAAAAAAAAAAAGAAAGATTATTCTGGCTACAATATGGGGAGGGGCAGCTGAGTAGCACGAAATGAGCGTGGAGAGACCAGCTAGGGGATGTTCCCTGGACGAGGGGAGAGAGGGTGAACCTGGCGCCGTGGTGCTGGCAAGCAGTGTCTGCATGAGGACAGATTCTGAAGGTAGAACAAGGGGAGAGGGTGAGAAAGAGGAGCAGTTGAGGCGATTTCTAGGACTGCAGCTTGTCCAGGTGGTGGACGGGGAAGAAAACGTGGGAGAGCCACAATTTTAACTTTCTCATATTAATCCTTCCAGTGTTTGTTTCTGGGTGAATATGAGACAATATGAATGTATATTCTGATTCCCCCAATTCTTGGCACAATACAGATTTAATCCCTAAGAATACACTCTGGGATCTCTCCATAAAGTACATAGGCGATTTTCTTTTTATTTTCTTTTTTTGAGACAAGTCTCACTCTGTTGCCCATGCTGGAGTGCAGTGGTGCGATCTCAGCTCACTGCAATCTCCACCTCCCAGGTTGAAGCAATTCTCCTACTCAGCCTCCCGAGCTGAAATGATGGGCGCCAGCCACCAGGTCCAGCTAATTTTTTTGTATTTTTAGTAGAAACAGGGTTTTACCATGTTGGCCAGGCTGGTCTCGAACTCCTGGCCTCAGGTGATCTGCCCGCATCTGCCTTCCAAAGTGCTGGGATTACAGTCAGGAGCCTGGCCCATGGGGCATTTTCAAATATATTTCTCCCTGGTCTTCTAAATTCCAGACTGACTGATGAGAAGTCTGATGTAATTATGATAATAGAAACTTAGTACACCATTGTGTTTTTTCTCCCACCTTTGAGGTCTTCTTTATTTTCTTTTTCCTTTGAGATAATGCAGCTTGGTGAGTGCGGTGAGCCCTTAGGGAGGCATTTTTTCTCTCTCCCTAGCGTCACTGCTGGCTGGCTTCCTCCTCTCTGCCCTTTACTTCTTTTTTTTCATTCCAGCTCCTCAAGTTGCATGTTCAGTGATTAATTCTCCAAACTTCATAATTTCTTTTTTTTTTTTTTGAGATGGAGTCTCTGTCACCCAGGCTGGAGTACGGTGGCGCGATCTCGGTTCACTGCAACCTCCACCTCCCGGGTTCAAGCGATTCTCCTGCCTCAGTCTCCCAAGTAGCTGGGACTACAGGCGCCCGCCACCACGCCCGGCTAATTTTTTTAGTAGAGACGGGGTTTGGGGTTTCACCGTGTTAGCTAGGATGGGCTCGATCTCCTGACCTCGTGATCCACCCACCTCATCCTCTCAAAGTGCTGGGATTACAGGCGTGAGCCACCATGCCCAGCCCCAAACTTCATAATTTCTAAAAAAAAAAAAAAAAAAAAAAAAAAAAGTGTGCTTAAAACAATCCACATTTCACTTTAAGTGTGATTTTTATTGCATCTAAGTTTCGATATGAATAACATTGTTCATTTCTAAATATGTCACAACTTCTGTGTTTTTTTTTTTAACAGTCACTCAAAAGTTATGCAGATTTTTGTTGTTGTTTTAAAAATGTGTGTTTTTTAAACGTTTAATTTTTGGTCTTTTATGTAATTTTTGCAGTCACGAAATATGGTTTCATTATATTAAATCTTTGGAATATTTTGAGACCTTCTTGGTGGATTAAGAAGTGGTCAATTTTTGTAGATTTTTCATATGTTCCTGAAAAGAATGTGGGTTCTCCATTGTTGCTGTTTTGTACATATAAATATAACAACACACCAATAATGAAAATAACAATTATGATAACAATCATTAATAATCAATATTAGGCCAGGCGCAGTGGCTCACACCTGTAATCCCAGTACTTTGGGAGGCCGAGGCGGGCGGATCACCTGAGGTCAGGAGTTCGAGACCAGCCTGGCCAGCATGGTGAATCCACGTCTCTACTAAAAATACAAAAATAGCTGGGCGTGGTGGCAGAGGCCTAGAAGCCCAGCTACTCAGGAGGCTGAGGCAGGAGAATCACTTGAACCTGGGAGGCAGAGGTTGCAGTGAGCCAAGATTGTGCCACTGCACTCCAGCCTGGGTGACAAGAGTGAAACTCCATGTCAAAAAATAAATAAGTAAATAATAATAATCAATATTAGAACCCTTAGTAATGTCAGGCTCAGTCTGACTACTTTTTTTTTATTTATTATTATACTTTAAGTTTTAGGGTACATGTGCACATTGTGCAGGTTAGTTACATATGTATACATGTGCCATGCTGGTGCACTGCACCCACTAACTCGTCATCTAGCATTAGGACTACTTTTTATTTTTAAGAAAGCATGCTTACTTTTGCCTTTCATTTTTCTATATTTTTAAAAAACTTTGTAAACATTTATGGGGTACAAGTGTAATTTTGTTGCATGTAAAGATTGCCCAGTGATGAAATCAGGACTTCCAGGTTATCCATTCCCCAAATAATGTGCATTGTACCCATTAAGTCATTTTCTTTTCTTTTCTTTCTTTCTTTTTTTTTTTTTTTGAGACAGAGTCTTGCTCTGTCGTCCAGGGTGGAGTACAATGGTGCAATCTTGGCTCACTGCAACCTCCATCTCCCGTGTTCAAGCAATTCTCCTGCCTCAGCCTCCTGAGTAGCTGGGATTGCAGGTGTACACCACCACACCTGGCTAATTTTTTGTATTTTTAGTAGAGACAGGGTTTCTCCACGTTGGCCAGGCTGGTCTCGAACTCCTGACCTCAGGTGATCTGCCCGCCTCGGCCTCCCAAAATGCTGGGATTACAAGCGTAAGCCACCACACCCGGCCCCCGTTCCTCATTCTTAGAAAGGGAATCATGGTCATTGTGGTTGACCTGTGGCCGTGTAATTCTGTCCAAATATCCCTGAATGGTAAATGTGAAAACAGTAGAATGAATTCCATTGAAAATAAGAAGAAATAAAGTCAGAACTCAAAAGTGTTTTTGAAGTGTTATTGGGATGGAACTTTTTTTTTTTTTTTTTTTTTTGAGACGGAGACTGCTCTGTCATTTAGGCTGGAGTGCAATGGTGCAATCTTGGCTCACTGCAACTTCTGCCTCCTGGGTTCAAGCGATTCTCCTGCTTCAGCCTCCTGAGTAGCTGGTATTACAGGTGCGCACCGTCATGCCTGGCTAATTTTTGTATTTTTAGTAGAGACGGGGTTTCACCATGTTGGCCAGGCTGGTCTCGAACTCCTGACCTCAGGTGATACGCCCACCTCGGCCTCCAAAAATGCTGGCATTACAGGCACGAGCCACTGCGCCCAGCCTATTTGTTATTATTTGATAATATTGATATTATCACCTATCAATTTATGATGACAAGTGCACATAACATAAGATCTATCTTAGCAAATTTGTAAGGGTACAAGGCAGTCTTGTTCCCTGCACACACTAAGCCGCACAGGAGACTGTAGGCCTTCCTCATCTTGCATGACTGAAACTCAAGAGGGAAAAATGAGGAGGTAACAGTCATAGGAAAGAGATCTTGATACCTTGCCTGTTCTTTCTAAGCCAATACCCTCAGCTCCTTAAAGGGGGCACTTTTATTTCATTTTATTTTTTCCCTCAGGTATAAATAATTTAATTTTTTTCAGTTATAAGGCTAACACATACTCAATTTAAAAATCCAAATAAAAACACCTCAAAAAATGAAGAGCCATTTAAACTCCCTTGACCTAATATTAATTGCTACAAACATCTTGATTAATATTTTCCTACAAATCTCTTATTACTAAATTACTCGATAGCCAGTTATTAAGTAATTTCAGTCTGAGTACCATTAACATAATTACTCACTGAATAATCACAACAGTTCCATGAGTTAGGCACCATTGCTTTTTTATTTTACAGAGGAAGAGGCAAAGAAATAGAGAGGTAAATAAACTTAGTTTAAAGTGAGAGAGCTTATAACTGGCACGACCAAAATTAAAATCTAGAGATCTGGCCTCTGGAATTGTACTAGATAAATCAAGTTATGCACTCATAACTTTCCCCATACTCCCTATATACTATGTCTATTCATTCATCATTCATTCAAAAATATTTATTATGTACTATGTGCTAGGGAGTGTTCCAGGTGCAGGGACACTACAGGAAACACTGCAGGAAAAAAATCTATGGTTTCATGGGGATACATTGTAGTGGGAAGGCAGATAGTCTACAATATTAATAAGTAAAATACGTGCACATATGCTGAAGATTAATGATATATGCTGAAGAAAGAAAAAAGGCAGCGAGAGGTGATACGAAATCTGGAGGGAGTGTTGCAACTTCAGACAGGATGGTCCAAGAAGGTCTGAAGGATAAGGAGATACTGGGGTTGACAGTGAAGGAGAGGGAGGGATGAGCCTTGTGCCTGTCTGGGTGAAGAGCATTCCAGTCGAGAATGGCATGTGGATGAGCCCTGAGGCAGATGCTTGCTTGATGTTTTTTTAGGAATAGCAAGGAGGTCACTGGGACTGCATCACAGTCAGTGAAAGGCAGAGTCGGAGGAGATGCTATCAAAGTACTAACCCAAGTTGGGAGACAGAAGACGCAGTCGTGTCAATATGACTGAGGCGGGAAGTCCTGGAAAGTTTCTGATCAGAAGAGTGGCACAGAGTGGCGAATGTTTTTATTGTATTGTGTTGTTATTTTACTACCCAATTGCATTTTATTATCAGCGTACCTTATTTTATGAAATTAGACCTGCATTTTGGAGGGAGAGTCTGATTTTCATGAAGGCATGTGGTATGCTTCTGACGATAACGCCAGCATTCCAGGTAAGCTGCCGTCGGCCCTACCTCCGGGACAGCTTGATGCAAGATGCTAATCAAATTAACTCCCTGAGCGTCACTGTTCTCATCTGTAAAACTGGCCTAATGATGAAAACATCTTCCCAAAGTTGTGAGAATTAAAGGAACTACCCATAAGGGATACTCGGAGCAGTGTCTGGCATAGAGCGAGAGCTCAGAAAGGTTATCTCTTCCTTTGATTGCCTTGTGCAATTCTGACTTCAGGAAGGTCTTACCGATATGTTTTAGACAAAAATATGATGATGCCACGCTTAGGCTCAAAACCTGTCCCACTCTCGTGAGGGTAAAATACCAAAACTCTACTTGGCCTTTTAGAGACTCCTGCTCAATCAATGTACATATTCTTCTTCATTATTTTTCCATCTGGAGTCCACTCGACTTACAACAGGCAAATTATCTCCTGATGGGGACTTTCACAGAAGCTGTCTCCTCTGTCCACGTCTCCCCCCAGCTGCTCTTCCTGTCGCCAGCTCGTCAGTCCTCAGCCCGGATTCCACTCCACACTGCAGGTGGCTTCCCTGGGGTCAGCTCTGAGGTTCTCTTGCTTTTCTTTTCTTTTTGTTTCCCTCCTTCCTTCCTTCTTTCCTTCCTTCCTTCCTTTCTTTCTCTCTCTCTCCCTCCCTTCCTTTCCTTCTTTCTCTCTTTCTCTTTCTTCCTTCCTTCCTTTCTTTCTCTCTCTCTCCCTCCCTTCCTTTCCTTCTTTCTCTCTTTCTCTTTCTTCCTTCCTTCCTTTCTTTCTCTCTCTCTCCCTCCCTTCCTTTCCTTCTTTCTCTCTTTCTCTTTCTTCCTTCCTTCCTTTCTTTCTCTCTCTCTCCCTCCCTTCCTTTCCTTCTTTCTCTCTTTCTCTTTCTTCCTTCCTTCCTTGCTTCCTTCCTTCCTTTCTCCCTCCCTTCCTTCCTTTCTTTCCTTTCTTTTTTCTCTCTCTCCCTCCCTTCCTTTGCTTCTTTCTCTCTCTCTTTCTCTTTCTTCCTTCCTTCCTTTCTCTCTTCCTTCCTTCCTTCCCCCGCTCCCTTCTCTTTCTTTCTTTCTCTCTCTCTCTTCTCTTTCTCCCTTCCTTTCCTTTCTTTCCTTCTCTCTTTCTCTCTCTCTCCCTTTCCTTCCTTCCTCCCTTCCTCCCTTTCTCTCTCTCTTCCTTCTCTTTCTTTCTTTCTTTCTTTCTTTCTCTCTCCTCTTTCTCTCTCTTTCTCTTTCTTTCTTTCTCTCTCTTTCTCTCTTTCTCTCTCTTTCTCTCTTTCTCTCTCTTTCTCTCTTTCTTTCTTTTTCTTTCTTTCTTTCTTGACAGAGTCTCGCTCTGTCACCCAGGATGGAGTGCAGTGGTGCCATCTCGGCTCACTGCAACCTCCGTCTTCTGGGTTCAAATGATTCTCCTGCCTCAGCCTCCTGAGTAGCTGGGGTTACAGGCGCTTGCCACCACGCCTGGCTAATTTTTGTATTTTTAGTAGAGACGGGGTTTCCCCATGTTGCCCAGGATGGTCTGGAACTTCTGACCTCAGGTGATCCACCCGCCTCGGCCTCCCAAAGTGCTGGGATTACAGGATTGAGCCACCATGACCGGCCCAAGTCCCCTTTTCACACAAGGTCATAGGATTTTTTTTTTTCCTCTGGAGCACTTACTACATCAGCAGATATGGCTCTCAGTGCAACAAAACTCACAGCTCTCTTACGTGGTGTAGAGTTGTCCCTGGAGGCAGCTGCCCCATGAGGGACCCTATCTTCATCCTTCTTGTACCCAGCTGTGGACTCCTGACTAATTCCCACCCTTGGAATGTGAGCAGCAGTGATAAGCGACATTCAGATTTTTTATTTAAAAGGCACGGATGAGCCCTTTCCATTCTCTCTTCCTCTTTCCCCTCACTGGTGACAGAGCACTCCAGGGTTCTAGGGGAGGTTGGATCCCAAAGGTGGAAGAATCTGGGCACCTGAGTCACCTGATGGAGGAGCTCCAACTGCCAACCGGGGGCCCCTATATGGACGTGTAACACAAGTGAGTAGTGACCATTCCATTGTGACAAACTGCAGATATTTCGAGGCTAATTTGTTAAAATCTACCGTTAATGTGCTTTATATGACTTTTTTTTTTTTTTTTAAGATGGAGTTTTGCTTTTGTCGCCCAGGCTGGAGTGCAATGGTGCAATCTCGGCTCACCACAACCTCTGCCTCCCGGTTCAAGCGATTCTCCTGCCTCAGCCTTTTGAGTAGCTGGGATTGTAGGCATGCACCACCAGGCCTGGCTACTTTTTTTGTATTTTTAGTAGAGATGGGGTTTCACCATGTTGGTGAGGCTGGTCTTGAACTCCTGACCTCAAGTGATCCTCCTGCCTCAGCCTCCCAAAGTGCTGGGATTACAGGTGTGAGCCACTGTGCCCGGCCTATATGACATTTGAATAGTCAGAGGTGTGCCCTCCACATTAGACTGTGAGGTCCGTTGACTTGCGTGGCTCGTCTCTGACACAGACTCAAGCCCTTAATAGCCGCCTGGAAATGTACGTTTTGGTTCACACAAAAAGGAAGTTGACCAAGCCCCCTTGATGAAGCCTCACTGGGGAGGTGGCCCATCGAAGGTCGTATATTGTGAATGGGGCGAAGGCAGCGTCGCCGTCTCCTTCAAGTCTGACCTCCAGGTTGGTGTTCAGATTCCCCCTCCACACCCCACAGCCGTGGTTGCCCATCTGGATTTGGTGTTTCGGTCAGAGATGACGTTCGGGCCAGTCGTATGGATGATGATGTCCAAGGAGACAGTTCTCTCCTTTACCCCAGTCACAGGAAGGAAGAACTAAGCCTCATGGTGCCTTCCTGGGAGATACGTGGTAAGAAGCCACAAGACGGTCGGGACTGAGTCTCTGCGCACCGCATCCCGAGCCTCTGCCATCTGCACAGCGAGGCGGGCGCAGGCAGCACGGTGCCCCTTACCATGCTTTCTTCCTGGACTTTCCCTTGACCAGTCTTGGCATGGCAGGCGAGGGAATGAGGGATTGGGGCTGGGAGGCGGGGAAGACAGCTCTCTCCCTGGGCCCATGTCTGGTTAGATCAATGCTGTGGGAGCTTAGCGACTGAAGAGGTAGCAGAGATGATGGCAGGAAGGCATTATCTGCCCAAGCCTCAGGCTTCGCAGTCCAGGTTGGGACCAAGAGCTTGCAGACGTCATCGAGTGCAGATTTTGAGCGAAGTACTGAGCATTGTAAATCCAGATTTCTCTTCCAGAGCTGAGTCTGGGCCACAGGACCTGGACACAGGAGGGTCAGTCTCTCCGGTAATGGTGAGGGTCTGTCTTCTTGGAGCAGCACAGCGGACTCCCACCAGGACAGTGGATGCTGGATACCGAAGGGCTGGGCTCAGGACAGTGGATGCTGGGTACGGAAGGGCTGGGATGAGGACAGTGGATGCTGGGTACCAAAGGGCTGGGCTCAGGACAGTGGATGCTGGGTACTGAAGGGCTGGGCTCAGGACAGTGGATGCTGGGTATGGAAGGGCTGGGCTCAGGACAGTGGATGCTGGGTACCGAAGGGCTGGGCTGAGGGGGTCACTTTGGCAGTGGTTCTGGAGTCTGAATTTCTAAGGGCCTGGAACTCATGAGACTCTAGATGCTGATTCTTTTCTGGAGAACTTCTCCAGAGTCACCATCCTGGCTTGTGCAGACTCAACATTCCACCTGAAGAGCTCTGGGAACCTCTGGGGCTGAGAGCCTTCTGGGCCTGATGAGTTCTGTTGGGATGGAGAAGATGATCTTGAAGTTAAAGATTTCAGTGGGAGTCCAGGAAAACGTCGCAGCTGTCCATCATACCCACAACAGCAAACGACTCAGGACTTTGTCACGGCCACCGCGGCAGCCAAAACCACAGCTGTGATCTGGGGCCGGACTCATACCCAGAGGTTGTCTGGGTTCAGGTTCTGCAACCCCGGTTCAGAGAAAGAGGAAACGGAGTGGGCCGTGTGGACCCCGTCCTTCATCGAACTCCAGAACTAAGAGAACTGGGAGGGGAGAAGGCCGTCACCCTTGCATGGAGCTGCCTCCCTCAGTTCTAGTGGTTTCTACAACTCCATGCAGGTTAGCTAAGGTGTGCATGGGTTCCAGAAGGAACATGGAGATGTTTCTCTTTGATGTTACTTGAAACTTTCGTTTGGCAAGTTCCTTCTAAGATCAGGAGATTCAATCACCCCACATGGTCCATCAGTCAGGGTATCACAACGTCGTGCTCCTTGGCTATACAGTCTCAGGTACATTTCTTCTTGAGATTATTTTTCACGTGAGGCAGAGATGTGTGGCTGCTCACCAGAAAAAAAGAATTCTCTACTTCCTCTTACAGTGCAAGCATTTGAATCTCTGGGAGGTGGCTACCCTCACCAAGGGACTTTTTTCCTAGTCTCCTTTGCATCCATGTGTGACTGACCATAATGACTACTTATAGCCAAAAATCTGGACAGAAATGATGTGCGTCAATCAATTTTGCAAGTTTACAAATATTTTCTGTGTCTCCTCTTTCTGTTTGAAGTATGGGACGCCATTGCCCAAGGGGATGATGTGAGCACAATGGAAGAAGCGGATGTCCCTGAGTCATCCTGGGGAGAAAATTCAAATTCTGCCCAGAGAAACCCTCATTGGTCATTTACATGAGTGAGATGCCAAACCTCACTGTGTTAAGCCATCGGTAATTTTTCTTTTTTGAGATGGAGTCTCGCACTGTCGCCCAGGCTGGAGTGCAGTGGCGAGATCTCGGCTCACTGCAAGCTCTGCCTCCGAGGTTCAAGCGATTCTCCTGCCTCAGCCTCCTGAGTAGCTGGGACTACAGGCACCCACTATCACGCCTGGCTAATTTTTTGCATTTTTAGTAGAGATGGGGTTTCACTGTGTTAGCCAGGATGGTCTCGATCTCCTGACTTCGTGATCCGCCTGCCTCGGCCTCCCAAAGTGCTGGGATTACAGGCGTGAACCACCGCGCCCGGCCAGTATTTTAAGACTTACTTATAACGGTGGTTAGTGTCACCCTAACTCTTACCTCACAATAGTAGCTAAACAATTTGTGATTTGCTCTTTGATCCTGTCCCTATCATCATTAGACTCAAGCTCTGTTGAGGGCAGGGGCTGCATCTGTTTTGTTCACTCCTGAATCTCAAACACCAAGCAGATAATAAGCAATTGATAAATATTGGTTGATCGGCTTCTGAAGAAAGAAAATTCACACATTTATATTTAGAAAAATTTATAAGGGAAGTAGCCGAGTGGGGTGGCTCACGCCTGTCATCCCAGCATTTTGGGAGGTTGAGGTGGGTGGATCACCTGAGGTCAGGAATTCAAGACTAGCGTGGCTGACGTGGGGAAACCCCGTCTCTACTAAAAATAGAAAAATTAGCTGGTCGTGGTGGCGTGTGCCTGTAATCCCAGCTACTCAGGAGGCTGAGGCAGAAGAATCGCTTGAACCTGGGAGGCAGAGGTTGCAGTGAGCTGAGATGGTGCCATTGCACTCTAGCCTGGGTGACAAGAGCGAGACTCTGTCTCAAAAAAAAAGAAGAGAGAAGTTTATAGGTGAAGTGGCTTGTCCGAGGTCTCTGAGGCTGTGGGACAGGAAGTCACAGGAGAAGCTCATTCTGGCTGACTTCCCAGCTGGTGTTCTGCACCTCTATCAGTATCTTAGGAACCAAGTTACCACGACACACCTATTAGAGTGGCCAAATTCTAAAACATGGACAATACCACATACTGGCATACTGGTGAGGATGTGGAGCAACAGGAACTCTCATTGCTGGTGGGATTGCCAAATGGTACAGTCACTTTGGGAGACAGTGCGGCAATTTCTTCTAAAACTAAATGTAGCTTTGCCATGTAATCCAGCAATTGCATTCCTTGGTATTTACCCAAGGAAGTTTGAAATGTATGTTCACATAAAGTCTGCATATGAATCTTTACAGTAGCTTTATTCATAATCGCCCAAACTTGGAAGCAACCAAGATGCCCTTCAGTAAGTGAGTGGATTAACTATGTGTCGAGACAATGGAATATTACCCCATGCTAAGAAGATACAAGCTCTCAAGTCATGAAAAGACGTGGAGGAGAGTTCAACGTATATCACTACACGAAATAAGCCTGCCCAAATGGCGTATCCACTGTCTGATTCCAACTATGTGACATTCTGGAAGATGCAAAACTATAGAAAGAGTGTAAAGTTCATTGGTTGCCAGAATAAAAGGCTTGGGCAAGAGGAAATCATCCCAGTGGAAATGGAGAAACGCAGGAACAAATGAAGAGCAACAGAAGAAGCTAAATATTTGGGTAAAGATAGGAATTTTGAATGATGATTTCATCATTAATGAATTAAGGAAACATTGATGCATGCTCATTCTGTATTTGATGACATTGCAAACAGTGTTTTGAAAACTATACTTTGCACTAAAATTAAAATTGAGCGCCTGTAATCCCAGCACTTTGGGAGGCCAAGGCAGGTGAATCACCTGAGGTCAGGAGTTCGAGACCAGCCTGGTCAACATGGCGAAACCCCGTCTCTGCTAGAAATACAAAAATTGGCTGGGTGTGGTGGTGGGTGCCTGTTATCCCAGCTATTCAGGAGGCTGAAGCAGGAGAATCACTTGAACTGTGGAGGCAGAGGTTGCAGTGAGCCGAGATGGTGCCACTGCCCTCTAGCCTGGGTGACAGAGTGAGAGTCTGTCTCAACAACAGCAACAACAACAACAAAATGACAGCATGGCTCAAGTGTGTTGGCTCACGCCTGTAATCCTAGCACTTTGGGAGGACAAGGTGGGTGAGCTTGAGCTCAGGAGTTTGAGACCAGCCTGGGCAACAAGACAAAACCCCATCTCTATCAAACAAAACAAAACAAAACAAAACAAAACAACAACTTGCGGAGTGTGGTGGTGTGTGCTTGTGGTCCCAGCTACTCAGGAGGCTGAGGTGGGAGGATCTCTGGACCCCAGGAAGTGGAGGCTGCAGTGAGCTGAGATTGTGCTAATGCACTCCAGCCTGGGTGACGGAGCGAGACCCTGTCTCAAATAAATGAATGAATGAATAAATAAATAAATCTTAAAGATGACAGCCTACATATATATACACACACATGCCAAACTGATACATCGATGAGATAACACTGTATATACAAAAGTGCAAGGGAAATTTGTTTTTTTTGAGACAGAGTCTCACTCTGTCGCCCAGACTGGAGTGCAATGGCGCAATCTCGGCTCACTGCAACCTCCACCTCCTGGGTTCATGCCATTCTCCTGCCTCAGCCTCCCGAGTAGTTGTTACTACAGGCGCCCGCCACCACACCCAGCTAATTTTCTGTATTTTTAGTAGAGATGGGGTTTCACTGTGTTAGCCAGGGTGGTCTTGATCTCCTGACCTTGTGATCCGCCCACTTCGGCCTCCCAAAGTGCTGGGATTACAGGCGTGAGCCACCGTGCCTGGCCGTGCAAGGGAAATTTGAATATAAGACTTCAGATGCTGGTTACGGTACCTGAGGTAGGAGGGGGAAACAGGCTGGAGTATACACTACAGAGATAGTCATGCTTCATCAAGCCTCTGATTTCCCTGGAGCATGTTGACTTCACGTTGATTTTTTTTTTTACATGTTCTGTTAAAAAAATTTCTTTAAATTGGCCTTTGGAAATTTACCAGCAGTGTGCTGGTAAAGTCTTGACAATCAGCTCTCTGAAAAAAAAAGCAAAAAGAAAAACAAAAAACAACCCCGACGTGTAGCATTTGCCGATTTCTCTGGTGTAAATACTCACAGCATGGCTTTGACATGAGTTTTACATTTGGTAAAAGCAAATTGTGCCTACTTTGAATAGAAGGATTGGGACAGAGATATGGTTCTTGTCAGGCACTAATTAGGGAGTAAGGCTTGTCTAATATTGCCTTGGCTCTCAAGCAAAATAAAAAAGTAACATTTGGGAATCTGTGTTGCTTCCTCAGCCCATCCTGGGTAAAATCGGAGACGTATACAGGGCAGGGAGAAGCTGTTTATTTCCATGCCTGCGGTTGGAGCTTCTTAAGGATTTGAGCTGTGATGCTGGCACCTGGCAGACCACATCCTGTGCGGTTTTCAGTTTTGCTCTGTTCCTGACCCTGGTATAGCAGAAGCTTTTTCACATCTATGACACCCGCTATGTCTTGGTAAACCCTGGAAGGGAAAGGAGGACAAGGTTAAAATACTGTTCCGAGGACCTGGTCTCTCCACAGCGCAGGCTGGAGGTGGCAGCCCGTGGAAAGCCAAGTTCATCCACCATCGGAGCCCAGGCCAGGCTGCCAAGGCTAATATTCAGGACAAAGCCAGGCACAGGTCGGGAATCCTATGAAGATGATCATCGTCCTGAGGTCTTCCTTCCAGGGTTGCATCCGGGCCAGAAGATGGAAAGAGAAATGGGTGAGTCCCTGCTACCACACCACCCTCAGGTTGCTTTTTTGGCTGAACAAGAAGGGTCCTCCCAGGCAGGAAGGGTGGGGCACAGAAACGTGAGCCAATGTGGATGACTTGGGGAGGGCTTTGCAGTTGAATCTCCTGAAAACAGCAAGAAGTACAGACCTCCGGGCATTCTAGACTCAGATTCTGTAGACGCTTCCCTTTGGCCGAGCCAAGCCAGGGTTGCTCAGGAACTGGGGTCCTTGAGATTGGATTAGATTGGACGGAACGACACAGGATTGCAACGTGCAGAACTGTGAGGACCGGGGTTTTGCTTGAGTTCCCCAGTCTGTCCACGAGGTCCAAGCTTGAGATCATTACGGCGACCACATCTCAGGAGGAAGATAGGTCAGCAATGCAGTGATGGTGCTGGAATAGTTTTGAAATATTTGAACTATTCTAATGCAAACTCTTCTTTTAATGACATTTCACGTTGCATCTTATGTCATTTTATTTATGTAGATGTTGTCTTTCCACTTGACATTTAATTGGTGTTTAATTTAAGTTGCAAATATTGTGTATGTATCTGAGTCTAGTGTGAGAATCATTACTCTATGCCTGTGCATCCCACATCAAGTAACTTTTTTTTCTTTTTTTTTTTTAAGATGGAGTCTCGCTCTGTTGTCCAGGCTGGAGTGCAGTGGCATGATCTCGGCTCACTGCAAGCTCCGTCTCCTGGGTTCAAGCCATTCTCCTGCCTCAGCCTCCTGAGTAGCTGAGATTATAGGTGCCCGCCACCAAGCCCGGGTAATTTTTGTATTTTTAGTAGATAGGGGGTTTCATCATGTTGGCCAGGCTGGTCTTGAACTCCTGACCTCGTGATCCGCCCACCTTGGCCTCCCGAAGTGCTGGGATTACAGGTGTGAGCCACTGAGCCCCGTCCAAGTAATGTTTTTGAATGAGTAAGCTGTGCTGTGCTGAATCTGTAGCATGCCTTGGACATAGACCTTCTCCAGCTGGGATTGAAGTCTTAGAGGAATGCAAAGGTGGAGGGGCCCTTTGAGAATATGGAACGACGACAGCTCTGTATCACCCCTTTTATGGAAAAACCCAGAATAACTGCCCATGTGTTCTGTGACCTTTGATGTTGATTCTGTCAGCAGGAGGAATCATCTGAGTAGTGAGGAAAATCTTGGATATGTTGGTGGTTTCACAGCTGTCAGAATTCACTGAATGGCACAGATTCAAAGAAGGCAGTTTGTCTGCCAAGGATTCCTTGATAAAGCTGATTAAAAATCGCTAATGAAGACCTAAAGTGAAAAGAGGCAGGGAGGAGAATCTAATACATAGAAACCATTCTACACATGAAAGAAGAGTCAGAAGCAGGAAGGTCATTCTCAGGAGCCGCTGTGTTTTGGCCTCGTGTTCAATGCTAAGTTTCAAAACAAATGTAGTATTCCTTGCAACCACGAGAAGTTGGTGAGTGATTTGAAATCATTCTTATGATGAGGCGGAAGCTTTTGGAATCTGTTCTGTACCCCTGCACTTTATCCTTGTCCTCATGATTTACAAAACCATGAAAATAAAGCTCAGTTAATTCATCATCATCAAGGTGAGCACCAGGTTCAGTATTCAGCTTGAGGCTGGGGACTCCATCTTTCTTTAACTTTTGACTGAATAGCCTTCACTTAGTTTTTATATCTCTTAGGCATTAAAAAAATTAAAAAAATATATATATATATTTTGAGACGGAGTCTAGCTCTGTCGCCCAGGCTGGAGTGCAGTGGCATGATCTCGGCTCACTGCAACCTCCGCCTCCCGGGTTCCCACCATTCTCTCGCCTCAGCCTCCCGAGTAGCTGGGACTACAGGCGCCCGCCACCACGCCCGGCTAAATTTTTTTGTATTTTTAGTAGGGACGGGGTTTCACCGTGTTAGCCAGGATGGTCTCGATCTCCTTGCCTCGTGATCCGCCCACCTCAGCCTCCCAAAGTGCTGGGATTACAGGCGTGAACCACCTCGCCTGGCCTAAAAAAGTCTTTAATATATTATATTAAGCAGTTTTAATTGGTTTATTGTTATTTTTTGGATGGATTGCTGTCTTATGGACTTAGTCTAACATATTCACAGAAAGTTGGATTAGATTGGAAGAACATACCTGGGACTGCATTGCGCAGAACTCTTTGAGGGCCAGGGTTTAGCTTGAGTTCCCCTGTCCGTCCATGAGATCCCAGCTTGAGATCATTACAGCCACCATGTCTCGGGAGGAGGACTAGTCTGCAATGCAGTGATTATGATGGAATGTTTCAATGTTTTTGAAATGTTTGGACTATTCTGATGCAAAAAACTTTCTTTTTATTTTTGAGACAGAGTCTCACTGTGTCGCCTAGGGTGGTTTTTTTTTTCTTTTTTGAAACCCTCTGTTATTAAGAGATAAATATGATTCCCAGGAACATTGCTCTGTTCTGCTTTATTATTATTGGTCATATCTGGTCATACGCCCTGAAAACCCTGAAAATGGGATTGCTAAAATCGCCTTAATCTAAACTCCATTTCCCTCCCACTTGCTCCCTGGGCTTGGAGCACAACCACTCAAACAGAACTGGCTTTTGGTCAGTAAGGAAGAAGTGAGCAACGGCTGCGGTGTAGACCCTCGTCAATGCCTGCGACGGTTACACCTGGAGACAAGCTCCCCAGTGTCCTCAGGAGCAGCGGAGATGAGAATCCATGATAGGGTGGGCTCTGTCCCCCTCAGCTCCGTGATGCCGAAATGCACTGCTGGTCCTGGTCCTGCTCCTCATTCCACACCCGGCTGAGTGCCCATCTGACCCCAGACCTCAACGCGAGGTTCTAAGCACTGTCTCCTGACCCTTCAACCCCTTCGGGATTTTGCATGTGCTGTTGGACCACCTCACTCCCACCTGGAGCCAAATGACACTGTAGGAGGAGGGGAAGAGAACTTATGCTAGTAGAGTGTGTGTGTGTGTGTGTGTGTGTGTGTGAATGTGTGTGTGTATTATACATAATATATATAATTACAACATTGTTAATGGGGCCGGGCGCGGTGGCTCACACCTGTAATCACAGCACTTTGGGAGGCTGAGATGGGCAGATCACATGAGGTCAGGAGTTCAAGACCAGCCTGGCCAACATGGTGAAACCCCGTCTCTACTAAAATACAAAAATTAGCCGGGCATGGTGGCGTGCGCCTGTAGTCCCGGCTACTCAGCAGGCTGAGGCAAGAGAATTGCTTGAGCCTGGGAGGCGGAGGTTGCAGTGAGCCAAGATTGCACCACTGCACTCCAGCCTGGGCAACAGAGTACGACTCCATCTCCACACACACATACACACACACACACACACACACAAATTGTTAATTGTATATGTATAATTATAATAGTTTATATATATTAACAATTATATATAAACTTGCATATATATAGTATTTGCTGTATTATTATATATAAACAATTATATATGTAATGACTGTATAAAATAGATAAACAATTTTAACTAATAATATTATATTAATTATATTATTATTAGATGTAATAATTATAATTATTTATATATAATATTTATTATTATGTATCATTGTTAGAACACTTAACGTGAGCTCTGTCCTCTTAACAAATTTCAAGTGAACAAGACGTTATTGCTGACGATGGGTCGTATGTGGTGCAGCAGATCTCTAGGCCTGTTTGTTAATAACTCCCCATTTCCCCCTCCTCCCAGCCCCCGTAACCACCATTCCCTGCTGTGATGTTGTGACTCTGGTGACTTTGCAGATCTCCTGTAAGTGACATCATGCAGTACTTGGTCTCTGCCTCTGCGTCGCTTGGCGTGATGTCCTCAGGTTTCGTCCGTGTTGTCGCCCATGGCAGAATTTTCTTCCTTGTTTAAGGCTGAATAGTATTCCCCTGTGTGTGCACCACATTTTCTATATCAATTCTTCTATCAATGGACATTTAGATGATTTTCACGTCTTAGCTATTGCGAATAGTGCTGCAGTGATCAGGGGAGTTCAGACGGCTCTTTGCATACTGAATTTGTTTCTTTTAAATATAGACCCAGAAGTGGCATTGTTGGACCATACGGTAGCTCTATGTTTAGTTTTTTGAGGAACCTCCCCACTGTTCTCTATAGTGAGTGCACAATTTTTCAGCCTCCCAAAGTGCTGGGATCACAGGCGTGAGCCACCGCGCCCGGCGCACTGTAGGATCTTTTTTAATGCATTATATACCTTGCTGAGATTTTAGCAGAGATCACAATATTAAAAACTTGGGGAAGGATTTCTATGACTCTCATTTTAAATACAAGGACATGTCGACTTCTAGTTTTGTAACATCTTGCCCAAGAGCGGTGGTCGTTAATGTGTGGAGTTGGGATGACATCCAAGTCAGTTGGTTGCACGACCTTTATTCTGTCTTGTCCCATAGATTTAGAAAGAGGCTGACACATCGGGTAACTAGTTTAAGGTCATCTGATCATGCGGGTAAGCGACATTTTTCAGAAACCAAGGCCCTCCCTCTCATCTCACTAGTGGGAAGGGTGGAAAGAACAGAACAGAAAGCTCTCCCTCTTGTGTGAGGCAGTTGCTGTGGAAACCCCACGGGCAGGAGGCCCCCGGCCAGCACATCCTGTCTGCTTGTGTCTGCTGCAGAGTTCTGGGACCGGGGCCATGTCTCCACACCTCACTGCTCTCCTGGGCCTAGGTGAGTCCTGGAGGGAGCGGGAAGGACTGGAAAGGGGGTCGGGAGGTCTGGAAAGTTCCCTGCTCAAGCCTGACTCTAGTCCAGAAGATTCTGGGGAGGAAAGTGTCCTCCTCCCCCCAAGACTGCCCTACTGCTCTCCCTGGGGCCTAAGTCTGATCAGAGACAACCTTGTCCTAAAAACAGGGGCCCGGGTGTGGGGATGAGGTCAGCTTTAAGAAGGGCTGGGGGGCCAGGCGCGGTGCTCACACCTGTAATCCTAGCACTTTGGGAGGCTGAGGCAGGTGGATCACCTGAGGTCAGGAGTTTGAGACCAGCCTGGCCAACGTGGTGAAACTCCATCTCTACTAATACAAAAATTAGCCGGGCATGGTGGCGGGCACCTGTAATCCCAGCTACTCGGGAGGCTGAGGCAGGAGAATTGCTTGAACCCGGGAGGTGGAGGTTGCAGTGAGCTAAGATCGCGCCACTGCACTCTAGCGTGGGCGACAAGAACAAAACTCCGTCTCCAACAACACCAAAAAGAAGGGCTGGGGGAGCAGGAGCCTTTTTGGAAGAGGAGACTTTGGGATTTATCTTGAAACCATTTTGCAGCAAGAAGGATTACATGGAGACAGTGATGTCGAGGAGGGTTGGCTTGGTCGTTATGAAATGCTGAATGCCCCCCAGCTCCGTCAAGCCCCCTTTTGACAGCAGCCCTGTAAGGAGACTGGGCAGTGGGCATTTTTCTCACTGGGGCTTCTCTTCCAGTGCTCTGCCTGGCCCAGACCATCCACACGCAGGAGGGTAAGTCATGCCTTCGTCCCGTCTTCCCAGTCCCCTCTGTCACCCCAAAGGCAGTGCTGGGTGGGAGTGATGTTGATTCTTAGAGGGCCTGGAGAGATCCCTTTAAATATACCCTAGATTGCAAACTATTCCAAATGTAAAATGCATAACCCTCACCCCTTTCTCTCCTTCATTCTCCACCTGTCATGTTTTGCTTTTCTTATTTTCAAAAATCCTATATTTTATTTTATTTTTATTTTTGAGATGGAGTCTCACTCCATCACCCAGGCTAGAATGCAGTGGCATAATCTCGGCTCACTGCAACCTCTGCTCCCAGTTTCAAGCGATTCTCCTGCCTCGGCCTCCTGAGTAGCTGGGATTACAGGCACCCACCACCACCCCTGGCTAATTTTTTTTTTTTTTGTATTTTTAGAAGAGATGGGGTTTCACCATATTGGCCAGGCTGGTCTCGAACTCCTTACCTTATGATCCGCCCGCCTCAGCCTCCCACAGTGCTGGGATTACAGGCATGAGCCACTGTGCCCAGCCAAAAATCTTATTTTTAATCGACAAATAATTGTATATGTTTGTGGGGCACGATGTGATGTTACAACGTATGTAAACATTGTGGAAAGATTAAATAAGGCTAAATAACATATCAATCACATCACATACTTATTGTGATGAGAACATTTAAAACCTACTTTTAGCAATTTTGAAATATATAATAAGTTATTATTAACTATAGTCAGCCTGCTATGCAATAGATCTCAAAAACTTACTCCTCCTGTTTAACCGAAACTTTGTACCATTTGATCAGTGTCTCTCCCAAGCCCCCCATTTCCCGACTTTAATAGCATCATTCTAATCTCTAACTCTGTGAGATGACCTTTTTTGTTTGTTTGTTTGTTTTGGGATGGAGTCTCACTCTGTCACCCAGGCTGGAGTGCAATGGCACAATCTCGGTTCACCGCAAACTCAACTTCTCAAGTTCAAGCGATTCTCCTGCCTCAGCCTCTCGAGTAGCTGGGATTACAGGTGCATGCCACCACGCCCAGCTAATTTTTGTGTTTTTAGTAGAGATGGGGTTTCACCATGTTGGCCAGGCTGGTCTTGAACTCCTGACCTCAGGTGATCCACCCACCTCGGCCACACAAAGTGCTGGGATTACAGGTATGAGCCACTGCACCCGGCCGAGATGAACTTTTTTAGATTCCACATGCGGTATTTGTCTTTCTGTACCCAGCTTATTTCACTTAGCATAATGTCCTCTGGTTCATCCATGCTGTTGTGAATGACAGAATGTCCTTCCTTTTTTAGGGCTGAATAATATTCCATTGCATATACACACCACATTCTCCTCATCCATTCATTTGGTGGTGGTTATATAACTCAGGTTATTTCCAGGTCTTGGCAGCTGTGAGTAGCGCTGCGGTCACCCTGGGAGTGCAGGCATCACCTCCACACACCGATTTCCACAATGAGAATTCAAACCCAACACAACCAAGGCTGAACCCGGCACTTTTCCCCAGACGAGCCCACACTTCACTCGGCAGCTTCTTGGCGGGGAACGTGACAGTCACAAAGGGCAGACTCTGAACACTCATCCTCTTCTCCATCCTCCTGGATGCACCATGTCACCCAGTCCTGGTGATTTCACTCTAAATTTTTCTCATCTTTCCCTCTCTCTTCATCGACTTTTCCTGCATCACCCCCAGGTGACAGCCCTTCTCCCCTCCGTGGCTCCCCGAGGCCGGCCTCAGCCTGTCCATGCCACTGCTGCCTGCTCCCTTCCTGACCCCAGGGACTGGCGATTTGCAAAAGCACAACCATGACCATTGTACTTTCCACAGTTTTTAAATTGCATTCAAAAATTTTCATTTAATATCTCATCGTAAGATGAAGTTTTTTTCTTAGAGCCCTTCCCCTGTTTATCTTCAGATAGAATCAACCCAGGCACCTCTCTTTGTTCTGGACATGCCCATTTTCCCAGCCACATCCTGTCCCTGTGACCTGGGGCTCACTCATCTCTACATTCCTCCAGGTTCTTTCGCTTTCTCAAACACTCCATATGCCGCTCAACATGGTGGTTCTTCTCACATGCTGATTTTTTTTTTTTTTTTTGAGATGGTGTTTCATTCTTGTTGCCCAGGCTGGAGTGCAATGGCTCGGTCTTGGCTTACTGCAACCTCTGCCTCCCTGGTTGAAGCAATTCTCCCTGCCTCAACCTCCCAGGTAGCTAGGATTACAGGTGCCTGCCACCATGCCTGGCTGATGTTTTTGTATTTTTAGTAGAGACGGGGATTCACCATGTTGATCAGGCTGGTCTCGAACTCCTGACCTCAGGTGAGCCGCCCACCTCGGCCTCCCAAAGTACTGGGATTACAGGTGTGAGACACCGCACCTGGTCTGATTTTTAAAAGTTAATTAATTCAGTTTAAAATTGACCGATGAAAATTGCATGTATTTGTCATGTCCAATATGATGTTGTGGACTCTGCACACAGCGAGGAATGGCTACATCGAGCTAGGCAACGTAGGCATTCCTCCTGTGCGAATCATTTTTTTGTGGTGAGAATGCTTAGAATCACCTGGATTAGCAATGTCCAATAATGTAATACATTGTTATTAACTGTAGTCACCGTGTTGTACATGATGATTCTTCAATTGATTTCTCCTCTCTAACTAAAACCTTGTTTCCTTTGAGGAATTTTCCCACTTTGAGTGCCCTGGTGTCCCCTGTCTGCTCAGCTCAGGGAGTTTCTACTCCTCCCTCAGCTCTCAGCTCAGAGAGAGCTTCCCCTGACTTTGCAGAGGAGGTCAGCTCCACCGCCCACCTGTCCCCTAGATCCCTGCACACTTACCCACAGGAAACTTATTGCAGTTCGCAGCTGCAGATTTGGACAATTCTTCGATCAATATCTGTCCTCCCTTCTAGACGTCCACCTCCAAAGGGCAGGCATCCTGTATGTGTTTCTCACATTTGCGGAATTAGCAGCTCATGAAAAGCGTCTTTAAACAGATTGATAAGTAACTGAGATATGGTTAAAAGAAAGAAAAATGAACAAATGGGTGGGTTTGGGGAGATGCTGGTCAAAGGATAGAAAATTTCGTCTAGACAGGGAGAGTAAGTTCAGGATTGTGTAACATAATGACTAGAGTTAATCACAATATATCATACGCTTGAAAATCGCTAAGAGGGCAGATTTTAAATGTTCTCACCACAACAATTAACTACGCAAAGTGAGGTTATATTAATTAGCTTGATTCAGCGATTCCACAGTGTATACCTGTATCAAAACATCATGTTGTACACCTTAAATACATGCAGTTTTAATTTGTCAATAATAAGGAATGAATGAAGACGGGACGAGTGAATTGAAGCCCTGCCAGCTCTCTGCCCCGCTCAGGGATTTTGCTAATTTTGACACAACCTTCCTGTTTCAGGGCGTCAAACCCGCCCTTCCTCCTCCACCCCAAGCCCAGTTGAGATAAATGGGGTTTTTCAAGAGCCTTAATAACAAGGAAATGCAAATTAAGCTGAGAAGAAAGTAGAAACTATGAGGAAAACCCAGAGGTGGTGTCTCCACAGAGATCTGCATTAGCAATGGGGACCTGTCACGGGCTGGGCATCTGCTGTGAGCAGATCAGGGCTGGGGGCTTCACCCTCACCCCACCAGACCCTCAAAGGAGCCTGGCAACCCCCGTCCCACACTCAGTCCCACCCGGGGACCGGCCAGTGCCCTTCAGGCCCCAGCACGAGCCATCTCCAGAGCCCTCGCTTCCCTGTCCCTTGTCCTTCACGAATGACCCTGTCATCCCCATCGTGTGCCTCCCTCCCACCCTCTGTCCCTCTAGAAAGTGGCCCTGGGCTCTGCAGCAGGCATGAAGGGCTCCAGGCTGCTCCGACACTTCCCACGTGACCCTGAGCAAGGCCCAAGTTGTGAGCAAGTCTCAGGGTCCTCACTGTCAACTGGGAAAAAACTCTGCAGTGATGAGAATCACATGCACGTAGAAGGTGCAGGAGGCGTGGGAATGTTCTAAGGTTGGGCTGTGGTCGTGGCTGCATAACTCTATAAAATTGCTAAAATCCCTGAATTGTGATCCTAAAATGACGTGTGTGGCATGGTGACTTCCTACAGTGGACGCTGAGATCCTTCTTTGCTTCCCTCTTAGGGGCCCTTCCCAGACCCTCCATCTCGGCTGAGCCAGGCACTGTGATCTCCCCGGGGAGCCATGTGACTTTCATGTGCCGGGGCCCGGTTGGGGTTCAAACATTCCGCCTGGAGAGGGAGGATAGAGCCAAGTACAAAGATAGTTATAATGTGTTTCGACTTGGTCCATCTGAGTCAGAGGCCAGATTCCACATTGACTCAGTAAGTGAAGGAAATGCCGGGCTTTATCGCTGCCTCTATTATAAGCCCCCTGGATGGTCTGAGCACAGTGACTTCCTGGAGCTGCTGGTGAAAGGTAAGGACGTCACCTGGGCCCTGCCCCAGTCTCAGCTCAACCCTCGAGCTTGTCCCGAGGTCCCTGGACCCTGTCCCGGCTGCTGTCCTCTCTCTGTGGCCACCGTTGCCCTCTTCCTGACCCCAAGCCCTCCCCTTCTTCCTCTGCACACACCTCCCCTCTGCCCTCACACCTGCTTAGGTCCCTGGAGCCCTGATCTCCTCTGGATGCCACAGATGGCGTGGACACTCAGTCCCAGCATTGGGTTGGCTCAGAGCTGGCTCTGCTTGGCTGGGTGGGGAGTGGGTTCCCAGAGATTAGGGGGCAACCCCCCTACAAGGGGATGAGTGTCTTTTCACACAGGATTGATGGTCCCATTTGTTATTCCTTTCCACTGAGCCAGAACCTGCCCCAGGCAATGTGCTTCTCCTGGTGTGGTTCATCTCCCACTGGGCAGAACACAGGGTCCAGGGATGGCCCCTGACCAGGGCGGGACAGTGCTTTGGGAAAACCTTTGGTATGTGACCACATGCACTCCTGTGTGTGCTCAGCCCGAGATGTCCTGGAGTCAAAGTCCACTGGAGAGGATCCAACCCATCTTCATGTCCCCCCAGGACCTCAGCAGTCCCCTGAGGTCAAGAAGAGCTTGTGGTGGGAGGAGCAGAGGGAGTGACCAGCCCCAGGGAGAATGGGGCAAGCAGCGGGGCTCTCCCCAGCCTCCTGTCCCCTGCCCCGTTTTCTCAGGAGTCTCGAGACATTGTCTGGGATTGCGTGATGGTCATGCGGCCTTTGGATGGGGGCTCAGGGTGGAGGAGGGCAGGTTGGTTGGGACGGGTTCTAAATCCTTCTCCTGCCCCTGTTTACAGAAAGCTCTGGAGGCCCGGACTCCCCGGACACAGAGCCCGGCTCCTCAGCTGGTCAGTAGCAGGGCCCTCAGCTGGAGGGGATTACAGGGGAATCTGTGCTGCGGATGCTGTTCCGGGTCCAGCCCTCTGCCCTGGGCTTGGAGTCAAGGTCTAGGGAGGCCACGGGAAGGCACCGACACCCACCAAGCTCTGGGAGGTCGCTAATGCTCACAGAGACCATAGCAGCAATGGTACCGTGATTGCAACCTTGTTCCATGCCAGGAACTGTGGAAAGCACTTAATGCAAGCACCACTTAATGGGGGAGGTACTAGTCTGATCCTCTAACTCCTCCTCCTCTCTAATATGCAAAACATAAATTAAAGTTTCGTGCTTAACGGCACAAGGCCATGAAGGGGCAGGGGCCACCCACCCGGGCAGCCCCACCCCAGACTTCCGGGCTCGCCCGAGCTCCACGCTGCCCCCTTGTGGGCGTGGCCTCACCATTCACCCCGCTCTGCACCTGATGGAGGGACTTAGAACTCACCTTCCAACCTGGGACACCCGGAGAGGGACGGGGCTGCTCCTGTTGGCTCTGTGATCTCCGGGGGAGGCCTGAACGGTGGAGTAAGGTCCCTTAAGAGGAGGAGGGCTCCACAGGGAGGGGACGTAGCTGTGAACGGTGACCAGGATGAAGCCATGAGGCTTCCCTTCCATCTGGCTCTGCCCTGGACTCTGTGATGGGAGAGAAGCTGCCTCTGGCTCTGCCCCTGGACTCTGTGTGATGGGAGTGAAGCTGCCCCAAGTCCCTGGGTCTCAAGTTGTCCATCTCCGCCTGTGATCTGTGACCAGAAACTGCCAGGGGAGGACACGGGGTCATAAGCCATTCGCGGCCCCTTCCCCACCTGGGTTTCTATCCCCAGAGTACGTCCTTGGACCTAGACCCGGTGACTGCCTGTGAGGCTCGGGCTGTGAGCTCAGGCAGGTGGGACCAGGGGCTGAAGCCACATGGGGAGGTGGGAGGAGCGATGCCGTGCTCCATCCGGACCCCCTCAGAGGCTCCTGGGCTGCTGGGGCACAGCGGGACATGCTCCTGAGTCCCGCAGACCTGGTTCAAGTCCAGTGTCTGGTTTTTATTAGCCTTCTGTCTGCGGGAATATCTTGCCTCTGTTTCTCTCCCTCTCTTCTTCTCCTTCCTTCTCTCTTCTCTCACCTTCATGCAGTGACATATAAAGGTCACGAGGGCAGACCCTCCTGCAGCCAGATTGCTGGGTTCATGGTTCAAATCCCGGTGGTTCTGCCACCCCCTGGCTCTATGCCTGACGGTGACTCACCCAAACCTCCTGTGTCCCAAATTCCTCATGTGAAACAGAGGCAATAGAAGAGCTGTCCTGGTAGAATCGTTTAGGGCAGACTTGAGTTCAGGTACACACGGCGCTGACATCAGTGCTGATTAGAAAACCCCAAAGGAGGGATGCTCCTATTAATACTGAGGAAGTATTTTGTCCTCACAGGGACTGTGCCAGGCACTGAAGCCTCCGGATTTGATGCACCATGAATGAGGAGAAATGGCCTCCCGTCTTGTGAACTTCAATGGGGAGAAATAATTAGAATGAGCAATAGAAATGCACAGATGCCTATACATACATATACAAATAAAAAGATACGATTCGCAATGGAGAATTTCAGACCTATCATTTCAATTATATTAAATATGTTCACGTAATGTATTACATATATAAGGAACATAATTATATAATAAAAATATGTTAACATATCACCACATATCACTATAATTATATTATATGAAAGATTTATTTACAATATATAGTACAATAAATTTCAGGTGTTATTATAATTAATAAACAGGTACAAACATAAATATATATTATCTATTATTTATAGATTATAATTATAATAGAAAAATTTTATATTTAATTATATGTTTATATGTAATATACATTATACATTATATATTATAGTGAATATATGCAACATATATTATAAGTATAAATCATATACAATTAACATTATATACATTAAATTATGATGTATATGTCAAGATTACATAATTTAATATATATTTGTTATATATTATACGTTTGCATAATACATGATACATATAACTATAAATAATATAAAAACTGTAATATTGCACATATATAATACATATGTAATTTTAAATGGTGGCAAATGTTATGAAGACCAAGCCCAGGAAGTCATGGTGTAGAATAACGGGTGGTGTCCTGGACCTTGGACCGTGGAGGAGGCAGGAGGGAAGGACATTCCAAGAGAGAATGTCTGCCTTTCTTGAAGGATATTGAAGATGCTGCCTCGGCAGTGGGGGAGGGGAGGGACGCTGTTCCTGGAAGAGGGACGCTTGGCTCGGACCCTGGGTTTGGGGGAGCCCCTCAGGACCGCATTTAGCCACCTGGGAATTGGGTAGTGGCGTGCACTGTGCAGAGGAGGGTGAAGGTTGGAGGAGATGACGGGCGGCCTGCAAGGCGCCAGATGCCTGGGATCTCGGCTCGCTGCAACCTCCACCTCCCGGGTTCAAGCGATTCTCTTGCCTCAGCCTGCCGAGCAGCTGGGACTACAGGCACGCGCCACCACGTCGGGCTAATTTTTGTATTTTTAGTAGAGACGGGGTTCCACTATGTTGGCCAGGCTGGTCTGGAACTCCTGACCTCAGGTGATCCGCCCGCGTCAGCCTCCCAGAGTGCTGGGATTACAGGCGTGAGCCACCGCGCCTGGCCGATATATATAATTTTTAAAACTTCAACAAGAGCTCAGCCAGTTCTTTCTATGGGGCAATTGCTAATTTAGTTCTATGCAAATATCGACACATTAAGTCCTTGTACACACTGTCCTCAGCGTGCCTTATTATTTTCCCCCCTTTCCTCGGAGAAACTATCGACTGAGACATGGAGCAACCTCTCCAAGGTTAGCCAGGTCTCAGGGGCAGGGGCTGCCTGAACTCCAGGACAGGCTGCAGCTCACCGCGCTGGGAGGTTTCTGCCCTGCCATACTCTCAAATTTTAATTTGTACTGGGCTTTAATTTTCTTTTCTTTTCTTTTTTTTTTTTTGAGACGGAGTCTCGCTCTGTCACCCAGGCTGGAGTGCAGTGGCGCAATCTCGGCTCACTGCAAGCTCCGCCTCCCGGGTTCACGCCATTCTCCTGCCTCAGCCTCCCGAGTAGCTGGGACCACAGGCGACCGCCCCCACGCCTGGCTAATTTTTGTATTTTTAGTAGAGACGGGGTTTCAACGTGTTCTCAATCTCCTGACCTCGTGATCCGCCCGCCTCGGCCTCCCAAACTGCTGGGATTACAAGCGTGAGCCACCGCGCCCGGCCGAGCTTTAATTTTCTATTTGTGCTCAAGTTTAATTTCCTTCCAGGATCTGTTTCCTAGACCTGTGCTCTTTATTTTTGCCTTCTTCTGTTACATGATGACTGATTTTCTCTGTTCTTTATGTGGGACACATTCTCCCTGCTCTCTCTGTGTGTGTGTGTGGTGTGCGTGTCTCTGCATCTCTGTATCTCTGTCTTTCTTCTCTCTGGTTGTTTTTCAACTATTAGCGCAGTGTCTTCTCCCATCACGTCTTGTTTGTTTGGCTTGGACCCTGAGGTGGACAGGTGGGTAAATGAGGCCTTCAGCAAAGGGTGGCAGCTTGACCTTAGCAGAGGAGGCTGTGTGAATTTTTCTACCCCTTGCAGAGCACAGGAGGGCTGAGCCGACCCCCGTACCTGCTCCAGTGTAAGGAAGTCCAGGATGTGCAGGCAGCCAGGCCACAGTGAAAAGCAGGACAGTCATGGTTTAGGGGAAATTAAACAAAAGCACCCAACTGTTCTTTTGTGGGGATTGGTGGAAAGAGGATGGGTCCAGGCAGAGGACAGAAAAGCAGAGGCAGCGACTCATCTTTTCTTCTGGATCCTCCAACCCGCCCAATGCAGGGGCTGGGACTCAGCGCGATGGGTCTGGGGACACTGCTGTATGGAGAGGATGTACCTCCTGCTCCACCGCCCCCAAGCCCACCTGGAGGAGGAGCCACGTTTAACACACCCGGTGGTGCAGTGTGGCCAGGCAGAGAGGGAAGGCCCACCCTGTGATCATGACCGCACCCTAATTCCCCTGAGGAGTGTCCTGGGGGTGAACATCAGGGGGCTGCAGTGGGGCCCAACATGGAGGGGAGGGGAGGCCTCACTTGGGCCAGATGGGGCAGCAGCAGATACTCACAAATGTCCCTGAATCCCTGGGACTAAGTGGACATTGAGTCAACAAGAAGGGTCCCCAGGCCTTGAGGGAGCAGAGAGAGGAAGGAAGGACAAATGGCTATCAGGTACAGACATCAGTGGGATCCCCCCGGCAATCTAGTAAGCAAACCCCACAGACCCCAGTCAGCTCAGGCCCAAAGCCCAAAGGCCAGCAGGAGGGCACAGAACCACTGTCCCAAGCATCACCTTTGAACCCTGCTTCCTCCATATTGGGCACTACCCTGGGAAGGAGCTCAGGAGAGAGGGAAAGTGGGAAGGGGAAATCATACTAAAGAAAGTGAAAAATGATTGTGAAGGGCTGAGTTTAAACTCCAGGGAGTGTGTGCGTGTTCACCAGGGGCAGCTTATGAGGAAGAGTGACATCAATGATAGAAGACGTATTTCTTTCTTTTCTTTCTTTTCTTTTTTTTTTTTTTTGAGACGGAGTCTTGCTCTGTCGCCCAGGCTGGAGTGCAGTGGCACAATCTCGGCTCACTGCAAGCTCCGCTCCCAGGTTCCCACCATTCTCCTGCCTCAGCCTCCCGAGTAGCTGGGACTACAGGCACCCACCACCACGCCCAGCTAATTTTTTTGTATCTTTAGTAGAGACAGGGTTTCACTGTGTTAGCCAGGATGGTCTCGATCTCCTGACCTCGTGATCCTCCCCTCCCAAAGTGCTGGGATTACAGGCGTGAGCCACTGCATCCAGCTCCATAGAAGACGTATTTCTTCTGTTGAACTGAGTGCACGCTGATCTGTTGCACACACACACGTGAAGCCACACCAACACATACACGGATGGAATCCTCACTGGCGTGCAATGCTATTTAACTCCTCAGGTATTAACTACCTAAGGAAAGAAATGTAATTCATTGGATTTTTGATGATGCTTCAGTGAAATAAACCAGAGTCTGTTCCATCGAAAATGCCAGGTAAACGTTGACTATTTTTATTTTTCTCTGTTTTATCATGCATATATAACAGGCTTCCCCCCCCAACAGGGTCAATATTTTACGGGCCCTTTTATAAACTGCTTGTTCTGTTAAAAATTCACCAGAAGCATCCCTCCTTCTGTTGCACGTCCGCAATGAGCCCTCAGTTTGTAGCACATCCCACACTGCACACCCTCCTGAAAAATGCTTGGTTTGTGTGATAACATGCCCTGTCCCTTTCTCTCTCCACCAGGCTTTTCCATGTGGAGAAACGTCACTTAAAATGTTTCACATTTGATAGGGAGTCAGTGGCGCTATGTATGGACTGTGCTTCAGTTTCTTTGCATGTGGTTTTTTTTTTTTTTTTTTTGAGACGGAGTCTTGCTCTGTCACCCAGGCTGGAGTGCAGTGACATGATCTTGGCTCATTGCAACCTCCACCTCCCAGGTTCAAGCGATTCTCCTGCCTCAGCCTCCTGAGTAGAGTAGCTGGGATTACAGGCATGTGTCACCACACCTGGCTAATTTTTGTATTTTTAGTAGAGATGGGGTTTCATCCTGTTGACCAGGCTGGTCTCGAACTCCTGACCTCAAGTGATCTGCCCCACCTTGGCCTCCCAAAGTGCTAGGATTACAGGCGAGAGTCACTGTGCCTGGCCAAAATGTGGAGAATTTTAATAGGTATTTTGTTGCCGACCTTTTCTTCCTGTTTCCTTGGGGATTCGGGTGGTTACTTTCACACAGAAAGAAAACAGCTTTTCCTGAGGACAGTGGTTCCCACCATGGAACTGAGACACGCTGAGCGTGTGAGAGATGCCCAGAGTGGCAGTCATGGCATCCTGATCTGCAGACCACTTCTCGGCTTCTGTCCAGAGCAGAGGCCAGGTGTCTGGACTTCCCTTTCTCAGACCGTTGGACCAGCTGGGCAGGGTGTTGAAGAAAAAAAAAATCCAGTGTCACTTGTTGAGGCACAATAAGGAGGACATTATTTAGGACTATTGCTGTAGGTACAGGGACCATGGTGATGGAATTGCACAGTGTGGGAAAGAGACTGGGCTCAACTCTGAGTAGAACAGGAAAAGTGGGAATTTGTAGCCTTGGAGCAGGGTGAGCGGGGTCAGTCAGTGGAAAATTGCTAAGAGAAGTCCTCAGGGGTTAAGAAGACCCTGGCTAAACCGACCCAGCAGGATTCTTGCTGAAGGCAGGCCAAGGCGGCCAGACATCACCTGAGGCTGATGGAGAATGAAGGTTCTTACCTGTGAACCATCTGATTAAGGGTGATCAGATATCTAGAGTTAAACTGACTCTGCAGGATTCTTTCTTAAGTAAGAATTGGAAAAGAGTTGCAATTCTTACTAAAATTGGGCAAAGCAGAGATAAACATGGAAGCCCAGAGGTCAGGGCTCGTTGGAAAAGAGCTCAGAGGAGCCTGAGTCGAGCATGGTCAAGGAGATCGTCTATCTGAAGGGAGAACGTAGAGCCTGGGCAGGTGTTGGGGAGGAGGGTTTAGACCAAGAATCACAAAGCTCATGGGCCTTGCTTCATGGAGGGATCACAGACCCAAGAGCTTCATTCTCTTCTTCTTGAAGAAATGTGACCACTGGGGCTGGGTCTCTCCTGGGCTTGAGAGTGAGGTCTGGGGAAACCCACAGGTCTGTGCCCTTGGAGAGGCTTAGCCCACCTGTTCCCAGGAGGACACCACAGCCAACAGTGAGAACCTGTCCTCCATCTCTATCAGACTACACCTTGCTGACCCCAAGAACCAGAAGGGAGTGTCTTCCCCTAGGACCCCAGCTCTGCTGGGAGACCTCTCGTACCCATGGCCTCTGCCAGTCACTCTCACCTGTGACCCTAAAAAGTCTCAAGCCCTTCTCTGCATGTTCCTAATTCTTGGTCCATCCTATCCTCTTGGGGATGGCCCTTTGCATGGAACATCACTGCAGGCCTCAGGAACCCCAGGACAGAGCAGAGTCCTCCGCTTCCTCCATCCTGTGAGCAGGTGACTTGGGATTTCAGATGAGGCTGGCAGTGACTGGAGATTTCGGAATCTGACAGATGCTTTTAACTACCTGGAAGGACTGTGCCCTAAGAGACAGAAGATATGAGAAGCATGAGAATCCACTGAAATGTAAAGGGCTTTAGAGCTACAAGAGAAGCTCTAAAAAGACAAGGAAATGCAGAAAGCCCCCAGTTCCTCAGTGGCTTGGGAGGGAGGTGCAGACTTCCTGACTATACAGGAGATGATGGGAAGACTCATTACGGATGGGGGCTAGGAGACCACCCTTCCTTAGTTACGTGTTTTGTGCTGTGTCTTGACAAGAGAGATGAATCAGGGTCCTAGGTGAGAATTCACCACCATCCAAGACCTAAATGGGTGTGTGTAGACTCTGAAGTCCAAGAAGTTCTGCCGACCGACGTCTGCACAAACCACTCTCAGCAAAACAACCACTAGAGTAATCCAGGGTTTCAGAAAGAGTTGGTCTTTTCCAATCTAGCGGAGAATATCTTCTCCCAGTGAGAGAGGGACACACACACACACACACACACACATACACACACAGTATTGGCTCTGTTTTCTCTGAAGTGTGTGGCCTTTTTTTTTTTAAGGTGTTGTAGATTACTTGGAACTAAATAGAGGTGATGGTTGAAGAAGATTATGAATGCACCAAATTCCACTGATTTGTACACTTTTACATAGTTAATGGTTAGTTTTATGTTTGCGTACTTTATTACAATAAAAAGTAATGATATAGTATTTGTAGAGCAAGTAGCAAAGTCCCAATATGAGTAGAATCTTATCATGCTCATAATTTATACACACAGTGCATTGAAATAAGACACTATTTTCGGACAGGCGCGGTGGCTCATGCCTGTAATCCCAGCACTTTGGGAGGCTGAAGCGGGAGGATCACAAGGTTAGGAGTTTGAGACAAGCCTGACTAACATGGTGAAACTCTGTCTTCACTAAAAATACAAAAATTAGCCGGGCATGGTGGCGTGAGCCTGTAATCCCATCTACTCAGGAGGCTGAGGCAGGAAAATCACTTGAACCAGGGAGGCGGAGGTTGCAGTGAGCCGAGATCATGCCATTGCACTCCAGCCTGCGTGACAGAGTGAGACTCCATCTCAAAAAAAAAAAAACAAAACAAAACACTATTTTCTATTACCAAGGCAAGGCCAGAGTGATTCCCTTTTTGCTTCCTCTCTGCCCACGATGGTGTACAGTAGAAAAAAAAATGGCCTTATCCAGATGTCAAGATTCCATAGTTCATATGAACATCATCTACACCTTGAGCTTCTCCACCTCTTGCTAAATTCTGACTCCTATTCCAAATGTTCCCAATATATCTGGTCCTATATCTAGACACCATTCCTATTTCCCCTGTCTGGATGCAGTCCAAGGAGAGTGGTTCTTGCGGTTACTGTTTACAGTACTGACTGGGATGCTGGCGCCTGTCTGTAGTTTCAGCACCATGGCCAGCGTCCAGGAAGCCACACAGCTTTCTCCATTGTCGTCTCTTAGTTGATCATTTGCATATGCTGAGTCCCTATCTTGGGACTCTGAAATAGAGTCTTCCTGGAAAAATCTAATCAGTAACTTTTTTTTCAGGGCAATATTCAGGCATTAGGGTAAATTGGAAAAAGAGGATGCCAGTTGTTAAGGCGATGTTTTTGGAAAAAAAATAACCCTTACATTCCATGGATTCTGCAAGCAAGTAGAATGGCCTGTTGTGGGGTCGGGGGTGGGGGAGGGGGAGGGACAGCATTAGGAGATATACCTAGTGTAAATGACGAGTTAATGGGTGCAGCACACCAACATGGCACATGTATACATATGTAACAAACCTGCACATTGTGCACATGTACACTAGACCTTAAAGTATATACATAAAAAAAAAGCTCAGAATGTGGGCTCCCACACTCATCAGGACAACTAGAATAATCCAGGGTGTCAGAAAGAGTTGGTTCTCTCCAATCTAGCTGAGAATATCTCTTCCCGGACTTTCAAGATACCAGCTATTGGGTAATGGCCAAACGACAACAGGCTTTAAATCACACCAAACTGCTTTCAAAACCTGAATCTGACCTTGCTATCTTTATGTGCTTGGGAGAGTCACATTACCTGTCTAAGACTCACTTTGCTTTTCCATAAAATGGCACTAATAATGCTGTCTGCTTTGTAAGCATGTTTGGAAGACGGATGATCGGGGATTATTATATTCTGCCTCTCTGTTTAGCTAGGAGGGAAGGCTCCGGAGCCAGGAAGGCTGGGATATGATCATTGCTTTGTCTCTGAAAACTATGAGATTTAGGAAAATTACCCACTTGACTCAATTTTGTCATTTATAAAATGAGGGCAATGCCAGTACCTACCTTATATAGAGTTTTGGTGGAGAACACATAGTTACTGCATGTGACGTGCAAAGTAAACTCTGAACATGTTGTTAGACTCACTCAATAATGTGGGCTATTGTGATCACTACTATAATGTTACTCTAAAAACGATGATAATATTATCATAGTTTTGTGGCTACACAGAGCCTGATAAACTTTGCTCAGTAATAATACCTGTTTTTATGAATCATTGTTAACATTTTCTTGAAGGTCCTTGGACATCTGACATATTCCCTGATTTACTTTCCAAAGTTCTGGGCTCCCCATCTCAAGCTTACAGACTTAGCCTGGACGGATGCCGGCATTTGTTTTTTTCAAATATTTACTCAGCAACATCTCCTGGGACTCGGGACTCTGATGTGCCACATCCTGTATAGGAAACAGGTGATGTGGAAATGAGTCAGACTCAGCTCCTGCCCCTGACAGACTCTGACAGAGAAATCTGCAATGCACTGATAAGACTCTGCTACCAGAAGCTTAGGCGCTGCTGAAACGCAAAAGAGATACCAATTTATCTTTTCCTAAGGAGTGAAGGAAAGCCCCTTGGCCATGAAAACCCCTCAGATGGTACCAAAAATATAGACAATTGATCCAGAGAGGAAAAGAGGGGAAGGAAAGAGTAGAGAGCATCCTCAAATGAGAGAGCAGTGTATTCGGAAGCATCAGTAGCTATGAGAAGCTACAGGCTCAAACAAGGGGAAAGATTTAGGAGGAGAATTATTCTCAATTGCTGGAGTGAGGGGTTGAGCCAAATAGGTTAAATTAAAATTTTCATTGTTGACCATGGAAGGGCTGCGCACTGGGGCAATAGGAGAAACCTCCAGGAGTGTTCAGGGAAAGAAAGCAATTAAACGTGGATCATGTTTTTTGTTGTTGTTTTTGTTTTTTGTTTTTTTTTCTGAGATGAAGTCTCGCTTTGTCGCCCAGGCTGGAGTGCCATGGTGTGATCTTGGCTCACTGCAACCTCCACCTCCCGGGTTCAAGTGATTCTCCTGCCTCAGCTTCTGGAGTAGCTGGGATTACAGTCATGCACCACAAGGCCCAGCTAATTTTTGTATTTTTAGTAGAGATGGGGTTTCACCATGTTGGCCAGGATGGTCTCGATCTCCTGACCTCGTGATCTGCCTGCCTTGGCCTCCCAAAGTGCTGGGGTTACAGGTGTGAGCCATGGTGCCTGGCCAGATAAATTTTTAAAAGAGAGGGAGATTTGGCTGGGCATAGTGGCTCACGTCTGTAATCCCAGCACTTTGAGAGACTGAGGTGGGTGGATCACCTGAGGTCAGGAGTTCGAGAACAGCCTGGCCAACATGGCTAAACTCCATCTCTACTAAAAATACAAAAATTAGCCAAGCATAGTGGCAGGTGCCTGTAACCCTAGCTACTCAGGAGGTTGAGGCAGACAAATCGCTTGAACCCGGGAGGCAGAGGTTGCAGTGAGCCGAGATCACACCACTGCACTCCAGCCTGCAATAGAGAGAGACTCCATCTCAAAAAAATAAAATAAAATAAGAAGATGACTGTGGGAATGGTAAACTGATTTCCAGGATGGGATACCCAAAAGGCACTGCAGACCTGGGGAGAGGGTAGCAGCAATATTGACTTTCATTGTGGACACGGCGAGTAGAAAAGTCCTGTAGGGAACTCTATAGGTTCTTGCCTAAGGGAAGAGTCACAAAGCTGTTGGACAGAAATGGAAACACTACCAAAAGCATCAACGGAGAAGAGAAAAAGGAAAAGAGTACAAGGGATGGGGATAGGGTAGAAAAGGATGATTCTCAACAAGTCAGGATTTCTCCTACCCAAACATCTATGGTATACACCTGCCACTCCTTGCCAATACTTTTGTCATTATATATATATTTGAGACAGAGTCTTGCCCTGTCGCCCAGGTTGGAGTGCAATGGCGCAATCTCGGCTCACTGCAGCCTCCAACTCCCGGGTTCAAGTGATTCTCCTGCCTCAGCCTCCCGAGTAGCTGGGATTACAGTCACCCACCACCACACCCTGCTAATTTTTGTATTTCTTTATTTATTTTTTTAGTAGAGACAGGGTTTCACCATATTGGCCAGGCTGGTCTCCAACTCCTGACCTTGTGATCCACCCACCTTGGCCTCCCAAAGTGCTGGGATTACAGGCGTGAGCCACTGCGCCTGGCCTACAAATGTGTTAATATCTCAGGGTGTGTGTGTGTCTCTGGGGAGGGCCAGGTGGTTTTCTGTGCTGAGTTTGCTCTGTAGGGAAGAGCTGTGTTTTCTGGGGCTGTAGAGTTTAGCTCAGTCCTGATCATCAGCAATACGAATGTCAAACAGGAAGGCTTGTGTCTTATTTGGATGAAGATGCAGACCTGTGGAAGGATTTTGATCAGGGCCAGAAACAGGAAAGTTTGGGGCTATGAGAATTAATAGACGTCAGCAGCAGTGAGGGTCTGGAGTAGGGGGCTGGGAGGAGGCTGATGTGGTGACAGAGACACGATGTCTTCAGTCTCCAGCTAAGCTTGGACTGTGAGGATGGGTCAGGGGACGTGGGTGAGGAGGGACTGGGGGAAAGAGCTGTTTGGATTTGTTCACGGTGTGGGGAGCAGAAGAGCGTGAGGAACTGAGAGTTGCTCCAGTCTCTGCCTTGGTTCACTGGAGGAGCCGATGGGGCTGTCTCGGGATGGATGACCCCAGGAGAAGCAGCAGGCAGGGGAGGTGTTTATAAGATGGATAACTGGCCTCAGAGAAAGCAGAGCCTCCCTCCAAGCCCGAGTGTGTGGTTTTGTTCCTCCCAAACACTTCCTTCATCTGACTTCCTTTGTTCTATAATTAGCAGCACCTTCTCTTCATTCTTCTCTTTCAAAACCTCTGATTCATTTCTACCTCCTCACTACAGTGTGTTTTCTGAAAGTTCTCAAAGCACAGACTAATTCCCATTTTCCAGGAGAACCACACATTTCATATGGCTTCAAGCCAGACAATGGGAATCCACGCAGAGAGAACATGCACGCACACAAACAGGAAGGACGCAGACGGGCTTTGGGGGTGACGAGGGACAGCTTCACCCTGAGGTCTCAGGCGAGGGGCGAGGAAGGAGACTCATGTGAACTCCTCTGTCTCTGCTCTCAGGCTTGTTCACAAAACCCTGCATCTCAGCGCACCCAAGCCCCCTGGTGCACGCAAGAGCCAGCGTGAGCCTGCGCTGTCACTCAGAGCTGGCCTTTGATGAATTTATCTTATACAAAGAGGGGCACACACAACATTCCCAGCAGTATGGTAGGATGATCCAGGCTGGGGATCACTCCTTCAAGGCTGTCTTTTCCATGGGTCCTATAACGCCTGCCCGTGCAGAAGCCTATAGGTGCTGTGGCTGTTTCAGTCACTCCCGCTATGAGTGGTCGGCTCCCAATGACCCCCTGGACATTGTGATCACAGGTGAGTGTGGCTGGACCATTCGTGGTCTTTTGGTGCCCAGGAAACTCCCCAGGGTGATGTGGTTGTTGATCAAACCGCCAGTAGAGGAAGAAAAATACCAGAACATAGAAACACCAAGTAACTTATTAGAGGGCCAGAGGAGGGGATGAAGGAAAGGGGGAGAAACAGAGAACTTGTGATAGTTAAAGAGAAAACAAGTTAGACAGTGACAGAGAATGTGAAACAGATATTGAGAGAGATTCGCAAACATAGACAATGCCTCCTCCTGACCTCTCACCTGTGTCCTTAATGCCTCCTCCTGACCTCTCACCTGTGTCCTCAGTGCATCCTCCTGACCTCTCACCTGTGTCTTCAGTGCCTCCTCCTGACCTCTCACCTGTGTCCTCAGTGCCTCCTCCTGACCACTCACCTGTGTCCTCAAACATCACTTCCTCATGACTCCCTTTCCGCAACAGAAGAGCTATGCCAGTCTATTTTCTAATCACCCATAGCCAAGGAATGATTCCACATACGAATGTCATAGTGCGTAGTTACCTGTTTTGTAGTTATTTCTAGACATCTATCACATCCCCTAGACTAGCAGGGCTCACAGGACAGGATCCATGTCAGTGAAGCGTATGCTTTATTTTTCATTCTTGGTTAATTGTATGAAATAAGGTTGACATTTATAGACATATGCTGGCAGAATGGATGGAAGCATGGATGGACTATAAATGGACAGACACAGAGGGAAGAGTTGATGATGTATTCAGTATTCAAAGGCACACTTAAAATCTGTCGTATATCAAGCCAGCAACCTCTCCTGCTGCTTTCCCCCTTGAATTCTGGGATATTCAGCTCTGCTCTCAGTTTCCTGGCTCAGGGATTTCCTCCTTGTCCATTTTGCCCAGGTGAGACGCACACAGAGATCACAAACTCAGATCAGCCTGACAAATCCTAAAGCAAGATCATACCTGCAGCATTGACTATATAATCCACTGGACCCCATGCAAAATGAAAATAGAGGGCCCCATGTTCAAACATCAAGATGTCAACACGAGGGCATTAAACTCAGCTTGGAACTCTGATGGCACGGCTCCTGGACAGTGAAGCCAGCCCTGCACAGAGACATAAGCAATTGGGGGATTGCACACAGCATATACCAGGCACCTCGAGATCCCAGAGCTGCATGCACCCAACACACGCCAGGTATTCCAGATGCATCAGACAGAAAGTGCCCCTGGAGGTGATGGTTGCAGATCTGGGGGCCTCCAAAGCCCACTTCGCCACTCTCTGCTTCAGTCGTCATACTGGACATGGACTGTGTCCCTGCACAGACCCTGTGTATACCTAGTCCGTTCACTGCACTGCAGGGACTCAGACTTGGTAACTGAGTGTATGAATGTGTATGAATGAAAATAGCATGTTGATTGTGTTGGATTATCTTTACTTAACAAAGTGGCATGCAGTTTTATGAAGTTTTAAATGGAATAAATAGTGACGTCTTCACATAAGCCTCCTTAGGAAGTGACTAATATCACCCACGCTTACAGGATGAGGAGGTTGAGCTTCACAGCTTGTGCAGCAGGCTGAGAGTCACGGAGCAAACAGGCCGCAGATCCTGGAATGAGCCCAGGCTGGCAGAGGTCAGAACCCAGTCTTGTGACCACAATGCTTTGCCACCTGTGTTAGCTTCCTGGGGCTGTCCTAACAAAGTCCTGCAATCTGCGTGGCTTAACACCACAAAATCAATTCACTTATAATCCTGGGAAGTAGAAGTTTGCAAGTAAGGTGTCAAGGAGGCCATGCTCACTCTGTAGGTTCTAGGAAAGAATCCTTCCACATCCCCCCCACCTTTTTTTTTTTTGAGACAGAGTCTTGCTCTGTCACCCAGATCTGTGGAGCGATCTTGTCTCACTGCAACCTGCACATCCTGGGTTCAAGTGATTCTCATGCCTCAGCCTCCCGAGTAGCTGGGACTACAGGTGTGCACCACCACACCTGGCTAATTTTTGTATTTTTTTAATTTAATTTTTTTTTGAGAGAGAGTTTCACTCTTGGCATCCAGGCTGGAATGCAATGGTGAGATCTTGGCTCACTGCAACCTCTGCCTCCTGGGTTCAAGTGATTCTCCTGCCTCAGCCTCCCAAGCAGCTGGGACTACAGGCATGAGCCATCATGCCCAGCTAATTTTTGTATTTTTAGTAGAGATGGGGTTTCACCAGCTGGTTTTGGCCAGGCTGGTTTCAAACACGTGATGTCAAGTGATCTGCCCACCTTGGCCTCCCAAAGTGCTGGCATTACAGGTGTGAGACACTGCCTGGCCCCAAATCATTCATTCATTCATTTATTCATTCTTCATTGAGTCATTCGGTAATTCCCCGTATAGTTACTAATCACTAAATGTGTGCCAAGTACGGGGCTCCTCACTTCGTACAATTACGGTATATTGTAGACACAAAGAGTGTCTTCATGGTGGGAACTGGAGGAGAAACAATGAAAAAGTGGAGAAATAGAAATAAATGACATCAATGATAAATTTTATGAAAGAAAATGTTAAAACTAAACCATGAAAACTAATACAGAAGCCTACTTGCCTACGGTGGTAAGGAAAGAAATCTTGGAGCTGGTGATATTTGCACTCAACAGTGATATGAGGTGTGGGGAGAGGGATGGAAGTTGAGATAGAGAGAAGAGCACGTGCAAAAGTCCTGGGGTGAGGGAAATGTGAAGGATCCATTTCTTTTGCTGTAAATAAGACAACATACTGTCCTGAGTGTATGTGGGTATTTATAAAGTAATAATATTTATCTAAAACTTGGAGTGAAGTATCTGAATGAACGTATGCTTCGAGTAAGGGTTATAAACCATTGTGTCTATTTATGTACAGATGAGAATACCACATATTCCAGCCCTGCCGTGAAGGAAAGGTGGAATCAGAGATGAGGAATCTTCAGCTCAGATAGGAGACACACAGAAAGGTTTGCATGTGGAAGTGCCAGCCTGTCAACCTCTCCAGAGGCTCCAGAAGTGAGGCCAGAATTTTGATGATAGGAGATAGACTTTGGAGGTCATCACCCACATCCCCTGTCATGGTCACTGTCATTGTCCCTATTCCAGGCAGTCAGAAGGAAAAATGAAGGATGAACATAATGCGTTGGGTTCAATGGGCCAGGGCTGGAAGCAGCCACCTCTCCTGGGCAAAGCCTCAATTTCACAGATCTTCTCAGGTGAGAATTGAATCACTGCAAATGAAAAGCTTGCCCTTGGGTTGTGTCGACAGGTTTGAAGCAGGCAGGGAAATCTATTCATGGCAGAGATATAAACGCTCCCTTTATTCTATGGGTGGATGTGGATCAAGAATTCTAGACACACAGGGTGAAGCCTGTGTCCAAACTAATAGGACCTTCACACTGTTTTCAGCATGGAGAGCTCACAAGTATTGGAGGATTGGGAGAATGGGGTGTCTGGAATAACGTAAAGCAACAGGAAGCTTGATTCACCCAGATGGGTAACCTGAGCATATGCCCTCCTATGGATCAGCTCAGGAATTCCACGCTGGCTTCAACACAAAGGCCTTTTCACCCGTGCTTGCTAACATTCAGATTCCCATTAAAGATGTGTGTTTTTAATTAATCATTTCAAATAAAACCTTGACATTATTTTGCATTAATTTTTCATGTTTAAGTAATTGGTTTAATCGAGAAACGGAAGTGCATGAGGCAGATACTAAGTTAGTTAGGTCATTGCAAATATTTAGTTGGACTTTTATCATCCCTCGGCCTCAGATTTTCTGAAGCCTCTGATGCCGTTCACCCCTCTGACCTACGTGAAAGTAGCTCTTATCTTGTTCACCTTTTGGACCTTGTTTCAAAAGTAATGATAGAAATGAGCAGTCCAGTTGAGAAAACAAGATACTCTGGGAGGGTAGGTGCTGAAAATTCTTGGAGAAACCAAAGCTGAAGACAAGACTCTCAATCAATTGATCTTGGCAAGGAATTGTGTTTTCTCTCTTCACTGTTTAATACTGGTCAATACAATTATGGATGTTTTGATCTGGAGTGATTCTTTGTTAACATCTCTCGTATTCATCCAGAGAATGTAAATAAGGGCATAAAACAAATGTAAATATTCCTATGATAAAATAATTATTCTGCTATGGAGAATATTGGATCTTGCTCCTTAGCGTGGGTTATTTGGGTGAAACACTGAGAAACATGAATGTCAAAGAGTCCTACACTGTGAAACCCCGTCTCTACTAAAAATACACACACACACACTCACACACACAAATTAGCCGGGCGCGGTGGCGGGCGCCTGTAGTCCCAGCTACTCAGAAGGCTGAGGCAGGAGAATGGTGTGAACCCGGGAGGCGGAGCTTGCAGTGAGCCAAGATCGCGCCACTGCACTCCAGCCTGGGGGACAGAGTGAGACTCCGTCTCAAAAAAAACAAAAACAAAACCAAAAAAACAGTCCTAAGCTTTCTAGGACCAAGGAAGCAGCTACTCACTCGCAATCGCTAGAGTGTTCCCATCTTCCAACACCCACCTTGATTTTCTCTAGTCCACCAATGAGTCAGGTCTCAGCATGGTTGAAGCAGGGAAGGAGCATCTCATGCTGCTTTCCTTGTGGTCATACCTTGCCAATGCCACTTCCAGAGGCAGGTTTTTCATTCCTTCTTTCAGCTTTCAGGGTCTGGATACTCTGAGGACACTGGTTTTGCCTCTGTGCATTGATGAATGCCTCCGTTAATCTGCAAGTGAAGAGTAAGGAAATTGCTTTTCACACATTACTTAGAGGGCTTTTGGTACTGTCAGCGAAGGACACTTGTCTGATGATATCGATGTCAACCACAACTTGCAAAATATCCCATAGACTCAAATTTTAGGAAACTATTCTAACCAAAGCTCATCATCTGAAAGCTGTTGCTCTATGCACAGGGTCCTGGGCTTCTCTGTGTGTGGCTCTTCCCCCCACACAGGAGACCCATCCTCTCGTGAGATCTTCACCCTGCGCAGGAGACCCGTCCTCTCCCGAGATCTTCGCCCCGCGCGGGAGATCCGGCCTCTCCCGAGATCTTCACCCCAGGAAGGAGACCCGTCCTCTCGCAAGATCTTCACCCCACGTAGGAGACAGGTCCTCTCGCGAGATCATCACCCCATGCAGGAGACCCGTCGTCTCGCGAAATCTTCACCCCTAGCATGAGATTCCCTCCTATCGCGAGATCTTCACCCAACTCAAGAGACCCGTCCTCTCCCGAGATCTTCAAGGCACGCGGAAGACCCGTCCTCTCGCGAGATCTTCCATGCGATGGCTCCTGCCTCTGCTCATATCCAAACTCCTCCTCAGCCAGGTGTCTGCTGACTCCACTGCCATCATCCCAGAAATTTGTTCCTAGAGAACACAAACAAATTTCTTCTCTATTCTTCATACCAAAGAAAATACTATGATATTTCTGCATGTTTATATTATTGTTAAGTGAACGGCAGTAATTGCTTATCTTCCAAAACGAAGAGCTGAGTAATGATATATCTTTAAACTCCATCCTTTTGACAGTGATTGAAATGGACAAAACAGTAGAAAGTAGAGCTGATATGTGTGATCACTTTTAATGACACAGATTAACAGTGAAAACCACAAAGACCTGTGGTACTTGTATCTAGGTAGTAGAACATTGGCCTGTAAACACAGCACTTCGGGAGGCCGAGGCAGGTGGATTGCCTGAGGTCAGGAGTTCGACACCAGCCTGCACAACATGGCGAAACCCCGTGTCTACTAATGATACAAAAAATTAGCTGGGCATGGTGGTGCAAACCTGTAATCCCAGCTACTCGGGAGGCTGCCAGATCCAGCCACGAGACACCTTTCAAAAAAAAAAAAGAACTTGGTGTATAAGATAATTTTTACACTGCCATAAAGAACTACCTGAGACTGGGTAATTTATGAAGAAGAGAGGTTTAATTGACTCACAGTTCCACAGACTTAACAGGAAGCATGACTGGGAGGCCTCAGGAAACTTACAATCATGGCGGATGTTGAAGGGGAAGCGGGGACCTTCTTCTCATGGCTGCAGGATAAAGAGAGAACCAGGGGAGACGTGTCACACTTTCAAACCACCAGCTCTTGTGAGAACTCATGATCATGAGAACAGCAAGTGAGAAATCTGCCCCCATGATCCAATCATCTCTCACTGGGCCCCCCTCCAATACATGGAAACTGCAATTCGAGATGAGATTTGGGAGGGGACATAGCCAAATCATATCATTTTGCCCCTGGCCCCTCCCAAATCTCGTGACCTTCTCACATTTCAAAACCAATCATGCCTTCCCAACAGTTCCCAAAGTCTTAGCTCATTCCAGCATGAATTCACAAGTCCAAGTCCAAAGTCTCATCTAAGACAAGGCAAGTCTCTTCCCCGTATAAGCCTGTAAAATTAAAAACAAGTTAGCTACTTCCAAGATACAATGGGGATATAGGCACTGGGTGAATGTTTCCATTCCAAATGGGAGAAATTATCCAAAGCCAAGGGGCCACAGGCCGTGTGGTGATGGGTTTGTAGGTGCAGCAAACCACCAGGGCACAAGTTTACTTATGTGGCAAACCTGCACGTCCTGGACATGTACCCTGGAACTTAAAATAAACAAAATAACATTGATTATAAAAAGATATGAGGCCTAGAGAATCCCAGGAATACCTCCGCCGAACCCCACAACCCACAACCCCAGTGTCACTAGGTTGCTGGGACAACACTGGCACTACCTGCCTCAAAACTTATTGTGAAGTGAAACATTAAATGTCTTTATTATTAAAACAAAAGGAGAGAATGACAATGATCGTAACAAATACTTTCAAGCTTTATGGACATATACAAATTGTACATATTTGGTGGGTGGAATATGATGTTTTGATGTATGTGAAATAATTACCACAATCGAGCTAACAAGAAAGTGTCTCTCCCCTCACAGGGTTATCATTTTTGTCTTCATTTTTTTTTATGTGGTGAGAATATGTAAGACGTATCCTGTTAGCAAATTTCAGGTGTGTAATACAGTCTTTTTACACTATAGTCAGGCGGGTTTTGAGTGTGGGAAATGAGGACACGTTGGTCAAAGGCTACAAAGTTTGGTTATGCAGGATGAAAATGTTCTAGAGATCTAATGTAAGCATGGTGACGATAGCTCACAGAGCTTCCGATGGAAGAGGCTATTTTGTGTGCAGATTTTGCCTTGCTCCAAGATGGCAAAACTGCAGAAGAAATTGTCCAATGGGCAGAAGAAACTGGAGGTTTATTGGGATGTGTTGACTTCCCTCCACCAATTGAAGATAAGAGATGACCAGAATTCAAGGTGCTGCCTACTTCACGTTAGTATTGAGGAAGGAGCTCATTCCTCTTAACAATGAAGAGTAATCAGATTTTAAACTGTCATGGTTGCTGTAAAGAAAAAGCAAAGCGTAAGTATACCCTAATAAAATTTTTGTGTATAAGAAGGGAAACTATTCAGAAAGTGAAAGTGATACAAATATGAGATAGCCCCAGAGAAATTTGAGGCACCTCGAGTTTCTTTCAAAAATAAAATGCAATTGGGAAGCCAAGGCAGGCGGATCACCTGAGGTCAGGAGTTCGAGACCAGCCTGCCCAACATGGCGAAACCCCATCTGTACTAAAATTACAAAATATTAGCTGGTGTGGTGGTGGGGGTCTGTAATCCCAGCTATTCGGTAGGCTGAGGCAGGAGAATCTCTTAAACCTGGGAGGCAGAGGTTGCAGTGAGCCGAGATCATGCCACTGCACCCCAGCCTGGGCGACAAGAGTGAAACTTCGTCTTAAAATAAATAAATGAATAAATAAATAAATAAAATGCATTAAAACACCAAAACATAGAAATGTTATATAAGTTAGAAGAGTTATTTCCCTCATTTTAATGATGCTAAAAGTGAGGTAAAAATAAAAAGAAATTCGTGAATTTATAAGAAATGTATTAAATAAGTGAAACATATTAAAATACAGAAAAGATAAAGTAACTGTAGCTGGAAACAGAGAGAGGCATGCTTGCAGAAAGTATATAAAAAGGGATGGAAACATATACATATTTAAAAAATAATCAGCCAGGGTACAGTCATATGAAGACAGATCAAGAACACCCAATGTTTTTAAAATTGGAATTTTTGAAGAAGAGAACGCAAGCAAGGAATAGATAGGATCTAGTTTATTTGTCCAGGATCCATATTTGAAAAATTCAGGTATGGCTTATTTCTGACCTTCTGAATTTACTCTTTTATATGTTTTTCCAGAGGAATCCATAAGCCTGTTAGGAGATTAGGCTACGAAATTTCTTTAAATGTACCTCAAGTGAATAGAACCTTTTAAATCATCATGAATGGACACGAAACTCACCACTGGCTCTTGCCTGCAAGAGCCTTGTTTCTTTACCTAATTCATCAACTATTTGTATTTATTGTTTGGGCAGCACTTCTGGAAAATTTGCACGATATACCTAAGATCTACAGATGATGTGGGTCCTTCTGGAAATAATTCATGAAGGAAAATAGTTTAAAGACATACTAATTACCATGTAATGCATCAAGGGCATTCAATATTTAGTAGAGCTTGTTTTAGTGAAGAGTTGCGAATTTAGGTATTGAATTCAGTAATCAAAATATGCCCCACATCAATATCCCAAATTAACTCCTGTAATTATTTATACTTCTCAACACTGCTTTAAAAAGCACAGAATCACATTCTTCAATATAAAATTAAAAATTTCCAATTTCATGGAACGCTTTGAAATTTTTATGGACTTAACCCTCACCTTCAAAAGCCAAACTTTTGAAGTTATCAGTGTTCAAATTTTCCTTCTTCAAAGGCCATGGCCCCTCTGCTATTACTTATGCTGTGTCTTGTTCTCACAGTCCAGTGTACGCTTACTTCTTAGAACTTTAATTTGTACTAAATAAAAATTGCACTGGATTAAAACAGTTTACTTCATAAAGCTGTTGGCCTCATCCCAATGTGTAAACACTGCTAAGCTGTCTTCCTGGCAAGAAACCCGTAAACACCATGAAGTACATTTAGCAACGTCAATTAACAAGTTCTCCTCATTTTTAACCAATGCATGCGTCATATTTTTAAGTGGGTATTTGTCCCGTGTGTTTGCTTGCAGGGTGACTGTCCACTACTGAGGTCTTGAACTTTGCAAATCTCACTTCCAAGTCAATCAATTATAACACATTTTATGAAACATAGCACAATGTTTAATAAATGGCACCATTGATTTGTAAAAATTATTTCTCATAGGTGATACATTTGCTTACAGGTACAGATATTTGTATCACAGCATTTATTCAACATATTTTTCTATTGTAGAATATATTTAAGTAAATGTTAACATCAAGTTCATCCTCTGTCATCTGTAATCAGGTATTTTCTGAGAAGTGGAAAAAACAACAGAATCTGACAACGGTTGCTGGCAGTTTTGGGGTCATCACTCTGTAAAACATGTGTTTTTGTCAGTTTATTTTTATCTTGACATTCCCCATGTCCTGCAGTCCCACCCTGGGGTGTGTACTCAGGGAAACTCACTCATAAAACCCAGGACACTCAGGCAAGAATGCTCCGGCAAACATTGCTCCAAAAAACAAAATGTCCGGTGAAAACATACATCATATCTGCCCAAAAGGACAAATACATTGAGGAATATGCAAGCGATTTACTGCAGTCTGTCTGTTGTTAAATAAACAAGAGCTATGCAGAGCATTAGGAGCATAGCGGTATCATTTTACAATCAAAAACACAAAACAAACTATCCTTTTGTGTTATATTTAAAACGTAAAAATATACGTACATACACACACACAAATATTACCAGATGATAGCTATGATATCAGAGACACATATTTACAAAAATAACACAGAAAAGATCCAAAATTGTATGTGTGTGGTTTTCATACATTGAGAAGTTCTGGGACAGATGAGAGACAAAGCATGAGTTGATACTATTTTTATGAATATGCTGTTTTTTTTCAGTGTGGATTTCACAGGGCTTTTTTTCTTGCTATAATCTTACTAATTTTTTAATAAAATGAATTGGCTTTTGGGGAGAACCTTCAGCGTTATATGCACATATGTTTGTGTTATTCAGAGTTTATATATGTATGTAAATATACACATAGAGAGAGTAGAGTTTTCTGGAAGAGAAAGATAGAGATCTGTGTCTTGAACTGTGAGTCAAGAAAGGATTTCAGAGAAAACATCAAGAACCAGGATTTTCACGCTCGCTTCTGTGTTAATAATGCAAAATCAGTTTTTCTTGGTGTTAACTTCTTGAAGCATAGGAGAAAAATTGAAGAACTTGAAAATTGTTCTTAATTTGCAAGTAATTAATTTGCAACTTTGAAAATGACAGGATAAACATTTCAGTTTTACTGTACAACCGTTTTACAACACTGACAGTGCATCTATTTTAATTTGGCGGAGAACCTTGCATCACAGAAATCAAATCATGCATAGTTCTCAAAAAAGGCAATAAGATATTAAGATACAATTCTACACTTTTGCACATAGAAAAATTAAATTTGAAATATAGACATTATGGATTGGTCGGTGCTAGGGTTCAAGTCAGGCCTTTGTTAGGGGCTCTGTTGAACCAAGAATACCGTCTGCAAGTTTCCTGTGTCACCCACTATGTTTAGGGTGAGAGCTGGTCATCTTCCTGTGTGGGGCACCCTCTAAACTCTGCAAACTGAAACTGGAACCATGGTTACCACATCCTGTTCATTTTCCAATTTAGCTCAACCCCTGTGTCCTGCCCAATAGAAGTGGCACCATGGCCCCCAAACTCATCACCGTCCTGTGTCTGGGTAAGTCCTGGAAGGGAAAGGAGGACACGGTTGGGATGGAAAATGCTCTCTTGAAGACCTGGCCTCTCCACAACCCAGGTCTGGTGGTGGGAAGCCAGGTTCATCCACCCTCTGAATCCAGGCTGAGCTGACAAACCCAGTTACAAGGAGGGAAGGATTCACATGAAGACAAGCTATTTTTCTCTCTCCTCTCTTTTTTTTTTTTTTGCCTAGGATTCTGCCTGAACCAGAAGATCTGCCCACATGCGGGTGAGTCCTATCCCAGTCCTAGGATGCTGTGTTGGCCAAACACAAATGATTCTCCAGGCAGGGAGGGTGGACACGAAGTCAGGCTGATGTAGATGACATGGGGTGGGCTTTGCAGTGAGCACTGGGAACACAGGAAGGGAGTCCTCTGGAGACCCTAGGCTCCATTTTGTTCTAGAAACCCTCCATAGGCAGCCCCTCAGGCTCATCCAATCTCCTGAAGGAGCCTGTGATGCTCAGAATCCAGCGTGTCTGGGGGTGGGTAGGGTAGGAGTACTCTCTGTCAGGAGGCAGGGACCCGTGCTGGGCACTTGTGTTGGGAATTGTTAAATGAGTTGATATGTTTTTTGTATTGCTTGAATCTGGTAGATTCCTCCTTCTCCTCCATGTACAGATTTCTGTTGTAGACAAGAACTAGGAGCAACTTGGCTCAATATTGTATCATCATGCTTAGTAGAATTCTGTTCTGGGGAGACCTTCCATGTCCACTCTGGGGTGGCTGTGTCCCTGGCTTGCGACCAGGTATCCCAGGGCATCAGGGGACCCCACGTTACAGGGCAAACCAGAACAATGTAAAGAAGGAAATGCCCCCAAGGACAGCGGGAGACGGGGGGCTCCACATTTCCCTCTCTAGGCTGTGCCTCCTTCTCTTCCAGGTGCTCAGGACAAGTTCTCCCTGTCAGCCTGGCCGAGCCCTGTGGTTCCCCTAGGAGGACGTGTGACTCTCTCCTGTCATTCCCATCTTCGGTTTGTCATATGGACAATATTCCAAACAACTGGGACCCGAAGCCATGAGTTGCACACTGGCCTTTCCAACAACATCACCATCAGCCCTGTGACCCCAGAACACGCAGGGACCTACAGATGTGTTGGAATTTACAAGCACGCCTCAAAGTGGTCAGCTGAGAGCAACTCCCTGAAGATCATCGTCACAGGTAGGAGAAGTCCAGCCCACCCCACGTCCAACCGGTGTCCAGATGGACCTGCCCAGAGTCCACACCCAATGAAGCCAGAGAGTTGTTGTGGGATTCCTAGTCATGCACTAACCGTGGACACAGAAGCCATCCTGGGAATTTAAAGAGAGGGCATTTCCTGTGAGGAATCAGGTACCCAGGTGGAGGAGGAGGGAGGAAGCCGAGCAGCAGGAGAATCTGCCTGGGGAGTAGCAGACGCAGGGTGCTGGTACCAATTGCAGCAGGGTGGATCCAGGGAGGAGCCATGTTGCCTGACCCCAGCTGGATCCAGGGAGGAGCCATGTTGCCTGACCCCAGCACCAGTGTTTCCCTCGGGGAAGTCGTTACTCTGCCTCGAAGGAGCCAGAGGCTTGGGGAAGTGACAGTTCCCTCGGGAGATGAGTCCAGTGGCTCAGTGGGACATGGATTGGGAAATGCACCCATTCCTCTCCTCCTCCTTCCCAGTCTCGTGACACTCATCCCTTCTCTCTCATGGATGTGCAGAGTGTCTCACGGAGAGTTAGAAACTCATCCTGTGGAGTCGCCCCTGCCCATCCTATAAAGCAGGGAAGGGAGAGTGTGGAGTTATTCATATTTTATATATGTATGTAAATATACACATAAAGAGAGAGAGAGAGTAGAGTTTTCTGGAAGAGAAAGATAGAGATCTGTGCCTTGAACCGTGAGTCAAGGAAGGATTTCAGAGAAAACATCAAGAACCAGGATTTTCACGGTTGGTTCTGTGTTAATAATGCAAAATCAGTTTTTGTTGTTAACTTCTTGAAGCATGGGAGAAAAATTTAAGAACTAGAAAATAGTTCTCAATTTGCAAGTCATTAATTTGTAACTTTGAAAATGACAGAATAAACATTTCAGTTTTGCTGTACAACCATTTTACAACATTGACAATGCATGTATTTTAATTTGGCAGTCTCACATTCAAGGAGCTCAGAAGAAACAGAGAAGAGATTGGGTCTTTCCACCAAGAGAGCGGGGAAAGCAGGTTGGGGTGAGGCAGGGAGATCCAGGCTACGAAAGCTCCTGGAGGATCTGAATGGAGATTGGGACTGTGAGGGGCTGCCCAGGAAAGGAGTTTACCGTGTCCTTCTGCCTAAATAGGGAAAAGGAGTCACTTCCACCCTCCCCAACAAGTAGTCACGTCTAACCTCTTGGGTTTTGGGGCAAAACCAGTTGTTCCTTCAGTGTGAGCCTGTGAGATTTCTTCTGATCCTCCAGAGATTCTTGTATTTTTCAACACGCAGAGTTGAAAAACAGTGAGGCTCATAACCTCACAGTCCCATGCCAGGGAACCTAAGTCCAGCAGTGTGTTTTCTGAAGGTTCTCAAAGCACAGAGTAATTCCCATTTTCCGGGAGAACCCCACATCTCATATGGTTTCAAGCCAGACAATGGGGATCCGCGCAGAGAGAACATGCACGCACACAAACAGGAAGGACGCAGACGGGCTTTGGGGGTGATGAGGGACAGCTTCCCCCTGAGGTCTCAGGCGAGGGGTGAGGAAGGAGACTCATGTGAACTCCTCTGTCTCTGCTCTCAGGCTTGTTCACAAAACCCTCCATCTCAGCGCACCCAAGCTCCCTGGTGCATGCAGGAGCCAGGGTGAGCCTGCGCTGTCACTCAGAACTGGCCTTTGATGAATTTATCTTATACAAAGAGGGGCACATACAGCATTCCCAGCAGCTTGACCAGGGGATGGAGGCTGGGATCCATTACGTCGAGGCTGTCTTTTCCATGGGTCCTGTAACGCCTGCCCATGCAGGAGCCTACAGATGCTGTGGTTGTTTCAGTCACTCCCGCTATGAGTGGTCGGCTCCCAGTGACCCCCTGGACATTGTGATCACAGGTGAGTGTGGCTGGACCATCCGTGGTCTGTTGGTGCCATGGGAGCTTCATGTAATGCGGTTGTTAATCAAACCTCAGTAGAGGAAGAGAAATAAAGGAAGAGAGGGACTGTGAAAAAGTGCTCAGCAAAGGGGTTTAACATGTCTTACTGCTTAAAGAGGCAGGAGGGGTCACTTCTACCCTCCCCAACAAGTAGTCACGTCTAACTCCTTGGGCTTGGGGGTACAGCCAGTTGTTCCCTGCAGTGGGATCCTGTGAGGTTCCTTCTGATCCTCCCGAGATTCTTATATTTTTCAACAAACACAATTGAAAAATAGTAAGACTCATAACCCCGTAGCCCCATGTCAGAGAACTCAAGGCCAGCACTATGTTTTCTGAAGGGTCTCAAAGCACAGAGTAATTCCCATTTTCCAGGAGAACCCCACATCTCATATGGCTTCTAGGGGCGGTAAACCACAGGGACTCAGTCAAAAGCAGAATCAAAGAAATGCAGAGGAAGTAAAAAGACACAGACATAGGCTGACTCAGGACCCTAGAGATGAACATGAGATTGACAGGGGCACCAGCCGACATTCGGAATCTGCTGCCAAGATAAGAACAGCGAGGCTGGGCGCTGTGGCTTACGCCTGTAATCCCAGCACTTTGGGAGGCTGACGTGGGCGGATCACAAGGTCAGGAGTTCGAGACCAGCCTGACCAACATGGTGAAACCCTGTCTCTACTAAAAATACAAAAATTAGCTGGGCATGGTGGTCCGTGCCTCTAATCCCAGCTACTCAGGAGGCTAAGGCAGGAGAATCACTTGAACCCGGGATGCTGAGGTTGCAGTGAGCCGAGATCGTGCTACTGCACTCCAGCCTAGGAGACAAGAGTGAAAATCTGTCTCAAAGGAAAAAAAAAAAAAAAAAAAAAGAGGGAGAGAGATTACTTTGTTCATACACTCAGGCGTGTGTTCTAAAATCAGCCTCTTTTTCTCCTAGGAAAATACAAAAAGCCTTCTCTCTCCACCCAGGTGGACCCCATGATGAGGCTGGGAGAGAAGTTGACCCTCTTCTGCAGCTCTGAAATCTCATTTGACCAGTACCATCTGTTCAGACACGGGGTTGCTCATGGACAGTGGCTCAGTGGAGGGCAGAGACACAGGGAAGCATTCCAGGCCAACTTTTCTGTGGGCCGTGCAACGCCAGTCCCTGGCGGGACCTATAGATGCTATGGTTCCTTCAATGACTCTCCCTATAAGCCCCCAGTGACCCGCTGCAACTTTACACCACAGGTGAGGAGCCCATGCCTGCTGCATGCTCTGGTGCCCACTGGATCACAGAGCCACACGTGAGGGGCGTCCCGCTGGGCACACAGGGGTATTAGGTACTCTGGATAAAATGAAACAGTGACAAACACACACAGGAAAAAAGAAGCTGAGCATGATGGGGCTGTCAGGGTGTAGGGTGGTAAGACGGGGCAGCTCCACACCCTCTGCCACCTTCTGTATGAAGAAAGAGGTCAGGACAAACACAGGGGGAGGTGAGGCCAGATGTAGTTTGTCGAGGTCAGAGGTTGCCCCTCACCCTTTTCCATTTCTCCAAAGCCCCTCCTGACCCCTCAACACAGAGAGATCTCCCTGCTGGGGAACGTGGAGATTTATCATCCCGATGGGAGACAATGTCTGTTGACATCACCCACCATGCTTCTCCTTATCACCTTCCCATCCCAGGGAAGGAATTGTCCCCCAGAGATTCCAAGGAAGAGACCCCAGGGCCCCCATTAGTCTTTAGGTGGATGACAGAGTAGGGGGTGTGCAGGGACCAAGCCTCCAAAGAAAATGGTGCTAATGCTCGGGAGGCTGAGGCAGGAGAATCGCTTGAACCCAGGAGGTGGAGGTTGCAGCGAGACAAGATGGCACCACTGCACTCCAGCCTGGGCGACAGAGCAAGACTCCATCTCAAAAAAAAAAAAAAAAGAAAGAAAGAAAGAAAGAAAGAAAAAGAAAGAAAGAAAGAAAGAAAAGAAAATGGTCCTACTTTAATGGGGCAATCAATGACGCTTGCTCACCCCTTCTCTGCCTTTTTTTTTCCTAGGAAACACTAAGAGTACTCCTCTGTCATTCACAGAATCCACCCCTGAATCTGGTAAGCAAATAACTCTTATCCTAGTGTCTGAGTCCCTGGGGAGACAGAAGGCCCCAGTGTGAGTGAAAGCTGTGCCACCTCCCAGCTCCATGACCCTGGGCTAGGCAGCCCCTCCCAGGTCCCCACATTCCCCATCCACATCTGAGACTGTGGTCAGTGCGGGAATCTGTAAGGCCTTTCAGCCTCAGACGCTTTGGGACTGAGGCCTCATCCACAGGGGAGGAAGAGGTCAGAGTCACCTGACCCTTGCTGAAAAGCAATGCTTCTCATTCCTCCAGGGAGGTCTGTGAACATGAAAATGCTGGAAGATGGGAAGGATTTAAAAGACCATATTCGATATTCACTGTCTGTCTTTTTTTGTTGTTTTTTTTTTTGAGACAGAGTCTCACTCTGTCACCCAGGCTGGAGTGCGGTGGCACAATCTCAGCTCACTGCAACCTCTGCCTCCTGGGTTCAAGCGATTTTCCTGCCTCAGCCTCCCGAGTAGCTGGGATTACAGGTGCCCACCACCACACCCGGCTAATTTTTGTATTTTTAGTAGAGTCAGGGTTTCGCCATGTTGCCCAGGCTGGTGTCAAACTCCTGACCTCAAGTGATCTGTCCGCCTTGGCCTCCCAAAGTGCTGGGATTACAGGTGTGAGCCACCGCACCCAGCCTTATTGTCCATCTTCTAATGTCCTATGACATATTCAACAGTTCCTGTGTTCCAGTGGTGTGTGCAGGGAGGAGAAAAGTTATAATGAATAAACGTGTGAACTGATTTATTCAGATCCATTAATTTTGTATTCATTAAGATAGAGTCATGTGACAGAGAAAGCTTAAGTGGATCCTTTAGAGCAGGTGGAAGGGAAGACTCTATGTCACTCAAGGAACTGACATTTAAGGTGTGATCCTGATGACAAGGACAGCCAGTGTTGGAAGGATTGATGGAAGGACGTTCCCAGCAGGTAAACAGTGGTGCCATAAACTCAACATGGCAGGGCTGGGCGCAGGGCTCACAACTGTAATCCCAGCACTTTGGGAGGCTGAGGCGGGCAGATCACAAGGTCAAGAGATCGAGCTGTTCCTGGTCAACATGGTAAAACCCTGTCTCTACTAAAAATACAAAAATTAGCTGGGCGTAGTGGTGCATGTCTGTGGTCCCAGCTACTCCAGAGGCTGAGGCAGGAGAATTGTTTGAACCCGGGAGGCGGAAGTTGCAGTGAGCCGAGATTATGCCACTGCACTCCAGCTTGGGCGACAGGACGAGACTCCGTCTCAAAAAAAAAAAAAAAATTCAACATGGCAATGCCTTGTGTGTGTTCACAGCACCAGTGAGGCTGACATGTCGGGGGAGAGGGGTGGAGCTGAGAGAGGAGGACAGGGACCAACTTGTGTGAACGTTTCTCGTTTTTAAAATGTTTAATTTTTGTGGGTACCTAGTAGGTGTGTATATTTATCAGGCGCATGAGATGTTTTGATACAGGCATGAAATGTGAAATAAGCACATCATGGAGGTTAAGGCATCCATCCCCTCAAGCATTTATTCTTTGAGTTACAAACAATTTAATTAAGATTTTTTTTTTTTTTTGAGATGGAGTCTTGCTCTGTCACCCAGACTGGAGTGCATTGGCGCGCTTTCCGCTCACTGCAACCTCTGTCTCCTGGGTTCAAGCAGTTCTCCTGCCTCAGCCTCCCAAGTAGCTGGGATTACAGGTGTACGCCACCATGCCTGGCTAACTTTTTGTATTTTAGTAGAGACAGGGTTTCAACATGTTGTCCAGGCTGGTCTCAAACACCTGAGCTCAGGTGATCTGCCCGCCTCAGTCTCCCAAAGTCTTAGGAGTACAGGTGTGAGCCACCATGCCTGGCCCCAATTATGCTTTTTATTTTAAAATGTACAGTAAAGTTCTTATTGACTAGAGCCAGCCTGTTGGTGCTACCAAGTGAGGGTTTCTAAGCAACAGTAAAGAGTTTGGATTTTATTCCAATAAAGAGGTGAAGACAAGTTTTGTTTTGTTTTTTTTTCAGAGTCTTACTCTGTCTCCAGGCTGGAGTGCAGTGGCGTGATCTCGGCTCACTGCAACCTCTGCCTCCCGGGTTCAAGTGATTCTCCTGCCTTAGCCTCCTGAGTAGCTGGGATTATAGGCACCCACCACCATACCCGACTAATTTTTGTATTTTTAGTAGAGACCAAGTTTCACCATGTTGGCCAGGATGGTCTCGATCTCTTGACCTTGTGATCCGCCTGCCTTGGCCTCCCAAAGTGCTGGGATTACAGGTGTGAGCCACTGTGCCCAGCCGTTTTTTTTTTTCTTTTTTTTTGAGACAGAGTCTTGCTCTGTTGCCCAGGCTGAAGTGCAATGGCGTGATCTTGGCTCACTGCAACCTCCGCCTCCTGGGTTCAAGCGATTCTCCTGCCTCAGCCTCCTGAGTAGCTGGGATTACAGGGGGCCCGCCACCAAGCCTGGCTAATTTTTGTATTTTTAGTAGAGACAGGGTTTCACCATGTTGGCCAGGCTGGTCTTGAACTCCTGACTTCAGGTGATCCACCCACCTTGACCTCCCAAAGTGCTGGGATTACACGCATGAGCCACTGTGCCTGGCCGAAGACAAAGGTTTTAGTCAGAAACGTGTCATGATCCACATTCTATTTTAGAGATAGCAATCGGCCGATGTGAATAGTGTTTATTACAGGGAGGCAGGAGTGGAAGCCAGGAGCCTGGTGGGGCTGTGACATCCTTGTAGAGGACACTCATGGCAGCTTAGATGTGCTGGGGCTGGAGAAGGAGTTGAGCAGGTGGATTCAGGAGAGGCTCAGAGCTGGAGTCACTAAGAGGGAGAGTTTGGAAACTTGTTCCAGTATTTCTCAGTGCATGACCTGGGGCACGCTCATTTCTCTCTGAGCCTCTGATTCCATTGATGGCAACTCATACTTGGGCTATCAGAGAAGTAGCAACTCAGCAGGGAGCCTTATGGGGGAACGAGACATAGTCCTTGAAAGAGAAAAGATTATAATCAGACACTTGGGCTCAATGGATGGCTCTGCTAGTTATGGTCACTCATCTTGGAAAGCATCCGTTTTCTTTTCTTTTCTTTTTTCTTTTGTTTTCTTCTTTTTGTTTGAGCCAGAGTCTCTCTGTGTTGCCCAGGCTGGAGTGCAGTGGTATGAAACTGGCTTACTGCAATGTCCCAGTTTCAAGTGATTCTCCTGCCTCAGCCTCCCAAGTAGCTGGGATTACAGGTGTCTGCCACCACGCCCGGCTAATTTTTGTATTTTTAGTAGAGACAGGTTTCACTATGTTGGTCAGGCTGGTTTTGAACTCCTGAACTCCAGTGATCAGCCTGTCTGTGCCTCCCAAAGTGCTGGGATTACAGGCATGAGCCATGGCACCTGGCCAAAGCATCCAAGTTGTTGGATAGAATATTGGGCTAATGATGCCTCCCTCCTTATGGAAAAAAAAAAAGTAGGAAAGAGAAGAAAGAAAAGCTTCCCAAGTTGAATGTCTAGAAGTAGCAGACATGTCTAGAATTGAGCCCAAGAGTACGGCTGGCTACAGTCTTTTCTCTTTCAAGGACTATATCATGGATGAGAGAGTGATGAGATGTGTCCACACATGTGGAAGTCCTCCCACCACCTCTCAGCATGGGTCCTGGTACGGAGGGTATGCTCCTATGTGACATAGCCTGTGCCCCCTCCCCTTTTTCTCTCCTGAATCCTCCACCCACCTGCTCTTACTCATTACTCAGAAAAACACCAACATTGTTTGGAGCAAGTTCAATTCTCAGAAACTGGCATGAGAGTCATCCTCTGGCCACCTCTATCTCCATTCTCAGAAAGTGTATTTGTCCTGGGCTGAGAAGGGACGAGGGAAATGGTATTCAGCTATGGTACATGCAGAGGGTTTCCTTTGTCATGCAAAAACAAACTGTCTTGTCTCATGAGGAAGTGGGAGGGGAGGCACACTGGAGCCTGGTAGGCCTGGGTTCAGACCTCCATGTCTCTCCTTTTTTTTTTCTTTTTTTTTTTTTTTTGAGATGGAGTCTTGCTCTGTCACCCACCCTGTGTACAATCTCGGCTTACTACAACCTCTGCCTCCTGGGTTCAAGCGATTGTCCTGCCTCAGCCTTCTGAGTAGCTGGGATCACAGGCGTGTACCACTACGCCTGGCTAGTTTTTGTGTTTTTAGTGGAGACGGAGTTTTGCCATGTAGGCCAGGCTGGTCTCTAACTCCTGACCTCAGGTGATCTGCCCACCTCTGCCTCCCAAAGTGCTGGGATTACAGGTGTGAACCACCACACCAGGCCTCTGCATCTCTCTTACTGGCCATTTGATTTGGACACGTGTCTTCACTTCTCTTGGAATTTTTTGTGTAAGTGATGGAAAATGGAGAAAGTAACTGTTCGGGTGTAGGGATCTTGGAAGAGCTTCAGATAAAGCATGTTGTGTGTTCAGTATGTATTGGCACAAAACAGGCAACCAGTCAATGAGAGGGTTTATCATTTGCTTCTTGACAGACACACCTCGCCCTCAAGGACAGTCCAGCAACCTGCATATGCTCACTGGACTCTCAGTAGCCATCATCTCCATTGGCGTTTGCCTCTCTGCTTTTATTGGTTTCTGGTGTTACATAAAATATCGTAAGTCTCAGGGAGGGGAGGACAGTATCATGTGAGCCCCGTGGGGATGTGACTGGGGCACGGGGGTGCTATTCACGTCCTGTGGGTTGATCTGTGTTTCCGCTGAGGTTCTTTTTTTTTTTTTGAGATGGAGGCTTGCTCTGTCACCCAGGCTGGAGTGCAGTGGCGCAATCTCGGCTCACTGCAAGCTCTGCCTCCCGGGCTCACGCCATTCTTCCACCTCAGCCTCCCGATTAGCTGGGACTACAGGCGCCCACCACCATGCCCGGCTAATTTTTTGTATTTTTAGTAGAGATGGAATTTCACCATGTTAGCCAGGATGGTCTTTATCTCCTGACCTCATGATCCGCCCGCCTCGGCCTCCCAAAGTGCTGGGATTACAGGCGTGAGCCAGTGTGCCCGGCCTCCGTTGAGGTTCTTGATGGAGAAACCCTGCTCCTTCCCTTCACTGACCAATCACCCCAACCCCTCCCCTACCTCCACCTCACCTCTGGGGAGGCCACTGACCTGCAGGAGATGGTCCATGAGAGAGGCAGAAGGATGGGGGCCATCTATCGGAGCGGTCCTGGGGCAGTCAAGATTGCCCCAAGGTTGCTGATGGGTGGTTCTCTGAATTTAGTGGGGGAGGCTGGATCACGCTGCAGCCTCAGGCACGCCCTTGCCTTGTTTTGGTCTTGGTATTGCCACCTCTGAAGTGAAGATCTGGAAGACTTTCTTTTTCACCCCACAGACACCACCATGGCAAACACAGAGCCCACGGAAGGCCAACGGACGGATGAAGAGGTGAGTTCTCCCAGCCGAAACCATCACCACAGCTTCATCCCCTCCCATTCCCAGTGCCCCTGCCTTCAGCCACTAAATATGCTCCTCTTTTCACCTTCATCCTCTCAGGAGCCTGCAGCAGAAGAGACACAGGAGATCATATATGCCCAGTTAAACCACCAGGCCCTCTCACAGACAGGATTCCCTCCTGCCTCCCAGTGTCCCCACTACCTCTCGGAGGATCCTAGTATCTACATCACTGTCCACCAAGCCCAGGCTGAGGCCAGAGCTGCCCCCAGTCTTTGGCACAAAGGGCATTAATACGCAAGGACCTGGATCTATTCCTAGGAGGATTTTTTTTCCACGGACATTCTTCCTCCTTCTGGTACCATCTTGACACCTCGAAGCTGGCAACAGCAGTGTCTGAATGCTTGTGGGATTATCTTAAAATTCCAGCACTGCTGAACAGACAACTAGCCATTCTACAATTCTATTTTGAGCATCCAACCATTTAAGGTGATTTGACTCTACCCACACACTCATCCTGGATATCTCATTAATATCATCTGAGTTATCCTGAAACTCTACAGACATGCTTCTGGAAAGCCGATGTATATGCTCAGCCAGTTTAATCTCTAAATTACTCAATAAGGTTTTTTTAAAAAAATTTTTTTAAAGTTCTGGGGTACATGCTCAGGATGTGCAGGTTTGTTACGTAGGTAAACGTGTGCCATGGTGGTTTGCTGCACCTATCAAACCGTCACCTAGGTATTAAGCCCAGCAGGCATTAGCTCTCTTCCCTAATGCTCTCCATACCCCCTGCCCTCCTCTGACAGGCCCCAGTGAATGTGTTCCCCTCCCTGTGTCCATGTGTTCTCATTGTTCAGCTCCCACTTATAAGTGAAAACATGCGGTGTCTGGTTTTCTGTTCCTGCATTAGTTTGCTGAGGATAATGTCTTCTAGCTTCATTCATGTCTCTGCAAATGATATGATCTCATTCCTTTTTATGACTGCGTAGTATTCCGTGGTGTATATGTACAACTTTATTTTTATCCAGTCTATCATTGATGGGCATTTGGGTTGATTCCACGTCTTTGCTGTTACTCAACAAAATTTTGCAGAGATGAAGTGTATTCTATATCTGAGTCATCTAATATGGTAGCCACTAGCCAAATATGGCTTTTTAACTTAGAATTAGAATAGATCAAATTCCATGAAGTTTAAAATTCAGTTCCTCAGCCACATGGCCACAATTTGAGTTCTCAGAGCCACGTGTGGCTGCTGGCTGTGGGAGAGAATAGCATGAACACAAAATGTTTTCCTTGTCAGAGGAAGTTCTAGCTGTTCTAGATTAAAGGTGCAAATTTGAAGATGCAGAGCCTATTTTCTCATGCAGTGCAGGCTCCTGGAAGAGACCTAATGTAACAAAACGATAATATTTCACATCAATGGTGACATGTCTTTATCTTACGAAATGCGGGGAACAAGCAGAGTTCTCTTGTGGAGTGTCTTATCACCTCTTATCCTCATGCAAATTTCTGCCATAGAGATTTTCTCCCAAACTTTGAGAAGGTCACCTCTGTCAGGCCTCTGAGCCCAAGCTAAGCCATCCTATCCCCTGTGACCTGCACGTACACATCCAGATGGCCTGAAGCAACTGAAGATTCACAAAAGAAGTGAAAATAGCCTTAACTGATGACATTCCACCACTGTGACTTGTTCCCGCCCCACTAACTGATACCATATATTCTGCCCCGCCCAAGAAGGTACTTTGTAATATTCCTCGCCCCCTTACCCCCCACCGCCCTGCCCCCGCTCGCCCGCCTTAAGAAGGTACTTTGTAATATTCTCCCCCACAACTTTAGAAGGTACTTTGTAATATTCTCCCCCACAACTTTAGAAGGTACTTTGTAATATTCTCCCCCACAACTTTAGAAGGTACTTTGTAATATTCTCCCCCACAACTTTAGAAGGTACTTTGTAATATTCTCCCCCACAACTTTAGAAGGTACTTTGTAATATTCTCCCCCACAACTTTAGAAGGTACTTTGTAATATTCTCCCCCACAACTTTAGAAGGTACTTTGTAATATTCTCCCCTCCCCTTAAGAAGGTACTTCAAGGCTGGGTGCGGTGGCTCATGTCTGTAATCCCAGCACTCTGGGGGGCCGAGGTGGGTGGATCACGAGGTCAGGAGATCGAGACCATCCTGGCTAATGTGGTGAAACCCCGTCTCTACTAAAAAAATACAAAACACTTAGCTGGGCATGGTGGCGGGTGCCTGTAGTCCCAGCCACTTGGGAGTCTGAGGCAGGAGAATGGCGTGAACCCAGGAGGCAGAGCTTGCAGTGAGCTGAGATCGCGCCACTGCACTCCAGCCTGGGCGATAGAGCAAGACTCTGTCTCAAAAAAAAAAAAAAAAAAAAAAAAAAAAGAAGGTACTTTGTAATATTTCTCCCCACTGCCACCCACCCCCCGCCAAGAAGGTACTTTGTAATATCCTCCCCCCAACGCCAGCCCCCTCCACGACCTTAAGAAGGTACTTTGTAATATTCTCCCCGCCCTTGAGAATGTACTTTGTACGCCCATCTCAAACCTATAAGAACTAATGATAATCCCACCACCCTTTGCTGACTCTCTTTTCAGACTCAGCCCACCTGCACCCAGGTGAAATAAACAGCCTTGTTGCTCACTCAAAGCCTGTTTGGTGGTCTCTTCACACAGACACTCATGACAACCTCCTATTTGTACCTTTTCTCGTCCCCTGGTTTCACATGGAGAGAAAGCACACATCCATTCTCCGCACAGAACATGCTCTGGAAGCTGCTTTCTGATGACGTCTTCCTCTGAGCCTTTATTCTGTTTCTTTCTACTTGAATTGGCACCTACCCAGAGCAATTCACAAACTGCTGCCTGCAACGAGCTGTCACTGGCTCATGGAATTGTCACATGCTGTTTCTTCACCTGGTAATTATCTCCCTTTTTTGAGCATCTCAGTGCAGACATCCACCTTCATACACATGTCTTTATCTCATAGGCTAAGTGAGGAGGTTGATTGACTCACAGTGTCTGTGCCCAATAGGCTGAGTTTTTATGGCCTGATCCCCACTGGTCTTTCATGTGTGGACTGTGAGTTTTTTTTGTTGTTGTCGTTGCCAGGCTGGAGTGCAGTGGTGTGACCTCAGCTCACTGCAATCTCTGCCTCCCAGGTTCAAGAGATTCTCTTGCCTCAGCCTCCCGAGTAGCTGGGACTACAGGTGCGTGCCACCACGCACCGCTAATTTTTGCATTTTTAGGAGAGACGGGGTTCCACCATGTTGGCCAGGATGGGACTATGAGATTTTTGAGGCAGGACTGAGTCTGATTAACCTCTGGGACTCAATGCAACCCTCCAAGGATCCTGCCCATAGGAGGAGGTATCAGCAACTCAGGTCTGGTAAGTGATGAGGACACCCAACCCTTCCAGGGAGCAGAGCGTGGAGCAAACATCAGAGATCCTCTGATGTTACCCAGAAGTAGTTTCTCTGTCTCCCTGGGCCAAAGGGAGGATCATGCTTCCTCTACAGTCTGGGATATGTGAGCTAAGAGACAAATGCTGGTTAGTGGATGTGAGGGTGAATGGCAGGCACACTCCCAGCCTGGCTATTTGCATGACGGCCCTACCCTTACTATTGTATATTCTACAGCTAGGTTGGTCCTGCAGCAATCTCGTTTTGATAAGCAGGGTAAAAGTGAAAGACCAAAACGTGTCTTCTCTCTGAGCCTCTGCACACAGGGTGGTTATGCCGCAGAGTCAACTGATGCTAAAGGGAAACTATGCAAGCCAGAAATGATTTTAATTTTGCTTCCACACCATCCTCTCAAAAATAACAGAAAGTGAGCATTTTTTTTTTTCTGGAGTCTCTCTCTGTCACCCAGGCTGGAGTACAGTGACACGAGCTCAGCTCACTGCAGCCTCCACCTCCCGGGTTCAAGCGATTCTCCTGCCTCAGCCTCTGGAGTAACTGAGATTACAGGCACCCACCACCACACCTGGCTACTTTTTGTATTTTTAGTAGAGACAGGGTTTCACCATGTTGGTCAGGCTGGTCTCAAACTCCTGACCTTGTGATCTGCCTGCCTCGGCCTCCCAAAGTGCTGGGATTACAGGCATGAGCCACTGCACCTGGCCAAAAGTGAGCATTTTAAAAAGTGATTTACAACCAATGATAAATGTGACCTGATAAGATAATTCAAGTATTCCATGTTCCTACACTTCATAGTTAAGTGTAGCTTCAACATTTATCTGGTGGAAAAATGAATCAACCAACTTTCCACACATGAGTGTTTTACTCTTCATTTTCCTTTCTATCAAGAAACATTATGTGCCCTGAGAAATTATAAATTTCATAATTATTTGGGACGAAAATTGTTTGCACTTTTTTTGTGGGGCGGGGGGATGGAGTTTCGCTCTTGTCACCCAGGCTGGAGTGCAATGGTGCGATCTCAGCTCACTGCAAACTCCACCTCCTGGGTTCAAGTGATTCTCCTGCCTCAGTCTCCTGAGTCTATGGGATTACTCATATGTAATCCCATATATGAGTGATATGGGTGCGTATCAGTATGCCCAGCTAATTTTTGTATTTTTAGTAGATATGGGGTTTCACACTGTTGGCCAGGCTGGTCTCGAACTCCTGACCTCGTGATTTGCCCGCCTCGGCCTCCTAAAGTGCTGGGATTACAGGCGTGAGCCACCGTGCCCGGCCTGTTTGCACTTACTCTCCTGGTTTGTCCATTTTTCCATGTTCCTTCATACTTTCTTTTGATTTTATTTTTACTGTATTTACTTTTAGTTTTTGAATACTTCAAATTCTTGACAATCATTTGACAGGTTTAAATTTGAGATAACCAAAAAGTTAATAGTTCTCTCAAAACTCTCACGTTGTACTCTTATTTACTTATTTTACTTTAAGTTCTGGGATATATGTGCAGAACGTGCAGGTTTGTTACATAGGTATACATGTGCCATGGTGGTTTGCTGCACCTATCAACCTGTTATCTAGGTTTAAGCCCCGCATTAGGTATTTGTCCTAATGTTCTCCCTCCCCTTCCCCTACCCCCAGACAGGCCCTGGTGTGTGTTGTTCCCTTCCCTGTGTCCATGTGTTCTCATTGTTCAACTCCCACTGATGAGTGAGAACATGTGGTGTTTGGTTTTCTGTCCCTGTGTTAGTTTGCTGAGAATGATGGCTTCCAGCTTCAATTTTAACTTTTTTTTTTTTTTTTTTTTTTTTTTTTTTTTTTTTTTGAGACAGAGTCTTACTCTGTTGCCAGGCTGGAGTGCAGTGGCCCAATCTCAGCTCACTGCAACCTCCACCCCCTGGGTTCAGGCAATTCTCCTGCGTCAGCCTCCTGAGTATCTGGGATTACAGGCACCTGCCACCACACCCGGCTAATTTTTGTATTTTTTTTTTAGTAGAGACGGGGTTTCACCATGTTGGCCAGGCTGGTCTTGAACACCTGACCTTATGATCCACCCGCCTCGGCCTCCCGAAATGCTGGGATTCCAGGCGTGAGCCACCGAGCCCGGCCCAGTCTTAACATTTTTTAAGGCTTAGTCACCTGCATGATACCAACCAGGCTGGTCTCAACTGTGGGGCAACTGGGGTTGTTGAACCACGTGAACTGCAGGTGCTCCCTGCAGAACCCTTGCATAGCCGGCGTCTTTATACCTGTCTGTCCATCCAGGGATGGCGGGGTTGGTGTTTGTCCTCCAGTCGAGGGCACTGACAACCTTGGGGCAGCAGCACCAATCAGCTTCCATCCCATCACGTAAGAGCCACACGTGGAGATCTGGGTGCACACCCATCTCACGTGTTTCCCGGAACAGCCTCAGCGCCTTTCCCCGAGCAGCCCCTTGGACATTCACCTGGCAGAGGAGTCTCTGGTTCTGTTTCTGGACTGTGGACGCGGGCTAGGGCGCATGCTGCAGGTGAATCACTTCTGAGGACAGATGAGTCTCCTGTTCTGCTTCGGGTCACCACGCTGCTCTGTGATCCAGGGAGTCTCTGTCAGCGTCTCTTCTGCTGGATCCAGTCTGGAGTGTCAGGGATTCAGAGCACGACAGAGGTGACCATGGGCAACGTGCACCCGAGCACTTCCCTGCCACAGGGACATGCAGAGCATTTCCCACCCTGAGGAGCGGCCACTCAAGACCATCAGGTCGCAGGTGGAGGACTGTGATGCAGCCGAGCTCCTATCACCACCAGGACTTGTCTCACTGAGCAGAAGCCGGTAACACACCAGGGAAGAGGGCCTTGCCCACGGGGTGGCTGTTGACGGAATCTTTCTGTTCTGCGTTCTCTCATCATGGATGTGGGTCCCTTTGATGCCTCTGTCTTCGCTCAGGGCCCCAGGAAGATTCATTCCCCCTAGACTCTCTGCTTCCTGGGAAATGATTACATTCTGAGCTTTGGCGAATTCCCGCAGCACCGCTCCTTGGCTCCCTCACTGCTACCTGGACAGGCAGAAACATTAACATCCCCGGCCAGCACCTAGGCCCCGAAGTGAGGGGATACATGAGCCGTGTGCAGGCTTCCAGTCCCTGGAATGTGTGTAGGGGGTTCACTGTCCACCACAGCTTAAACACAAAATGAACATTTTGACTGGAAAAGGGTAGATAGAAAGAAAAAGACCTAAATGTGGAGCGTAGTCTGGAGCCTTCTATGGGGCAGAACAGCACTCGTGTGCAATAATGCTGCAGTGAGCCACAGCCTCGCCTCTCAGCTGCACAGGACAGATGTGCAGTGGAACGGGAAGTCAGAATGACCATCCCTGCGGCCGTTATGAGGAGCTGTTCCCTAGGTCTCTACAATGAAAGCTCCTGAAAACAGTCAATGTAGATTTGCACGCTGAGAACAGCACCTCCATTCCCAGCTACCCAGAGCCAGGTCCTAATTCTTGCTTATCCACCAACTCAGTAAATATAAGTCACGATGGTTGCTTTTATTTTATGTTGAACTTTTTGTAGTTTACTAGCTTGCATTATTTTTTTTAAAAAAGAAAACGAGTTGATATTTTTAACTTTTAAAAATATCATGATGATGGCCGGGAGTGGTGGCTCACGCCTGTAATCCCAGCACTTTGGGAGGCCAAGGTGGGCAGATCATGAGATTAGGAGATTGAGACCATCCTGGCTAACACAGTGAAACCCCGTCTCTACTAAAAATACAAAAAAATTAGCCGGGCATGGTGGCGGGCACCTGTAGCCCCAGCAACCCGGGAGGCCGAGGCAGAAGAATGGCGTGAACCTGGAAGGCAGAGCTTGCAGTGAGCCGAGATCACGCCACTGCACTCCAGCCTGGGTGACAGAGCGAGACTCCGTCTCAAAAAAAAAAAAAAAAAAAAAAAATATATATATATATATATATATAAAATCATGATTTCTCCATTTTTTTCCTTTCCCATTCTCTGACTTAGAATATTTGAGCAACAAAACCATAATTTCCGGTGCAAGAATGACGAAGTTCCTAATTTGAGTCTGCTTAGATACCTGAGCTTAGTCTCAGGCCCACCATGCGCTGTGAACTCATCCCAGGTTACATGATGTGCCTCTTGGCAACTCTGAGTGATGCTAAGTTTCAGGGAAGTGTGCACAGATCTAGGACTTCAGTAATGTTTAATCATCAGAGGCAAATTTGGGAACTTTTTATTTGTTTGTTTGTTTTTTGAGACGGAGTCTCGCTCTGTCGCCCAGGCTGGAGTGCAGTGGCGTGATCTGGGCTTACTGCAAGCTCCGCCTCCCGGGTTCACACCATTCTCCCGCCTCAGCCTCCCGAGTAGCTGGGACTACAGGCGCCCGCCACCACGCCCGGCTAATTTTTTGTATTTTTTTAGTAGAGATGGGGTTTCACCGTGTTAGCCAAGATGGTCTCAATCTCCTGACCTCATGATCCGCCCGCCTCGGCCTCCCAAAGTGCTGGGATCACAGGCGTGAGCCACCAGATTTGGGAACATTTTGTAATGGCAGTGTGTCCTCAAATACCTTGCTTACAGTGAGTTATATTTTTAGAAATTACAGTGCCCATTACACACACACAGCTGTTCCTTCTCTGTACTCACGGGAAACCCACAGAGACCCCTCCACAAACACCTCCGTATCTGCATGAAAGTGTAAAACCACATGAAAGCCGAGCTTGCTATTTACTAGTTGTGCATAGGGTTGTTTGTGTGCGTGTGTGTGTGTGTGTGTGTCTTCTAGATACAGTCAGGTTCAACGGCATTATGCTAAATACTTGCCGCTCTAATGAATAATCATCCTCTTGGGGTTTCTCCAGGTCATTTGAATATGGAGACCCACTTCTCCAGTATCTCTCCTAAGAATAACCTTTCAACAGGTTCTTAACATCGTCAGCAAAAATATTTTCAACAAATGTTCCCAAAAGCACCTTAGACTCTGAAGACCTAAAAAAGATATAATACATTCTTTCAGAGCTGTTGGGGAGATCCTCAGCAAACCTACATTATACCATAAACGGTCTCAAAAATAGCTCATTTTCCCATAAGCCATGAGAGATAATGAGATGGGAAGTCCGGAGGAGGGTCTGAGGTGTCTGTGAGGAGCCGCCTCCTCCAGTTTCAGGTCATTGTTCCCTCCATGTGTGTCTAGGAAGCCCTCCCTCCTGACCCCCAAGGACCCTGCGTGGACTGACCCTCCAGTGCAGCTCTGATGTCGGCTACCACAGATTCGCTGTGTACTAGGAGGGGGCACGTGACTTCCTCCAGCGCCCTGGCCAGCAGCCCGAGGCTGGGCTCTCCCAGGCCAACTTCCCCCTGGGCCCTGTGAGCCGCTCCCAAGGGGGCCAATACAGATGCTACGTATGGTGCACACAACCTCTCCTCCGAGTGCTCGGCCCCCAGGGACCCCCTGGACATCCTGATCGCAGGTTGGAGCCCAGTGGGTTCAGACAAGTTCCAAAATTCTGTGCAGAGCTGCGTGTGCGTTTGTAGGGGTGTTTCTGTGTGTGCTTGTGTGTGTGTGTTTGTATGTGTTTGGGTGTGTATATGTATGCATGTTTGTATTTTTGTGTCTGTGTAGATTTGTGTGTTTTTGTCTGTACGTGTTTGAATTTGTGTGTTTTTGTTTCTCTCTCTGTAGTTGCATTTGCATGCATCTGTGTGTATGTGGGGAGGTGTGTGTGTGTGTGTAGGTGTGTGTGTGTGAGTTTGAGTGTGTTTCTGTGTGGGTTTATTTGTATGTGTATGAGTGTGTGTGAGTATATGTATGTGTGTGTGTGTTGTGTGTGCGTGTGTGTATGTGAGTGTGTGAGATTGTATGTGTGTGCATGTTGTGTGTCTGAGATTGTGTGTGCGTGTGTGCATGTGAGATTGTATGAGTGTTTGCATGTTGTGTGCGTGTGTGTGAGATTGTGTGTGAGTGTGCATGTGTGTGAGTGTGTGAGATTGTATGAGTGTGTGCATGTTGTATGTGCATGTGTATGTGTGTGTATGTGAGTGTGTGAGATTGCATGAGTGTGCATGTGTGTGCGTGTGTGTGTGCATGTGAGATTGTATGAGTGTTTGCATGGTGTGTGTGCGTGTGTGTGTGAGATTGTGTGTGAGTGCGCATGTGTGTATGTGAGTGTGTGAGATTGTATGAGTGTGTGCATGTTGTGTGTGTGTATGTGAGTGTGTGTGAGATTGTGAGTGTGCGTGTGTGTGTGCATGCATGTGTGTAGACGGCATAGCACAGATGGTCACGAGGTGCGCCTGGTTCTTCCGCCATGTCACCGTGTTGTTGGGGAAACGCTGAGTTGAGGGATCTCCGACAGCCAGGAGCAGCATCTGAGATTCTGTAAAACCCTGCCCACCTGCTCTCTGCACAGGGCCAGGCAGCCTGGGCTGTGGCAGGGCCAAGACTCCTGGATACACCCCCAGACTGCCTGGAAAAATGATGTCCACTGGCGGGAAGAGACAGACAAGGCTGACTCCGCCTCATCCTGGGTGCTAGTGACGTAGCGCCCTGCAGCTTTAGCCTTTTAAAGGACATTCTGGTCCTGTGGAGGACGGGACGGCCCTACGCAGGACCACGGACCCTCTGCTGTCCCCTCACCGCAGACCTGCACCCTGTCCCTCAGAGTCAGGACGTGGGTGGGCGGGCATCTCTCAGTAGAGCCTGAGCTGCGGACGTGGACACAGCAGAGTCAGGAGCATCATCAAACTGACGACCAGAATGAGTGACCGAGGCAAAAGTCTCAATCAATGGAGGATTATTATTGTTATTGTTATTATTATTATTATTAGAGACGGAGTTTTGCTGTTGTTGCCCAGGCTGGAGTGTAACAGCACGATCTCAGCTCACTGCAACCTCCGCCTCCCGGGTTCAAGCGATTCTCCTGCCTCAGCCTCCCGGGTAGCTGGGATTACAGGCATGCGCCACCACGCCCGGCTAATTTTGTATTTTAGTAGAAACGGGGTTTCTCCATGTTGGTCAGGCTGGTCTGGAACTCCCAACCTCACGTGATCCGCCTGCCTCGGCCTCCCAAAGTGCTGGGATTACAGACGTGAGCCACCGCGCCCGGCCTCAATGGAGGCATTATTAAGCCAGCTTTAAGGCACAGCCGGGAAAAACGCAAGCCACAGACACATCTGTGTCTCCTTTTTCCAAAGAGGCTCTCCGAAGATTTATTCTTTACTCATTTCCTTAAAGAAAGACAGGCACAGAGGCCGAGGGGCAGGTAGGTGGTGAGGTGAATGGTTCCAGTTACTGCCCAGTAAATCTACCTTTTACCTAAGATAAGGTGCATGCTTGAAGAGAAAAGGGGAGTAAAGGAAAAATCAATTACGCAGACGTCTCTGGGTAGGTGGAAGAATGGCTGATCTCATCTTGTCTTTGCTCTGTGCCTGGGAAGATAAGCTTGTAACGGACATTATCAGTGTGGAATAAAACAGACCTGAGTTTTAGCTAGACTTAGATTGCAGACCTGGAGGCCAGCAAGGAATTTCCTTATGAATGATGTGTGAGGGCCTCGGTGGATGCCCGGAGCCTCTTCCCGTGGGGGATCTGGCTGATGCCAAATGCCAGCAACCGCTGTCCAACTGGAAGAGGGTGCTGCTGACTCAGCCTCCAGGCTGACCTCCCCTTTTACATTAGGAATTTGGGAGTCCTGAGGTTTTGTTCTATTTTTCCTTTACAAAATGTTTGGCCGGATGCAGTGGCTCACGCCTGTAATCTCAGCACTTTGGGAGGTCAAGGCGGGTGGATCATGTGAGATCAGGAGTTCAAGACCAGCCTGGCCAACATGGCAAAACCCCATCCCTACTAAAAATACAAAAATTAGTTAGGTGCGGTGGCTCATGCCTGTAATCCCAGCACTTTGGGAGGTGAGGCGGGCGGATCACCTGGGGTCAGGAGTTCAAGACCAGCCTGGCCAACATAGTGAAACCCTGTCCCTACTAAAAATACAAAAATCAGTCAGGCACGGTGGCTCACGCCTGTATGCCCAGCACTTTGGGAGGCTGAGGAGGGAGGATCACCTGAGGTCAGGAGTTCAAGACCAGCCTGGCCAACAAGGTGAAACCCCATCTCTACTAAAAATACAAAAATTAGCTGGGCCTGTTGGCAGGCACTTGTAATCCCAGCTACTCGGGAGGCTGAGGCAGGAGAATCGCTTGAACCTGAGAGGTGGGGGTTGCAGTGACCCGAGATTGTGCCAATGCACTCCAGCCTGGGTAGCGGAACAAGAGTCTGTCTCAGATAAAAAACAAAACAAAAAACAAAACAAAACAAAAAAACCCAAAACGTTATGCGCACCCATTATCCCGAATCTTCTTAGCGGATCCTCACGGCACACCTTAGAGGTGGGGAGCAACCCAGCTTTTAAAGTTGAGATCATTGAGCCTCCACCCACCGAGGTTGGACTCCCAGACTCAGCGTTCTGTGAAGGGTTGTGGTTACGATTCCAGCGCTGCCATGCACCTGGCTCCAAAGCCTGCACGGCCACAGCTGCAACGTTCCCCTGCCCTGGCCATGTTTATAGACAGCGCTCCAGGTGAAGAGCGCCTATAGCCAGGGCAGAACCCCTATCGGGGCAGAGGCACTGTCGCTCCATCAGAGTTCACCAGCAGCAGCACCATGGACGCACTCTCATTGCTGAAGTCCAGCCGTGTTCGTGGGCAGACGCTTCTCAGCTTGTGTGAGCCCTGGGCTTCCTGAGGTGGTTGTTTTGGAGCATTTCGTCCAGCTTCTCCCTTGTTCCTGGGGAATGGTTTGCCCCATGCCCCAGCTCTGTCGTTCCGGAAGTTTCTACTTCACACAGTTAAAAAAAAATTCTCTAAATATATAAACACCATGACCCAATTTTTCTGGCAAAAACAAACAAGCAAACACACCCACAAACATCTTTCCAGACACGTAAGCAAAATCTGCAATTACACGCTCTTCACGTGTTTAGGCACTATAACCTTCTTCATTTCCGGCAGGTCCTTGGTCCTGTGTTTCTCTAGGGGGTGTCTTTCCAGCAGCCTCTCCTTATGATGTCCTGGGATTCCTGTATCCACTTCTCTTTCAATAACCTTGTAACTCAGCTTGGGAATCAGAGTGGTCACTTTAATGTCTAACATGCATTTTTTTTTTAATTTTTGAAAAGGTTTAATCACAAGTTAAAGAGTCGCTTAGTCAAATACATAATTATATTGTAGATCCATCCATCCCCTCCTGGCAGATAATTTAGCTCAACTAAATTGTACCAATAAATCCATCTACAGGTCTCATGGAACTTAGCTGGAAAACAGGAAAAACCATGGAATCCGACAATGTCAAATATGGCAGACTTTGTGAATCGACTCATTGACTTATCTATCTGCCTACCTATTTACCTGTATTCCTATGGATCTGTTCATCAGTTAATCTCTCTATCTGAAGGAGCCACAGGGAATGCCAACAGCCACCCAGAGCTGGAAAGGGCAAGGGAGGGTTCTCCCCAAGAGCCTCCAGAGAGAACGCTGGCCCTGGCCCTGCCATCACCTTGATTTTTAGCTTCGCAACTCTGAGAGAATAAATTTATGTTGTCTTAAGCCACCCAATAATAATTTGTTATGACAGCCTAGAAAACTAATTGCTCATCTCCCCCAACCCCCATCCCCTCTCTCTCTGAATTCATACTTATGTAGTGTATGTGTGTTTCTATACACACATGTGCCATGAATTTTGTTTGTTTGTTTGAGAGACAGAAGGAACTGAGTTTTGAGTCATAGCTAAAGTGTGGTTTCAGATAAAACACCACCAGCTGGTATTTGCATGCCCTATTCTCTTCTAGAAATGCCGAAGTTTCTAGTTAACTGGTTTTATTTGTCAGGAGAAGTAAGGGAATTGCAAATATTCAGCCTACTAACATTAGGTGGAGGACACATTTCCTTTTTATTCTGCAAAGAGGATCATGATGGTAACAATATTTATGTATTAGTTTGACAAGAGAACATTGCATTAGGAGATATACCTAATGTTAAACGACGAGTTAATGGGTGCAGCACACCAACATGGCACATGTATACATATGTAACAAACCTGCACGTTGTGCACATGTACCCTAAAACTTAAAGTATGTATTACAAAAAAGCGCCTCCTAATTATTCCTTGGCCTATTTCTTCTTGGTGTTTTAAATTTAATTATACTCTAGTAATTTATATTTAAGCTAAGAAGTAGTCTACTGGTGTTGAAAACAGATGTATATAGAGAGATTCTTTTTTGATCTATAAGATAATTTTGTAAACTATTTTTATAGCCAGAATTTTCATATATTGGTCTTTACTAATCCTGTCGAATTCCAATGGTGTAGGTAATTTTTTGGTGCAGCTGCAGAAGAAGACTTTGCAAGAAATTTGCTTGACTTTAGCAAGTACAAGTGGACTAAATTGCTTCTTTTGTCCTGGAAAGTTCAGAACTATTTGGGCATTTCTGATTCTCAGATTCTTCCATCCACACATTTCATCCTATGCGACAAGGTTTTACATACCTCCCAAGAAACTTATTTTGACATAGAAATATTCAACTATTTTGTGCTATAACTCAAGTTATCTTGCTGCTGGTGAAAAGATGTGGGTGCAAAAATATTTTGAATTTATTATGCTACAAATAATATGTGATATTAATGCACTTATAAATTAATTTGTTAGAGTAACTTTGTATATTGTAAATAGAATACCACTCAGAAAATGCTACACAACACATTAAACAAACAGCATGATTTAGTACAAATGAATCTGGGAATAGTCTTTCAAATGAATCACAATCAAGAATCCTACATTGAGTACAACACACTGCTTTTAACTGGTGCTTCATATTCTTTTTGTTTCCAATGAAGTTGAATACATTTGGTTGTCTTAATTAAAAGCTTAAGTGTATTTTGTTCTAACTTATATTTAATGGATTAATTTTAGTTAATTGATTTTATGAAGACACTTGAAAGGTGAACTGAAGTGTGTGGTGCAGATATAAAGCTAGTTAAGTCATTGGAAACATTAACTTGGCTTTTATTGTTATTTCTCAGCCTGGAATTCTCTGAAGCATCTGATAATATTGACCCTCTGAACTGCTTGATCATTACTCTTTTTTTTTTTTTTTGAGGCGGAGTCTCGCTTTGTCAGAGTGCAGTGGTGTGATCTCAGCTCACTGCAACCTCCACCTCCCAGGTTCAAGCAGTTCTCTGCCTCAGCCTCCTGAGTAGCTGGGATTACAGGGACCTGCCACCATGCCTGGCTAATTTTTGTATTTTTAGCAGAGATGGGGTTTCACTGTCTTGGCCAGGCTGGTCTTGAACTCCTGACCTCGTGATCTACCCGCCTCGGACTCCCAAGGTGCTGGGATTACAGGCGTGAGCCACCGCACCCGGCCCTGATCATTACTCTTAACCAGTCATCAAGATAATAATGTCAGGAGGATGGTCTATATTATTATACATTTTTCATTTTTCTTCTATTTCTATCTCAAGATTTCTTCGGGAAGCTTGCCGTTAATGTTCTTTTTTTTAAAAAAAAACATATGCTCCACCTTTGAGACAGTATTGCCGATTGAACTTCACTTTACTAAGAAATTCTTCACCAAAAGCTCATCTATAAAACTGCCCAGTGGGAGTTTAGCACTTTTTCTGATTTATGAACATTGCCAACTCGGTAGTGCCAAGAGATTTCAAAATTTTCACCCTAGAATACCAAGGTCAGGACATCTCTCCTACTTGCAGGAAAGATGAGCTGAACTGGACCTGATCTAGCCTTGAACAGAGATATGCATGAGAATCTAGAGGGTTTTCCCTGAGACCATGGACCAGCAACTTCTCCCTTACTGCCTCTCACTTTGTATGGGGATCCTCAGACTGTAACAATGAATTCAGCACTGGGTCTTGGATAGTTCCACCCTGGGATGCCCAGATCTAAATTTAGCCAATTGGCCTGTGAATGTGACATAAAATACGGTATTTATGGCTGGGCACAGTGGCTCACGCCTGTGATCTCAGCACTTTGAGAAGCTGAGGCGGGTGGATCACTTGAGGTCAGGAGTTTGAGACCAGCCTGGCCAACATGGCCAAACCTGATCTCTACTAAAAATACAAAATTTAGCTGGGCATGGTGACATGCACCTGTAGTCCCAGCTACTTGGGAGGCTGAGGCAGGAGAAAGGCATGAACCCGGGAGGCGGAGCTTGCAGTGAGCCAAGATCGCACTATTGCACTCATTACAGCCTGGGTGGCAGAGCAAGAATCTGTCAAAAACAAAACAAAACAAAACAAAACAAAACAAAACAAAAAACAAGTCTTTTACAAGTTCGAAGCTATTTCTTATGGAGTTGTTATTTGTAAAACCATGACTGTAACCCACCTGACTTGGATCAAAGAGAAACGGAATCAATCCCAAGGCGTCCCCTCAATAGGGCACTGGGCAGCTGTGGATGTCATGGGGAAGTTCTCCTGACGGATGACCCTCCAGGACACATAGCTATGTGGGGAGTTAGAAAAGAAAAAGACAACACTCAGGACATTATTAGTCATTAGCTTTCTTTGAGAAAGAGCCAGAGAGAACTAGTATATTGCTATGCTTTTCTGTGTGTGTGTTTGTATTTTACATTTTAAAAATGAAAGAATACATGAAAACCTTTAAAACTGGGTACACTCAGCTACTTGGGAGGCTGAGGCAGAAGAATGGCTTAAACCCAGGAGGCGGAGGTTGCATTGAGCTGAGATCGTGCCATTGCACTCCAGCCTGGGTGACAGAGCGAGACTCCGTTTCAACAAAAATAAAAACAAAATCAAAACGACAACAAAAACCACAACAAAACCCTAGGTACTTGTGACGGAGGGAGAAAACAGCAGAGGAGATGGGATGAAGCTAGACTAACCTCATTGTGCTTTGTTTGTTGTTTCAGTTTGGAAATAGACATATATTTTCTTGAATAGGTGTAGTGCCAAAATATTTTCACATACGATTTATGAACCTAAAGACAAAACCTAAGTAAAAAGAGTAATGAAACTAATCTTAACACCAAATTAAGATTTTACTAAACAAAGGTGAATTATTTCCACTGAATTTTAAGCAAAATTATTTAACTATGTTTTATAAGTAATACATATTATACATCATTTTATATTATAGATTTTTAATGTTTTAAAATAATCAAATATGATATATAATATATTGATTTATAATTATTACTGTAATAAAGAATTTTGACGATTGCATATACCTCATTTTATATTATAATTTTTTAAAATTTTTAAATAATCAAATAATATATATGATTATTATAATAAATAATTTTGACGATGTATAGTAAATACATATATCATCGAAAATATTTAATCTTAAAATATACTTAGATAGTGAAATGTTTTTTATTTCTGTTTGAGGAAATAGGTGAGTCCACATTAAGACAGAATGCATGAAATGAACTCAGAACCCCTTATTATACAAGAGAACAAAGGAGTCACAATTACCTTCAAATTCATTTGACTTAAACAGAAAGGCAATCATGAAGGATCCCACTGACAAAGAATGGAATATTTATAGCATCAAATAATATTTCAATGGATTGAAATAAATGAATATATATAAACCATATATGTTTACTAGTGCTAAAACAAAAGAAAATAAGCCAAACAAACAAAATACCTCATTTACAGCACCAAATTACCACATTCCAAAAGTGGAAATGGACGCAAGAACCAGTATCTCCCTTTTCTATCTGAAGTATTCCACAGGAAACATTCTTTTCTCTGTAGAAGATTTCTGCAGAAAATTTCAGACCATTTTTAGTCTGAATAATCTGCATAATCTGAATAATCTACAGATTATTCTGTGGGAATAATTCATCTTTGTTTAGTGAAACCTTAACTTGGTATAAGATTAGTTTATTTTTTACCTAGGTTTTGTCTTTGGGTTTATGAATTATATGTGAATTTTTTTTTTTTTTTTTTTTTTTGGGACGGAGTCTCACTCTGTCCCCCAGACTGGAGTGCAATGGCGCCATCTCGGCTCACTGCAACCTCTGCCTCCCGGGTTCCCGCCATTCTCCTGCCTCAGCCTCCCGAGAAGCTGGAACTACAGGCGCCTGCCACCACGCCCGGCTAATTTTTTGTATTTTTAGTAGAGACAGGGTTTCACCGTGTTAGCCAGGATGGTCTCGATCTCCTGACCTCTTGATCCGCCCGCCTCGGCCTCCCAAAGTGCTGGGGTTACAGGCGTGAGCCACCGCGCCCGGCCGAAAATATTTTTGCACTGCACGTATATTCATGAAAATATGTGTATACTTCCAAAGTGAAACAGGACATAGTTTCCAAACTGGAAGATGGACAGAGTTGCAAAATCTGTACACTGAGTGTACAAGCAATAAACATCAATGGCCTCCCAAACCCTTAGACTTCAGGTTCGTGGTGAATGTAGTACTGGATGGATCCTGTTGATGACAAAGCCATGGGGGCAGGAATGCAAGCTGGAGAATGCAAGACGCAAACAAATGAGTCACTTACTGTGTCAGATCTAATTTTTTAAAAAAACTTTTGTGTTATCTTGCCCTCAGATTCATATTTTCAAAATCTTTAATTTTTGTTTAAAAAATTACCGCTAAAACCAAGGCAGGAGGAGTGGAATTCCAAGACGGTGGATTACGTGATTCTGTTCCTCATAGCCCCACAGAAACATCAGCTGTGACCGCCATCCAGGACCAGAAATATTTCTGTGACAACCTAGAAGTGCAGTGAGAGTTGCCAGCACCACAACGAGCAAAAAATTGCAGAATAAGATACAAGAAATAGTTACAAAATTAGGTAATAGTATAGCAGAATGCTATAATCAAGCTTTATTCACTAGCCCTGTTTCACTTTTTTATTACTCAAAACGTCTAGACTCATTGGAGACAGGGAGAGTTATGTTGATCTGCAATATATTCCCAGTGTCTTGCATTTATTTTTATTTTTTTATTTTTTCTTTTTTTATTTTATTATTATTATACTTTAAGTTTTAGGGTACTTGTGCACAACGTGCAGGTTTGTTTTTGAAATGGCATAAAGCAATATATTTGAAAATTAAAAAAAAGATTTTTGAAGAAAAGAGAAAGAACAGCTTTTCTCTTCTTTCTGCATCTCTTCTTCCCCAGGGAGGCACAGTTCAGTGCCAGGAGAGACTCCGCGGGCTGCGAGCTCTCCCACAGAGGAAAGTGAAAGCAGAGGGAACACCCAGGTTCCTCAGCCTCAGGGGAAACTGCCCACGTCAGCCTCTCAGCACCAGATCGTCGAGGGGACTGGAATGGCGGAATAGTCTTGGAGGAGGCGGGAGCACCGGAAGCTGTGAGCGCTCACAGCAGCCATCACGCAGATCTAACAAAATGGCTGCAGATCTGACCCACAGACTCATGGGAGCCGAATAGACATCTTTCCAAAGACACAGGAATGGACGGCAGGTTTAGAAAAAGGCTCCACATACCTAATCATGAGGAAAACGCATTAAAATCACAGTGAGGCATCACCTCTCTGGTTAGGATGATAACAAAGGCAAACGAAGGTAAGTGCTTCGAAGGGCGTGAAGAAAAAGGAACCCTGGAATACCATTAATAAAAATGCAGATTGGTGCAGCCATTTTGAAAAACGCATAGAGATTCCTCAAAAAATTAAAATGGAACTACACGACACAGCATTTCTCTGCTGGATACTTCGCCAGAGCAATTGAAATCAAAATACTGAGGAGGTGTTGCACGCCTATATTTATTGCACCATTATTCACAGTAGCCAAGATACGAAAACAACATAAATGTTCATCGATGGATGAATGGATAGAGAAAATGTGATATATACCTATCATAAAATATTATTCAGCATTTTTTTAAGCATTAACAAATTTACTTAATTATTTGAGGCAAGGTCTTGCTCTGTCTCCTAGACTGGAGCCCAGTGGTGTGATCACAGCTCACTGCAGCCTCAACCTCCCAAGCTCAGTCAATCCTTCCACCTCAGCCTCTTGGGTAGCTGGGACTACAGGCGTGCACCACCACGCCTGGCTAACCTTCTGTATCCTTGGTAGAGATGGGGGTCTCGCTGTGTTGCCCAGGCTGGTCTTGAACTCCTTGCCTCAGGTGATCCCTCCGCCTCAGCCTCCCAAACTGCTGGGATCACAGGCGTGAGCCACTGTGCCTGGCCAAGGGGTACAACGTTTTAATTCTCCAAGATGAATAAATTATCGATATCTAATGTATAGAATGAAAACTATTGGTAAGAGTACTGTACTATACGCTTGAAATTTGCTAAAATAGTAGATTCTAAGTAGTTTTACCACACACACAAGTGAGGTGATGGATTGTGGTGATTATTTCACTATATATATAAAGTCGTCAAGGTATACATCTTTAATATGTGCCTTAAAAATACTCAAAGTGGAAAAACAAAATGAGTCTGTTATTTAGGTGAGACCTACGAGCACTGCCTCCTGAGCTCAGTGATGGACAAACCTGTGATATATTAAGGGTCACTATCTCTTCTACTATTTTTACTATTTTTCAATATTAAAAAGCACCCCTTTTTACTATTACAGTTATATAATTAGCAGCACATGGAAATTGTTCAGAAACAAGATCGCAACCCTGAAATTCACCATATTTTAATTTTTAATTTGTTGTTGTTGTTGAGATGGAGTTTCTCTCTTGTTGCCCTGGCTGGAGTGCAATGGTGCAATGTCGGCTCACTGCAACTTCCACCTTCTGGGTTCAAGTGATTCTCTTGCCTCAGCTTTCTGAGTAGCTGGGCTTACAGACATGTGTCACCATGCCCGGCTAATTTTGAATTTTTAGTAGAGACGGAGTTTCACCATGTCGGTCAGGCTGGTCTTGAACTCCTGACCTCAGGTGATCCGCCCACCATGGCCTCCCAAAGTGATGGGATTACAGGCATGAGCCACAGTGCCTCACCCATTTCTAAAATATAATATATCTCTAGTAAATCCAACTAAGAATTGAAAAAAAATGTTTAAACATGAATGTATATTTTGGCAATCAAAATATTACCTTTGTAACATTTGGACACAATTCTGTTTCATAGTTGCTTAATAAACTGCTACATAGAATACAACAGATATTTATTAATATTTATGAGTTGTGCAAATACATACAACACTGGGTAAAAAATAATTTGTAAATTCTTCTTTGTAGAGGCAGTATTGTATTTGCAATTTTGATGAAAAAATGGCTTAAGAAAATGTATGTAATTGTACAAATCAACCACTCAATTGAGTAAATGTGGAAGAAATACTTTTTTTGAGACGGAGTCTCGCTCTGTCGCCCAGGCTGGAGTGCGGTGGCGCGATCTCGGCTCACTGCGAGCTCCGCCTCCCGGGTTCACGCCATTCTCCTGCCTCAGCCTCCCGAGTAGCTGGGACTACAGGCGCTCGCCACCAAGCCCGGCTAATTTTTTTGTATTTTTAGTAGAGACGGGGTTTCACCCTGTTAGCTAGGATGGTCTCGATCTCCTGACCTCGTGATCCGCCCGCCTCGGCCTCCTAAAGTGCTGGGATTACAGGCGTGAGCCACCGCGCCCGGCCCCTGGAAGAAATACTATTAAAAAAAAAAGAAAGGGTGCTTAAGACCTGACAAAATGCAATAAACCACTATACTGCGTGAAGTGAGTCAATATCTTAAATAATTTGACCAACAAAATATGTGTGCATCAACAATGTATTTTACAACCAAATACTAACATTCCCAAATGTCCTGTACTGGTCAAAAAAAAAAAAAGACACAGAAAGAAAATTAATTATAATATTAAAAATAGTTTTATCTAATATTTTAAAATTACAGATAAAAATTGGTTATAGTAAACCAAAGAAAAAAACAGTCTACAAAATAATGTGAAGTATTTGATAGGTAGATATGTAAAGAAATAGATGCAGATCAGAGATAGAAATTTTGTTTGATCTTTGAATTCCAAAGATTAGAGACCAGGAGAATTATAGGTATAAAAAAATTAAGAACTTAGTATTTGAGTAAAAGTTAATTCCAAAATGAGTTGGAAGAATATTTGTTAAATACATGGATTTAAATATTTTGACATTTAGTTTAAAAACTAAAACCAGTTTCTACTGGATGCCATTTAGGCAAATAAAAATATTTATGTAAAGGCATATAACCATATAAATTAATATCTAGTAGATTAAGCATATAGAAACAGGTATATATATTTTAAAACATGAGTTGAGGCAAATACTTAGTAAGCAATTTTAAAACATGAGCCATAGAACAATTAAAAATATTACAATATTTCAAATAGTAAAACTTATTTAAGACTAACGACATATAATATGGAACTCAGAATATTAGAAATATTTTATATATCAAAATTGAAAAAAGGAGGCTGTCATTAATATTTTAAGTGCTCATTCTAAACAGTAAAATAAAATATCATTTGTTATCTAAGTAGGGAAATTATGTAAACAAGGATTTCTGTGGGTAAGAAAAAAAGCCTCACAAATATATGTTTTTCTCGGAGATTATCAACCAAATGCAAAATAAAATTTAAAAAAGATTTCTTTAAATTTGAAATCCATTTTTTTGTTACATGTTTAATTTATGGTCATAGCGTCACTGTACATAATTACTATTCTTCTTTTTTTTTTTTTTTTGATGGCGTCTTGCTCTGTCACCCAGGCTGGAGTGCAGTGGCACAATCTTGGCTCACTGCAACCTCTGCCTCCTGGGTTTAAGCGAATCTCCTGCCTCAGCCTCATGAGTAGCTGGGATTACAGGTACCCACCATCATGCTTGGCTAATTTTTGCATTTTTGTAGAGAAGGGGTTTTACCATGTTGGCCAGGCTGGTCTTGAATTCCTGACCTCAGATGATTAACCCGCCTTGGCCTCCCAAAGTGCTGGGATTACAAGCATGAGCTACCGTGCCTGGCCCATAATTACTATTCTTCTTGCAGCTATGGATTTTTATATCTGGGTGAAAATTAAATGAAGAGTAATGGTTTCTCAGTTTGAAATGAATGAATGTGAGATGCGAGTGAAACCTTATATGATACTATGAAGTAGAAGATAGAGTATTTTAGCCATATTTAACTTGACATACTATTTTATAATACCTAAAAATGTAGATGCATTGCAAAAACATTAGGACTTACCAAAACAAGAACAGCATTTTTATAATAATTTTTTAACTGGTTTAATAATTAAAACGTTGTTAAGCTACAATGGGATTTAACTGTCATTAAAATTTGGAAAATACTAGAATCTTGGTAAAGTGTAGATTAGTTTAGAGAAATAGATGCTTTAGAAAATCAAAACCGTTTCTGGAAGGCTATATAATAATGATAACAGTTTGGTCCCAGTGGACAGGGAGAAAAGTAGGAGAGTGAGAAATAAAACCATGCATTTTATGTAGCATATACACACAAACTTATTCAAAATTTTCTTGGAAAGAAAATGTCTTGTGACAAGTATGAGAAATTTAGCAAATTTATAGTAGACATTGGTCAGCAAATCCAAACAAGAGAAAGAAAGGAGCTATGCACGAATCATAAAGGAAACATACAACTAAATTTAAATTCCACTAAACTTAGTTGAGCAGCAGTGAGAACAACAAAATGATGGAAAATCATGGACACAAGAAAATATCTGTGAGTCCTAGACCAGCTGGGACTATGGGTCTCATCTGCTCTTTAAGAATGGCAGTCATTCGTGGGGAAATGAAAACCTCTGTTTCATCTCTTATCAAAGTGATTTGCAGAGAGGCACAATAGTAGGCTAAATGAGGCACATCTTACTTCCTGAGATCCTGGCAGGAAAATCCCCACCCCACGGCTCTTCTGGCTGGGATCTTAGCTGTCAGAACAGACTAAGTGCTCACTGTTTTAAGACTGAGTGGAGTGACAGCTTTAGAACGCTTGATCTTTAAATTCCAACGGATCTGGACCAGGTGCAAAGGTTTGGGGTGTAGCACAGCACTTTTAAAGCTGGCTAAGAGTCAGAGATGCATTTATACCTGAACACATTTATAGTCCCTGATTATCCCTGCTCCCTAAGCCTTGAAAACAGTCACTCACTTTAAAAGGTGAGATTCTATTTGGTGAAGTGAGAGATAGAGTTTACCTTCTTTACACTGGTTCCAGGATTTTCTACGGACATGAAATTATTGTTGCAGTTAAGTGCATGGTAATCCCCAGAACCCATGGGAAAGAGATGGAGGTGTATGGCTTTGCACTTATGACAGAAAGTTTCCGGAGACATATGCCATTGCCAACCAAAGCACAACACGCAACCACCACAGGTAATTTTAAATCTCCTAAGTTGCAGGTGTCATTAGACAGGAAGTGTGTAAGCAGGTGGCAAGAGCTGACACACTCTTAACCCTCATACAAGCAGCAGAGTGAAGACTGTGAGGCTTGGCGTGTTCATTCAGAGACAGTGTTTCGGATGGGGCTATGACAGAAGAGGAAAATAAGAGATGCCAGGCAACTCTTGAGCGGGAAGGCTGGGGCAATTCTATGTCTCAGGAACCCTCAGAAAATATTATTACTTTAAGGGTTTTTTTTTAATGGTCCATGCTGATGCTAGGACTAAACAATAATTTTGTGTACACACCAAGTTTTTTATGATAAACACTCTAATTCCCTGAGAATATGGCTCTGTATCAAAGAAAATTCCTCTTACCAAATGCCATTTCTTGCTGAAGAAGTAGCCTTCATGGTCACAGTCTGGGCACCTGTGCAAAAGGGGACATCTTATCCCTGATATAAAGGTTTGGGACACCATGAGGTCATCTTCTTGCTGACAGGTAATTATTATATCATCTGTGAGTACACTGACAGTATTTGCATGGGGATTTGAGATGCTCTCAGAAAAACATTTTTGAAATGTTCAAATGACTGAGAGCTAATAGTAGTGATTAGATCCATTCAACTGAGAAAAAGAGAGCAAGAGACAGAAACAGAGATAGAAAGAGATAGAGAGAAAGAGAGACAGAAAAAAGATAAAGACAGTATGACAGAAACAGAGAGAGAGAGAGAAAGAGAAAGGAAGGAAGGAAGGAAGAAAAAGAAAGAAAGAGAAAGAAAGAAAAAGAAAAAGAAAGAAAGAAAGAAAGAAAGAAAGAAAGAAAGAAAGAAAGAAAGAAAGAAAGAAAGAAAGAAAGAAAGAAAGAAACATCTCTGAAATTCTTGGAGAAACCACATGGAAATAAGATATCAGATGAGGACCCTGATGTCTAAGAACTGAGATGAAGGAGGAGGCAATGAGTCTGGATGTGTTTCTTCCCAACCTTGGGGTCTTGCCTCCTGAATGTTATTCTTTTTCTATTCTGAGAACTTTGTACAAAAGGCTGCCTGGAAGGGAGAAGAAAAGAATCAAGTTGGAACAAATTGTCTCTGTGATAGAAATGAACTTGGCAGGAGTGGAGAAACTTTTATTCCCTGTTTCCATAGGCACATGTGAAGTATCTGATCTGTGTCAAACATGGTGTATGAGATGTCTCAGAATAAAGGACATGAAAACTTCCAAAGAGCCTGCCTGTATTAAGTCAATATTGTAGTCAAGAAAAGTGGACATTACACACAATAAATAATAGATAGAGTATGCATTGTGTTAAAAGATAATAAGTGCATTGTGAGAAGGAAAAGAAGTAATGTGCTCCACAGAATAGTAAAAAATTTTGCAAGCAGGTTGTTTGGCTGACTGGAGCTGAAACTCTTCCCCAAGTCTTCAGGCTGTTTGTCCTGCAGATTTTGGACTCACCAAGTGCCAACAATTACATGAACCCATTCCTAGATAGCAAGATAAGTAGATATAGATATGCACATATGTACATATATCGGTTCTGTTTCTCTGGAGAACACTTACAAATACATAATTTGATCATAGGAATGATTCTAGATGAACTGAATCTTAATATGTTTTGTCTACTGTTTCTGAGGTTTATGGAACTGGCTGTCTGATTAGATTTAAAGACATTAAGACAGTATGACAGAAACAGAAAGAGAAAGAAAGAGAAAGGAAGAAAGGAAGGAAGGAAGAAGGAAGGAAGGAAGTCTGTGATAGTCCGTGGCATGATGTGGCATTAGGGGTACACCACTAGATGCTCCTAATCCTACACTTATAAGGAACGAGAATCTGGGTGGCCTTGCATACACCTTTGAAGATTGTTGTCAAACTATTAAGTATAGTATGTGTGGCTGTTTTGTCATTGGATAAAGAGGTAAAGAAAAAGATGAGCCCAGAGATTAGAATTTCCAGTTCAAGCACCACTACATAAATATCTGAGGTTTCTATGTGTGCCCTGAAAGAGACTCTTATCATCTGTAGCTGTAGGGGTGAGATTGCTGAAAATCAAACCGAGAATCTCATCCTTGAAGTGGCTGTATTACAATTCAAGCGGAGTCCCCAGCCTCACAGGGTATCTACTGTTCAAGTAATGCCATTGGTCAGGAATGGGTGAGATCTTGAAAGATGGAATGAGGATGTATATTAAGACCCTGATACAGCTGAGGATATCAAGCCCCTAACTTTGAATGAGTCTTCTTTGCCAATAGAAGCATCCTCTCTATCTGCAAGGGAGGAGATTAACCCTGTACTGTCTGAGGAAACAATACTGGCCTCCCCTGAGGCAGTTGCCATGCAAGGCTATGCTGATTCTCCTTAGGATACATCCTGACCAACCCTCTTTGCTTCTAGACCTATAACTAGATTCAAGTCTCGCAGGCCCTGAAAAGTGTGTTACAAAGTGTGGCTCATGAGAAGTTGTGCTACACTCCAAAGTAATTTATTTATTTTTCTAATTTATCCATACAGAAGTCTGAGGAACACGTGTCAGAGTGGATATTAAGGGTTTAGGATAATGGTGAAAAGAACATAAAGTTGAGTCGGACCGAATTTATATATATAAGCTCACTAAACAGAGATTGCACATTTAATGTTGCATCTTGGAGAACCGGAAATGATTCTACCAGTTTGTCTGGTTGATTGGCTGAAACATGGAGCAAAAGCTGGCCTGCAGTAAATAAACTCAAAATGCCAGACATGCCTTGGTTTGCTGCAGAGGAATTAACTTAAAGGCTTAGGAAGACTGTAATGTTACCATGCATGTATCAAACCTAGTAACCCACATTGGAAGCATCAGAAGATGTATCTTTCAACAATATTGCAAAGGGAGCTCTGGCATCCTTGAGGAGCTCTGTGATTTCTCTTCTCTGGAAGCTGGAACCTACAGTGGAACTGCTGAATTTTAAAAAATCTAAATGTAATGGGAGTAATTTGGCCCCTACCTCTTGGCCCCCAGAGAGACAGGGGCCAAGTAGAGGAACTCAGCCACCAAAGGCAAGGTGGGTTTGGTTACCATGATGGACAGCAAAGTCAAACCAGCGATCGGAATAGTCCCGCAGACTTATGGTGTTGGCTAGTTGATCACGGCATTCTAACAAGGGAGATAGATAGGAAACCTACTAAATTCTCACTTGATCTGTATAAGCAGAAAATTTCTATGTCAAGTGAACAAAAGTCAACCCAAATCATAAAAGCAGAGAGCCACAGTCTCTCAATCAATGGCTAGCACTGAGTCAGTTCATAGAGCCAGAATCCCCTGAATTAAAGGGATCCCAGGCAGGGTTCCCGTGAGGGCACTGTCCCTGGTACACTACCAAGAATATATACTCTTAATCTTTCTCCTGGACTTTGGTTAAAGGGACCTGCAGCCTTTTACAATGGCAATGGAGCCTTGGGGAAAATAATCAGATAATTTGGGCATTACTGGAAATGGGGTATGAACTGACATTAATTCCAGGAGACCCGAAACGTCACTGTGGCCCTCCAGTCAGAGTAGTGGCTGCTAGAGGCAAGGTGATTGGTGGAGTTTGAGCTCACGTGTTCCATAGTGAATCCAGTGTATCCCTAAACCCACCCTGTGGCTGTATCCCCAGTTCCAGAGGGCAACATTGGAATAGACATATTCAACAACTATCACAACCCCCACAGTGGTTCCCTCACTTGTTGAGTGAGGGTTATTAGAGTGGGCCCAGTGGGAGCCACTAGAACTGCCTCTTCCCAGCTAAACTGTAAACCAAAAGCAGTCTTGCATTCCTGGAGGAATTCCATATATTGGGACTTGAAGCGTGCAGAGACAGTGATTCCCACAACCTTGCCATTCACCTCTCCTATTTTACCTCCACAGAAGACGCAGGGATCTTGGATAATGATATTAGATTATTGTAAGCTTAATCAGATCCAATTGAAGATGTTGTAACAGATGTGGTTTTGTAGTTTGAGCAAATTAATACATCCCCTGATACCCAGTATTCAGCCATTGATGTGTTAAATATTTTTTTCTCCATCACTGTTAATAAGAACCATCAGGAACAGTTTCCTTTCATTTGGCAAGGGCATCAGTACACCTTCACAGTCCTACCTCAGGGTCTGGGAAAGCACCTGGGGGTTGTGATCGGGGTCTCAGTGGCCTTCAGCTGGTGCTCTTCCTCCTCTTCTTTCTCCTCTGACACTGGCCTCAGGGCCAACACAGGACATTGGGTGAGTAGGAAGTTGGCGGGGAGACCCATGGGCTGACTGAAGGTGGGGTCAGGGCACCACCAACCAGACAGATTCCAGATGGGAAAGTTCAGCTCAGAAAAACGGCTCCAGCATTTCCCAGTGAGAAAACCTAGAAAGAAGAGAATAAATGTGAACATACATGAACATACCTTATTCTTTTGGTTGTTTCATCTAACGACGTTTTTAAAACATCTATGCAAGTGTGTTTTCAGCTTTCCTTCTTTTCTCTTGAGTTCTCTGTGCAGGGCAGGTGGCTCTCATGATCCCAAGGCTGAAGCTCTGTCCCTCTTCACCCAGCCCAGAGGGAGGCTGATTTCCAAAGTCCTGTGGGGACTGTGGAGTCAGAGAACGACAGAGGCCTGTGGAGGAGGTAATTCTGCCCGAAGACCCCAGACGCCCACCTACCCCCACAACCTCCTCACTGGCCCTCACACTCCCATGTCCTTCCCCGGGTCCAGCCCAGCTGCTGATGTCCAGGAAGAAAACTTCTGTGACAGGAAGAGGGGGGCACCTGAGGGTGGAGACAGAAGCCCCAAAGTTTCGGTAGCAATGATAGCAGGGGAAAAGGCTGAGAAGGGCTTGGGACTCTTTTATATAATATATAAATTAATATAAAAATTAATTCACCTTCACAATGTCTGTCTAATGCATTTCAACAACTGTCTGTGTTTTCCTCATGTATCTTGGTTGTCATTCCTGTGGGGCGGCTCCTCCCACGCACCTGACCTTTCATAAAGGGTTTCTCCCACGGCTGTCCAGGCATCAGCCTGATGAAGGGGATTGTTGCCGCTGCTCCTCCCCACTCCCCCAAACTCAGTGTCAGCTCAAGATTGTGCCCAGCAGGGATGGGACCAACGCCAGTCTCACACTCACCTGTGGGGCAGAGCAGACGCCCATGTCAGACCACCGTGGATTGAATCTGTTTCTCACACACAGGGGAGGGGCTGAGCACTGACCATGGCCTCCAGTGAGTGAGCAGAGACCCCCCAGCGCCTGTCCACACACACAGGGGAGGGGGAGCCACAGCTTCCAGCGTCACCCAGAGCCCTGACCCCTCCCTGCCTGGGAGGACGTGGGGTTCCTCTTCTGTCCCACACGGAGGTGGGAGCCTCCTCCTCCCTAATGACCCTGGGTGGTCCCAGACACCTGTGGCCACTCAGCATTGAACTCTGCTCATGGAAGGGGATGCGTCTCAATGTGAGGAACTGTTCTTCCTCTTTCTGTGCCCGTGGCTGTGATGATCTGCATATTTCAGATGTATCACAAGGAGAATTTCATGGTATTTGGAGCCGATGTGGGCTCTTGAGTGGGGGCGTCAATCATCCTCCTGGACTGTGGAGCCCAGCACCAGGATCCTCTCCCGTCCCCACCCTCCTGTCTGAACTGGTCTGGAAATTCACCATGGCTGAGCCTCCCATGTCCTGGGCACCACTGACCCCCACAGCCACTGTGATGAGTGGGGTTCACGACAGCAGGCTCAGAGGTGACATTCATGTCCAAAGTCACATAAACCCTGGATGATAATCAGGAATTAAATACAAATCAGCTCACCTTCCCCAGAATCAGATTACAGACCTAACAAATTCTTCTGAAAACTCTGAACATGGACGGAGGTGCCGAGGGAAGGCCAAGGACGCAAGGGACACTGAGGGGGCGGGACCGACTCAGAGCCTCATTCCCGGGGTGGGGGTGGGTGATGTTGCAACAAAGAGAAAAGGGGAAGTACAGGAGAGGGACGGTTTGGTAGGAAGGAAACACACACTCTCAAGACAGAACAAATATGTTTTATTATAGTTAATCCCTGCATTTCCCCTTTTGAGACAGGGTCTCACTCTGTCACTGAGGCTGGAATGCTAAGGGGTGATCATAGCTCCCTGCAGCCTCCGCCTCCCAGGCCGAAGTATTCCTCCCACCTCAGCCTCCTGAGTAGCTGGGACTAGAGATGTGAGCTGCCATGCCTGGCTAATTTTTTGCTTTTTTTATACAGACAAGGTCTTGCTATGTGGCCCAGGGTAATCTGAAGCTCCTGGCCTCTAGCCTTCACCCACCTCAGCCTCCTGAAGTGCTGGGATTCCAGGCATGAGCCACCATGGTAGACCCTGCATTACTCCTCTGTGCTCACTGCCACACGCAGCTCAACCTGAGCTACACAGCCAGGTGTCAGGTGCGTCTCTGCTGATCTGAGTCTAACTGCAGCATGGACCTGGGTTTTCCCTGAAGCATCTCCAGGGCTGGAGGGACGACCGCCATGGTAAGGACCCCGCAACGCTGAGCTGATGGACGGGCTGAAGGAGGGAGGGAGACCCCATGGGGAAGCTCTGAGAAGGAAGAGGAAGCCTCTGCTCACCCTCATCTGGAAGGGCAGACGCAGGAGGGCACCAGTTCTATTTGCTGCTACATCCCAGGTCTCAAGGAGATGAGGATAAACCAGACAGACAGTGGCTGGGGGGCAGGAAAGACCCCATTTCTGTCTGAAATGTCTGCAGAGGGCCTGGTGCCTGCCCCCACCTCAGCCCTAAAGGTATGACAGCCAGGCTCCTGAGAGGGCAGTTGCACTTCCTGTGTGGTTGCACATAACAAAACCCCATGACAAGAAGGATCCAGCCTCCGAGTGTCCACACCCTGTGCGTCTCTCTGTCCTGCCAGCACTGAGGGCTCATCCATCCGCAGAGCAGGGCAGTGGGAGGAGACGCCATGACCCCCATCCTCACGGTCCTGATCTGTCTCGGTGAGATTTGAAGAGGGAGGGGAGCTTCTAACCTAGGAGGGACCTCACCCCACAGCCAAACTCTGGTCCCTAAGGAGACCCCAGGGGCTCACAAAGATCCCAGGGAGGGGAGGACCTGCCCAGGCTTCAGGGGAAAAATCCCTCACAGGGAACTCTCTTCCAGGGCTGAGTCTGGGCCCCAGGACCCACGTGCAGGCAGGTGAGTCTGTTCCCAGCTGTCCCAGGTCCCTCCTCCTCACTAGGGACAAGGGGCCACCCCCGTGCAGCTGGGGATGGGGAATAGCAGTTCTGGGCTGACTGATGGGGGTGTCTGGAGGGTCCTGCAGCTGAGAGCTGAGATCTGTTGGGTGGGAAATGACTTAGAATCCGACCTCTGATTTCCTTCCAGGGCACCTCCCCAAGCCCACCCTCTGGGCTGAGCCAGGCTCTGTGATCATCCAGGGAAGTCCTGTGACCCTCAGGTGTCAGGGGAGCCTTCAGGCTGAGGAGTACCATCTATATAGGGAAAACAAATCAGCATCCTGGGTTAGACGGATACAAGAGCCTGGGAAGAATGGCCAGTTCCCCATCCCATCCATCACCTGGGAACACGCAGGGCGGTATCACTGTCAGTACTACAGCCACAATCACTCATCAGAGTACAGTGACCCCCTGGAGCTGGTGGTGACAGGTGAGAGGACACTCAGGAGTCCCAGCCCCAGGCTCTGCCCTCAGGAAGGGGGTCGGCTCTCAGGGGCATCTCCGCTCTCACAGCTCAACCCTGGGGATGATGTGGGAGGTGGGAGCCCCATTTAACACAGTGCCTCCTTCTCTCCTAGGAGCCTACAGCAAACCCACCCTCTCAGCTCTGCCCAGCCCTGTGGTGACCTTAGGAGGGAACGTGACCCTCCAGTGTGTCTCACAGGTGGCATTTGACGGCTTCATTCTGTGTAAGGAAGGAGAAGATGAACACCCACAACGCCTGAACTCCCATTCCCATGCCCGTGGGTGGTCCTGGGCCATCTTCTCCGTGGGCCCCGTGAGCCCGAGTCGCAGGTGGTCGTACAGGTGCTATGCTTATGACTCGAACTCTCCCTATGTGTGGTCTCTACCCAGTGATCTCCTGGAGCTCCTGGTCCCAGGTGAGAAATTCACAGAATTGCTTGGAGTTCCCTGAGTCTCCCTGAGTCTCCAGGCAGGTGGGGAGCAGCCGCGTCTCAGGGCAGCTCCAGGTGGGATGATGTTGGGGCGAGAGGGCTCAGGGCTCCTGGGGCCGGAGACACAGGAAGATCAGCGGGGGAGAGGGAGGGTTTGTGGGGAAGCCTGAGGGTCGGCTCCTGGAAACCATGAACACCTTTTCCCAGGTGTTTCTAAGAAGCCATCACTCTCAGTGCAGCCAGGTCCTATGGTGGCCCCCGGGGAGAGCCTGACCCTCCAGTGTGTCTCTGATGTCGGCTACGACAGATTTGTTCTGTATAAGGAGGGAGAACGTGACTTCCTCCAGCGCCCTGGTTGGCAGCCCCAGGCTGGGCTCTCCCAGGCCAACTTCACCCTGGGCCCTGTGAGCCCCTCCCACGGGGGCCAGTACAGATGCTACAGTGCACACAACCTCTCCTCCGAGTGGTCGGCCCCCAGTGACCCCCTGGACATCCTGATCACAGGTGAGGAGCCCAGCGGGTTCAGTCAGGGACCCAGGCTCTGCACAGGCCCTGCCAGGGGAGCCCAGGTGGTGATGGCCGGAATGAGGGTTGGGGGTCCCAAGGGAGGGAGAGACAGAGAGAGACAGGGGATGGGCGGGGAGGGGAGACTCAGAGAAAACAGAGACAGAGAGACTAAGGGTCCCAGGGAGAGGCCTGGGGAGGTCTCAGCTCAGAACAAGGTGGGGCAGCCCCTCACCCATCCTTCTTCTCTCTAGGACAGTTCTATGACAGACCCTCTCTCTCGGTGCAGCCGGTCCCCACAGTAGCCCCAGGAAAGAACGTGACCCTGCTGTGTCAGTCACGGGGGCAGTTCCACACTTTCCTTCTGACCAAGGAGGGGGCAGGCCATCCCCCACTGCATCTGAGATCAGAGCACCAAGCTCAGCAGAACCAGGCTGAATTCCGCATGGGTCCTGTGACCTCAGCCCACGTGGGGACCTACAGATGCTACAGCTCACTCAGCTCCAACCCCTACCTGCTGTCTCTCCCCAGTGACCCCCTGGAGCTCGTGGTCTCAGGTGAGGGCCCTGATCTTGTCCTCTCCGAGCTCAAAGGCTCAGCTCAGGCCCTGCCCCCAGCAGAGCTCTGGGACAATAATGAATGAGGGGAGTGAAGCGGGAGGGTCCACAGGGGAGGGTCCAGCCCATGGGAGAGTGGAAATAGGCAGGGACCTCCCACCCCTGGCTCCCACCCCTGAAGTCTCAGTAAAGAGCATGAAGGGCTGGGAGGAGACGGGGGCGGGGGGGCGGGTGGTGAACCTCAGAGATGTGATTAGACTGAGGGTGGAAGACGGAGACCCCACCCGCTCCCCTCCTGATGTCTCCACCTCAGAATCAGAGCCTCTGGGGGTCCCAAACCCTATGTCCTGACCCCATGGGTGACAAAACCAGCCACTCCCAGCTCAAGAGAAGTTTCTAGACTCATCTCAATGCTACCTCCAATATTCAGGGTCTGATTTCCAGGGCAGCAGCGGGGAGGGTGGACAGTAAGGGTGTGGTCTGCGTGGCTTCCTGGGGCTTCAGGGATGGGGCAGGTGTTCCCTCCGTGGTGTTCAGAGGGGAGGGAGGTGTCTGAGGTTCAGCATTGATGAGCGGAGCAGAGGGATCTTTCCCCCTCCCTGAGCAGGATTCCCAGGAGCCGTCACCTCTCATGGGGGAGCCAGGGTCAGGGGAGATCACAGTCAGGTACTTGGTCTAGGAGTCAGGTGGGAGGAGCCCGGGGAGGTGGGGCTGGGTCTGTGATGGCTCAGCCTCTCCTTGGGAGGTGGAACTTCTGAAAGAGCCCATTCCCCTTGCACCCTGGACTCCTCATCTGAATAAGGGGGAGCTGCCTGGATGTGACTGCCCCAAAGCCCCTTCATTTCTGACCTTCTGGGGCATCTGGGATGTGGCTCATCCTAGACCTGCTCCCGTCTACAGCCCTCTCTGGCCCTCTCCTAATTCTCCCAATAACTGAGACTTGTTAAGAGTTAAAAAACCAACGGAGATGGGGGCAGGTGCATGCAGTTTTACCCATCCCTCCTGGAATCTCAGCTTAGTAAGACAAAGACACAATATTTTGGAAAAAACAAAAGTTTACAAAACCCCGCTGGTTGAGAGTCTCCCCTCTCTCGTGTACAAGAGAAAATGTCTCCAATTTTCTACCAAAATCAATAGCTGGCACAGCTCTGCAGGACCCCCAGCCCCTGGCCTTGTCCTGCAGGATGTGTGATGAGTAGAGGAAGGAGAACAGGCTGGGTGGGGAGGATTTGGGGTCCAGGCCTGACTTGGACACTGGGAAGATGCTGGGGCTGATGGAGGAGGAAGAGAGGCAGGTGAGTTGGAGAGAGGACAGATGGACAGTGTATTGGCAGCTCTCATTTCTCATTTCCAAGAGCCCCTGAGTATAAGCCCTTCACCCACACCTGCGGGGTCCCTGGGCCATCTCAAGACAAGAGAGGAGGCTGCTTGGGCCTCGGTGGGATCTGACTGTGATGAGGCTGGAGTCCACCCCAGATGTGCTCCTTTAGAGAGAAGCACCCCAGCTGTGGGTGCCGCTCACACTGCCCCTCCTGTGCTCACCTGGAGGCCTCTGTGCTCAGGGCATCCCTGAGAATAAGGAGGGGCCCTGCACCTGCTCCCTGGACAAGTCAGGCAAGTATTCACAGCACGTCTTTCTGTTTAACTCATTTCTACTCTGCATTTTCTGTATGCACTTGTCCTTTGTTACTTTTTTTCTAAAACTTTTAAAACAGTATTTGAATATATGAATTTATAATATATGAACTTAAAATTGTATGCATATATTATTTAAAAATCCTTATTTATACTCCCCTTTAATTGAGTCTTGATTTAATTTATACATTCAATGTAGAAACAAATTTCTCATTAATATCAACTCTTCCTCCTTCACACATTAAAAATGAAGATTTTCTTAATGAATTTAAGACATGTTTTGAAATTTTACTCCTAAGAATATTGTATGCTCATTTTAACTTAAAGAATTATTCAACATCTTTAACAATTGATAAGTGAGGTATTTGATTTCTTTTTATATATATATATATTTTATTATTATAGTTTAAGTTCCAGGGTACATGTGCACAATGTGCAGGTTTGTTACGTAGGTATACAGGTGCCATGTTGGTTTGCTGCACCCATCAACTCGTCATTCACATTAGTATTTCTCCTAATGCTATCCTTCTCCCAGCCCCCCACCCCTAGACTGGCCCCGGTGTGTGATGTTCCCCGCCCTGTGTCCATGTGTTCTCATTGTTCAACTCCCATTATGAGTGAGAACATGCGGTGTTTGGTTTTCTGTTCTTGTGACAGTTTGCTGAGTGATGGTTTCCAGGTTCATCAATGTCCCTGCAAAGGACATGAACTCATCCTTTTTAACGGCTGCATAGTATTCCATGGTGTATATGTGCCACATTTTCTTAATGCAGTCCACTGATGGACATTTGGGTTGGTTCCAAGTCTTTGCTATTGTGATTAGTGCCACAGTAAACATATGTGTGCATGTGTCTTTGTCGTAGAATGGTTTATAACCCTTTGGGTATATGCCCAGTAATGGGATTGCTGGGTCAAATGGTAGTTCTAGTTGTAGATTCTTGAGGAATCGTCACACTGTCTTCCACAATGGTTGAACTAATTTACACTCCCACCAACAGTGTAAAAGCGTTCCTATTTTTCCACATCCTCTCCAGCATCTGTAGTTTCCTGACTTTTTAATGATTGCCATTCTAACTGGCATGAGATGGTATCTCACTGCTGTTTTGATGTGCATTTCTCTGATGACCAGTGATGATAAGCATTTTTGCATATGTCTGTTGCCTGCATAAATGTCTTCTCTTGAGAAGTGTCTGTTCATATCCTTTGCCCACTTTTTGATTTTTTTTTTTTGTAAATGTGTTTAAGTTCTTTATAGATTCTGGATATTAGCACTTTGCCAAATGGGTAGATTGCAAAAATTTTCTCCCATTCTGTAGGCTGCCTGTTCACTCTCATGATAGTTTCTTTTGCTGTGCAGAAGCTCTTTAATTAGATCCCATTTGTCTATTTTGGCTTTTGGTGCCATTGCTTGTGGTGTTTTAGTCATGAAGTCCTTGCCCATGCCTATGTCCTGAATGGTATTGCCTAGGTTTTCTTCTAGGGTTTTTATGGTGTTAGGTCTTACATTTAAGTCTTTAATCCATCTTGACTTAATTATCGTATAGGGTGTAAGGAAGGGATCCAGTTTCAGCTTTCTACATGTGGCTAGCCAGTTTTTCTAGCACCATTTATTAAATAGGGAATTCTTTCCCCATTTCTTGTTTTTGTCAAGTTTGTCAAAGATCAGATGGTTGTAGATGTGTGGTTTTATTTTTGAGGGCTCTGTTCTGTTCCATTGGTCTATGCATCTGTTTTGGTACCAGTACCATGCTGCTTTGGTTACTGTAGCCTTGAAGGGTAGTTTGAAGTCAGGTAGCGTGATGCCTCCAACTTTGTTCTTTTTGCTTAGGATTGTCTTGGCAATGCGGGCTTTTTTTTGGTTCCATATGAACTTTAAAGTAGTTTTTTCCAATTATGTGAAGAAAGTCAGTGGTAGCTTGATGGGGATAGCATTGAATCTATAAATCCCTTTGGGCAGTGTGGCCATTTTCACAATATTGATTCTTCCTATCCATGAGCATGGAATGTTCTTCCATTTGTCTGTGTTCTCTTTTAATTCATTGAGCAGTGGTTTGTAGTTCTCTTTGAAGAGGTCCTTCACATCCTTTGTTAGTTGGATTCCTAGGTATTTTATTCTCTTTGTAGTAATTGCAAATGGGAGTTCACTCATGACTTGGCTCTCTGTTTGTCTATTATTGGTTTATAGGAATGCTTGTAATTTTTGCACATTGATTTTGTATCCTGAGACTTTGCTGAAGTTGCTTATCAGCTTAAGGAGATTTTGGGCTGAGTCAATGGGGTTTTAAATATATAATCATGTCATCTGCAAGCAGAGATAATTTGACTTTCTCTTTTCCTAATTGAATACACTTTATTTCTTTCTCTTGCGTGATTGCCCTAGCCAGAACTTCCAACACTATGTTGAATAGGAGTGGTGAGAGAGGAAATTCTTGTCTTGTGCCGGTTTTCTTTTTTTTTTTTTTTTTTTTTATTATACTCTAAGTTTTAGGGTACATGTGCACATTGTGCAGGTTAGTTACATATGTATACATGTGCCATGCTGGTGTGCTGCACCCACTAATGTGTCATCTAGCATTAGGTATATCTCCCAATGCTATCCCTCCCCCCTCCCCCGACCCCACCACAGTCCCCAGAGTGTGATATTCCCCTTCCTGTGTCCATGTGATCTCATTGTTCAATTCCCACCTATGAGTGAGAATATGCGGTGTTTGGTTTTTTGTTCTTGTGATAGTTTACTGAGAATGATGGTTTCCAATTTCATCCATGTCCCTACAAAGGATATGAACTCATCATTTTTTATGGCTGCATAGTATTCCATGGTGTATATGTGCCACATTTTCTTAATCCAGTCTATCATTGTTGGACATTTGGGTTGGTTCCAAGTCTTTGCTATTGTGAATAGTGCCGCAATAAACATACGTGTGCATGTGTCTTTATAGCAGCATGATTTATACTCATTTGGGTATATACCCAGTAATGGGATGGCTGGGTCAAATGGTATTTCTAGTTCTAGATCCCTGAGGAATCGCCACACTGACTTCCACAATGGTTGAACTAGTTTACAGTCCCACCAACAGTGTAAAAGTGTTCCTATTTCTCCGCATCCTCTCCAGCACCTGTTGTTTCCTGACTTTTTAATGATTGCCATTCTAACTGGTGTGAGATGATATCTCATAGTGGTTTTGATTTGCATTTCTCTGATGGCCAGTGATGATGAGCATTTCTTCATGTGTTTTTTGGCTGCATAAATGTCTTCTTTTGAGAAGTGTCTGTTCATGTCCTTCGCCCACTTTTTGATGGGGTTGTTTGTTTTTTTCTTGTAAATTTGTTTGAGTTCATTGTAGATTCTGGATATTAGCCCTTTGTCAGATGAGTAGGTTGCGAAAATTTTCTCCCATGTTGTAGGTTGCCTGTTCACTCTGATGGTAGTTTCTTTTGCTGTGCAGAAGCTCTTTAGTTTAATTAGATCCCATTTGTCAATTTTGTCTTTTGTTGCCATTGCTTTTGGTGTTTTGGACATGAAGTCCTTGCCCACGCCTATGTCCTGAATGGTAATGCCTAGGTTTTCTTCTAGGGTTTTTATGGTTTTAGGTTTAACGTTTAAATCTTTAATCCATCTTGAATTGATTTTTGTATAAGGTGTAAGGAAGGGATCCAGTTTCAGCTTTCTACATATGGCTAGCCAGTTTTCCCAGCACCATTTATTAAATAGGGAATCCTTTCCCCATTGCTTGTTTTTCTCAGGTTTGTCAAAGATCAGATAGTTGTAGATATGCGGCATTATTTCTGAGGGCTCTGTTCTGTTCCATTGATCTATATCTCTGTTTTGGTACCAGTACCATGCTGTTTTGGTTACTGTAGCCTTGTAGTATAGTTTGAAGTCAGGTAGTGCTACAAACCACTGCTCAAGGAAATAAAAGAGGACACAAACAAATGGAAGAACATTCCATGCTCATGGGTAAGAAGAATCAATATCGTGAAAATGGCCATACTGCCCAAGGTAATTTACAGATTCAATGCCATCCCCATCAAGCTACCAATGACTTTCTTCACAGAATTGGAAAAAACTACTTTAAAGTTCATATGGAACCAAAAAAGAGCCCGCATTGTGCCGGTTTTCAAAGGGAATACTTCTTTGCCCATTCAGTATGATATTGGCTGTGGGTTTGCTATAAATAGCTGTTATTATTTTGAGATATGTTCCATCAGTACCGAGTTTATTGAGAGTTTTTAGCATGAAGGGCTGTTGAATTTTGTCAAAGGCCCTTTCTGCATCTATTAAGATAATCATGTGGTTTTTGTCATTGGTTCTGTTTATGTGATGGATTACATTTAGTGATTTGCCTATGTTGAACCAGCCTTGCATCCCAGGGATGAAGCTGACTTGGTCATGGTGGGTAAGCTTTTTGATGTGCTGCTGGATTTGGTTTGCCAGTATTTTATTGAGGAGTTTTGCATCAATGTTCATCAGGGATATTGACCTAAAATTATCCTTTTTTGTTGTGTGTCTACGAGGCTTTGGTATCAGGATGATGCTAGCCTCATAAAATGAGTTAGGGAGGATTCCCTCTTTTTCCATTGACTGGAGTAGTTTCAGAGAGAGTGGTACCAGCTCCTCTTTGTACCTCTGGTAGAATTCGGCTGCGAATCCTTCTGGTCCTGGATTTTTTTTGGTTGGTAGGCTATTAATTATTGCCTTCATTTCAGAACCTGTTATTGGTTTATTCATAGATTCAACTTCTTTCTGGTTTAGTCTTGGGAGGGTGTATGTGTCCAGGAATTTATCCATTTCTTCTAGATTTTCTAGTTTATTTGTGTAGAGGTGTTTACAGTATTCTCTGATGGTAGTTTGTATTTCTGTGGAATCGGTGGTGATATCCCCTTTATCATTTTTCATTGCATCTATTTGATTCTTCTCTCTTTTCTTGTTTATTAGTCTTCCTAGCGGTCTATCAATTTTGTTGATCTTTTCAAAAAACCAGCTCCAGGATTCATTGATTTTTTTGAAGGGTTTTTTGTGTCTCTATCTCCTTCAGTTCTGCTCTGATCTTAGTTATGTCTTGCCTTCTGCTAGCTTTTGAATTTGTTTGCTCTTGCTTCTCTAGTTCTTTTAATTGTGATGTTAGGGTGTCGATTTTAGATCTTTCCTGCTTTCTCTTTTGGGCATTTAGTGCTATAAATTTCCCTCTACACACTGCTTTAAATGTGTCCCAGAGATTCTGTTATGTTTTGTCTTTGTTCTCATTGGTTCCAAAGAACATCTTTATTTCTGCCTTCATTTCATTATTTACCCAGTAGTCATTCAGGAACAGGTTGGTCAGTTTCCATGTAGTTGTGTGGTTTTGAGTGAGTTTATTAATCCTGAGTTGTAATTTGATTGCACTGTGGTGTGAGAGACAGTTTGTTGTGATTTCTGTTCTTTTACATTTGCTGAGGAGTGGTTTACTACCAATTATGTGGTCAATTTTGGAATAAGTGCAAAGTGATGCTGAGAAGAATGTGTATTCTGTTGATTTGGGGTGTAGAGTTCAGTAGATGTCTATTAGGTCTGCTTGGTTCAGACCTGAGTTCAAGTCCTGGATATCCTTGTTAACCTTATGTGTCATTGATCTAATATTGACAGAGGGGTGTTAAAGTCTCCTATTATTATTGTGTGGGAGTCTAAGTCTTTTTGTAGGTCTCTAAGGACTTGGTTTTTGAATCTGGGTGCTCCTGTATTGGGTGCATATATATTTAGGATAGTTAACTCTTCTTGTTGAATTGATCCCTTTACCATAATGTAGTGGCCTTGTCTCTTTTGATCTTTGTTGGTTTAAAGTCTGTATTATCAGAGACTAGGATTGCAACTCCTGCTTTTTTTTTTTCTTTCCATTTGCTTGGTAGATCTTCCTCCATACCTTTATTTTGAGCCTATGTGTGTCTCTGCACATGAGATGGGTCTCCTGAATACAGCACACTGATGGGTCTTGATTCTTTATCCAATTTGCTGGTCTGTGTCTTTTAATTGGAGCATTTAACCCATTTACATTTAAGGTTAATACTGTTATGTTTGAGTTTGATCATGTCATTATGATGTTAGCTGGTTATTTTGTCCATTAATTGATGCAGTTTCTTCATAGTGTCAGTGGTCTTTACCATTTGGCATGTTTTTGCAGTGGCTGGCACTGATTGTTCCTTTCCATGTTTAGTGCTTCCTTCAGGAGCTCTTTTAAGGCAGGCCTGGTGGTGACAAAATCTCTCAGCATTTGCTTGGCTGTAAAGGATTTTATTTCTCCTTCACTGATGAAGCTTAGTTTGGCTTGATATGACAGTCTGGGTTGAAAATTATTTTCTTTAAGAATGTTGAATATTGGCCTCCACTCTCTTCTGGCTTGTAGAGTTTCTGCCAAGAGATCCGCTGTTAGTCTGATGGGCTTTTCTTTTTGGGTAACCAGACCTTTCTCTCTGGCTGCCCTTAATATTTTTTCCTTCATTTCAACCTTGGTGAATCTGATAATTATGTGTCTTTGGGTTGCTCTTCTCAAGGAGTGTCTTTGTGGTGTTCTCTGTATTTCCTGAATTTGAATGTTGGCTTGCCTTTGTAGGTTAGGGAAGTTCTCCTGGATAATATTCTGAAGAGTGTTTTCTAACTTGGTTCCATTCTCCTCGTCACTTTCCGGTACACTAGTCAAACATAAATTTGGTCTTTTCACATAGTCCCATATTTCTTGGAGGCTTTGTTCATTTCTTTTCATTCTCTTTTCTCTAATCTTGTCTTCTTGCTTTATTTCATTAATTTGATCTTCAGTCACTGATATCCTTTCTTCCACTTGATCGAATCAGCTATTGAAGCTTGTGCATGCATCACGAAGTTCTTGTGCCGTGGTTTTCAGCTGCATCAGGTCATTTAAGGTCTTCTCTACACGGTTTATTGTAGTTAGCCATTCATCTAACCATTTTTCAAGGTTTTTAGCTTCCTTGCAATGGGTTAGAACATGCTTCTTTAGCTTGAAGAAGTTTGTTATTACCGACCTTCTGAAACCTACTTCCATCAACTTGTCAAACTCATTCTTCATCCAGTCTTGTTCTGTTGCCGGTGAGGAGCTGCGATCCTTTGGAAGAGAAGAGGCACTCTGTTTTTGGAATTTTCAGCTTTTCTGCTCTGGTTTCTCCCCATCTTTGTGGTTTTATCTACCTTTGGTCTTTGATGTTGGTGACCTAGGGATGGGGTTTTGGTGTGGATGTCCTTTTTGTTGACATTGATGCTATTCCTTTCTGTTTGTTAGTTTTCCTTCTAAGAGTCAGACCCCTCAGCAGCAGGTCTGTTGGTGTTTGCTGGAGGTCCAGTCCAGCCAGACCTTATTTGCCTGGGTATCACCAGCAGAGGCTGCAGAACAGCAAATATTGCTGCCTGACCCTTCCTTTCGAAGCTTCATCCCAGAGGGGCACCCACCTGTTTGAGGTGTCTGTTGGCCCCTACTGGGAGGTGTTTCCCAGTCAGGCTACACGGGGGTCAGGGACCCACTTGAGGATGCAGTCTGTCCGTTGTTGGAGCTCTAATGCGGTGCTGAGAGAACCACTGCTGTCTTCAGGGCTATCAGACAGGGACGTTTAAGTCTGCAGAAGCTACCTGCTGCCCTTTGTTCTACTATGCCCTGCCCCCAGAAGTGGAATCTGTAGAGGCAGTAGGCCTTGCTGAGCTGTGGTGGGCTCCACCCAGTTCGTGCTTCCAGGCATCTTTGTTTACACTGTGAGCTACTCCAACCTCAGCAATGGTGGATGCCCTTCCCTCCATCCAGCTGCAGCATCGCAGGTCGATCTCAGACTGCTGCGCTAGCAGTGAGCAAGGCTCCGTGGGTGTGAGACCTGCCGAGCCAGGCACGGGAGGGTATCTCCTGGTCTGCCAGTTGCTAAGACTGTGGGAATAGTGCAGTAGTTGGTCAGGAGGGTACTGTTTCTCCGGATACAGTCTGTCACGGCTTCCCTTGGCTAGGAAAGGGAAATCCTCCGACCCCTTGTGCTTCCCAGGTGAGGCGACACCCCATCCTGCTTCAGCTCGCCCTTTGTGGGCTGCAGCCACAGTCCAACCAGTCCCAATGAGATAAACCAGGTACCTCAGTTGGAAATGCAGAAATCCAGCTGCAGACCGGAGCCATTCCTATTCGACCATCTTGGAAGCGACACCTATATTTTTTTTAAAGAAGGATAGGTATCCATGAGAAAGTGACTGGTTTCATTATGTTCTTTTTATTTGTTATTCACCCACTAGAGAATGGCTCCTTTCTAATTACTCTTCAATGATCTCCTTTAATTTCTGGTACAATTTTAGAAATCATAATACATGGAAATTTTATTTCTTTATTTCTAAATTACATGCCAATATTTCTCAAATATTAACGTGTATATAACTACATAATAAATACATTTCTGAAGTTTTACATATATACACAGGTTCTATACATTACACATGATGTGAGTGGAGGTATATCTAAACACATTTTTATATGTATTCATCCATATGCTTCACATATTTGACATGACAGGTCTTTACAGGTTTGTTATTGGTCTTCTTATCTAGACTCACACTTGCTGGAGCAGAAGTATTCATTTATGAACCTCGGATAGCACCAGCATTTAACATATGCATATTTGTGTGTGTGGGTGGGTGTGCATGCACGTGTATTGCATTCTAGGGGTTACTGCCTGTATGAGGAATTAGTTACCTAAGGATTAAACGGAAGATGAAACCCCAGGTGAAGTGGTTGAGGGCATGAAGGGGAGGCAGACCCAGACTTTCACCCCTTTGTGTTCCTGACATTCAAGAGCCCCTGAGGTCCAACCCCTCCTCCATGGAGCCTGGGTCCTCAGCTGGCGGATCCGTGAAACTCATCTCTGGGGAGCATTGGCTTCTGTGGTCCTGCACCTGCTCCTTGCAGCCAGTTAGGGCTCAGAGAGGACACAGAGAGCACACAAGGTCCCAGGCTGCACAGAGAGCACATAAGGTCCTGGTTATTTCTGTATTGGGGACCACTTACCATATCCATGCTGAGCTCCCGGGATGCAGGAAAACTCTCCCAAATGACTCAGGAGCTGAGTTTGGATTTGTAGAACACAGGAAGTCTGAAATAATTCAATGAGGAGACTGGAGGGAACCCTGCTACAGCAGAGGAAGGGTTTATTGAGGAACTCCATAAAACTCATGTCAAGAGACACAGGGGAAAAGAAGAATGCAGAGCCCAGGAGTGAGGCTGGGCTCAGGGCTCTTCTCCACTGTTTTGATTCTCAGAAGCAGCTGAGACCCTCAGCCCATCACAAAACAAGACAGACTCCACGACTAGTGAGTGAGGAGATGCTCTCAGTTATGGGACTGGCACAGAGGGTCAGGTCCTGTAAAGGGGAGGTGGGTGCCCTGGGTGGACATACAGGAGTCCCGGGGTGATTCCGATCTGCCCTGACCTCTGTGACCTCTTTGTCCAGCATCCCTAGGCCAACACCCCCAGGATTACACAGTGGAGAATCTCATCCGCATGGGTGTGGCTGGCTTGGTCCTGGTGGTCCTCGGGATTCTGCTATTTGAGGCTCAGCACAGCCAGAGAAGCCTACAAGATGCAGCCGGGAGGTGAACAGCAGAGAGGACAATGCATCCTTCAGCGTGGTGGAGCCTCAGGGACAGATCTGATGATCCCAGGAGGCTCTGGAGGACAATCTAGGACCTACATTATCTGGACTGTATGCTGGTCATTTCTAGAGACAGCAATCAATATTTGAGTGTAAGGAAACTGTCTGGGGTGATTCCTAGAAGATCATTAAACTGTGGTACATTTTTTTGTCTATGAATGTTGACTTCCCTTGACTGGATCCCCTTTTTTTCCCATCCCCAGACATGAGGCTCCATCCCACATGGCACCGTTGGGTCCACACCTCCACACACCTGTGTGCTCTGGTCCACGGCATGTGACACAGTCTTCCTTATTCCTCATTGTCACACTCCTTGATGTCACTTACTGAGTCCCCGTCTCTTCAGTTCAGAGATCCAAACCTGAACCACCAACTAAATCAACGACAGGAGATCAGATTCCAACCAGGAAAACATAAATCCACCCTGCTGCCCTGACACCCTCTCTGTACCTTATGAGCCCTTCCCTCTTTCTCAGATGCTATCTGTGTAATTTCTCCTGAAATATCACCACTTGGAATCATCACACTGGCATTTCAAGTGACACCACAGCTATGCTGATTCAGAAAAAGACATCTCTAAAATACTGTAATTAGTGGTATCTACCAATTTCTGTGACATAAATATTTTTCTCATGGCCCAAATCAAGGTGCCAATGGGTTCTCACTGAATACAGGGTTGGGAAGCAAGGGACAGAACTGTCTTCACTAATGAGCACCAGGGACCTGTGGCACATCCCACTGAGAGCTCACCCATATACCTACAGTCCTTTCTATTTCAGAGGCAATGATCACTTCTACTTCAGTGTTATGGCACAGGTCAAATGAAATTCTGACACTGTTATCCTAGCATATCCACAAAAGACAAACCTATTAATATCTGATGTGGGAGATAACACGGCTCACCTAAAAATCAAAGTACATGCCGGGCGCGGTGGCTCACGCCTGTAATCCCAGCACTTTGGGAGGCCAAGGCAGGCAGATCACGAGGTCAGGAGATCTAGACCATCCTGGCTAACATGGTGAAACCCCGTCTCTACTAAATACACAAAAAAATATTGGCCGGGCGTGGTGGTGGGCGCCTGTAGTCCCAGCTACTCAGGAGGCTGAGGCAGGAGAATGGCGTGAACCTGGGAGGCGGAGCTTGCAATGGGCCGAGATTGCGACACTGCCCTCCAGCCTGGGCGACAGAGCAAGACTCCGTCTCAAAAAAAAAAAAAAATCCAAGTACAACATAAGAAAAATGTTAACAGAACTATGCAGTTTCGATGAAAGAATTTTTTTTGAGATGGAGTTTTGCTTTGTTGCCCAGGCTGGAGTGCAATGGTGCAATCTCGGCTCACTGCAACCTCCACTTCCCAGGTTCAAGCAATTCTCCTGCCTCTGCCTCCCGAGTTACTGGACTACAGGTGTGCACCACCATTCCCGGCTATTTTTTGTATTTTTAGTAGAGACGGGGGTCTCGCCATGTTAGTGAGGCTGGTCTTGAACTCCTGACCTCAGGTTATCCACCTGCCTCAGCCTCCCAGAGTGCTGGGATTACAGGTGTAAGCCACTGTGCCCGGCTGATGGAAGAATTCTTAAATGACTCGTTCTACTTTCTGCTGGTCCAGGCACTCCTTGGCTTGGGGCAGCATTCCACCAGTTTCTGCCTCCATCTTCTCAATGCTTACACCTACCTGGTTGCCTCTGTCTTCACACCCATTCTTCTGTGTGTGTCTTTTCTCTTCTTCAGATTATGATATCACTCAGATCAGATTAGGACTCATCCTAATTCGTTATGATCCCTTGATCATAACTTAAATGCATTTGCAAAGACTATTTCCAACTATGTTCACATTTATAGCTAATGGGGCTCAGGATTTCAACGTGTATATTAGGGGGAACAAGTCAATTTATGACAGTGTCTACAAGAAAAGTATGCATAGAAATACATTTAACCAAATACAAAAATTAGGTGGGTGTGGTGGTACACGCCTGTAATCCCAGCTACTCAGGAGGCTGAGACAGGAGAATCGCGTCAACCCAGGAAACAGAGGTTGCAGTGAGCTGAGATCTTGCCATTGCACTCCAGCCTGGGCAACAGAGTGAGACTCTGTCTCAAAAAAAGAGAAATACATTTAACCAAAGAGATGCAATACGTATACATTGACAATTTTAAAATACTGCTCAAAGAAATAACAAAAGACCTAAATGAGGAAAAAGTCATCCCAGTATCATAAATCAAAAGGCTTAAAATTAGTTATCTCCCTCTAGGGAACCTAGACTAATACACTCACCCCGTCTCCTTGTTCGGAGGCTCTCCTGCCTATCAGCTGTTCTCCTCTGTGCTTTCCATGTCCCTGTGGTTCTCTGGTGAGCCCCATCATGCTGTCCTAGAAGATCCACTTAGAATTTCGGTATTTACTCACCATTTTGACTCCTCTTAACGAGACAGGCACATGCCAGCTGTTTCCATTCATCCAACCTGAACCTGAGCCCCCGATCATTTTTTCTACCACTTTTCAGTCCTGGGAAACTCAGTCCCAATGTGCTTGTCATTCATTTGAGAATAATTTTCATTTTCTCCAGTAGTTTTAAAATTACTTTGTATCTATTCTAGATATCGTTTGCTCTATCATAGTTAAGACATTAATGTTATTTATGAATTTGTGCACATTAAACTCATGATCTTTCATTTCTGTAAAAATGTCAACTATTTCCTTTGCAAGTATTTATTGACTAACATACTCCTTATTTCCTTCATTCTGAAAGTGTGACACATAGAGATATATCTGTTTCCTCTTCTCACTCTATTCTTTGTGTGCATTAATTATCTTTTCTATTTTTTTCATTTCTAGTTTTTCTCCGATGACTAATGAAAAATTTAATAAATATTCTACACCAATACAATGTTTATCATTTCAGCAGTGTCTGGTTCTTGATGAAAGTATTTCTAAATGTGTTAATATAATTTACTATTTTCACATCACAATAGCTTCCTAATTCATTTCTATAATTGCCTGTTTTTTCTCTAATGGACTCTTCGATTTTTATTCCTCTGGGGTGGGTTTTTCTCCCACACACCTGATCTTCCATACAGGGTTTCTCCCAGGGATGACTCAGGAAGGAAAACTGATGAGGGGCATTTTTGTACCCGCTCCTGCCCTGCGGTGTCCATGCTCCCAAGTTTAGAATCAGCTCTGTGTTATGCCTGGCATGGTGGAGCCCATGAGACCCTCACATTCAAGTGCCAAAGATGCCCGGTCCAGCAGTGATAAAGCGAGACTGTGTCATGCACACCCGGGAAGGTGGCTCAGTGCTGAATGTGGCCTGGGTCACCAAACCAAGCAATCCCAGATTCTGTCCACAAATACAGAAGAGAGGGAGCCACAGTCTCTCTAGGATCCCACGGTTTCCTCCACTTTTTCCTTTGTTCTGAGAGAAAGACAAAGTGCCATGACTGCTCTGTGGGCTGGACAGATGCCTGTTTTCACCTGCAGGCTTGAACTCAAGCTGAGGTCTTGAGCATTCCCAGGTACTGATAAAGCACCTTAGATTGTTTCTAGAAAACACTGAAAAATTAACCCTTTGTTAATTATGTAGAAACAAACCCTGCCCTGAACCAAACTCCTGAAACGCTCAGGTTAAACTTTGTAACTCAATCCCTTCACTGCAGATACCCAGTAGGAAAGTCACATGAGCAAGGATGAGATGACTTTGGTTAAACTCAGACCCCACAGGGCCAGGAAGGCCTGACGGAGAGGAGGCTCGTGTTGCCAGGTCTCAGATAAGAACTGTTTCTAAGGACTTTTTTAAAAACCCCATAAGAAACTCTTCCATGTCTTTCACCCCTCTCCTGCTTTGACATGGTTTATTACTAGATATTCTTTAGGACATCAGGAATGCAGATAGGCTGCTCTCGAGAGAATACTTGCCCAGCAATGGCATCTCCTCCAATGGACTGACAGCAACTCTGGCTTTGAACCTCTGGAACCAGGGAACTCTGCTTCTAAGCAGCTCTGTCAGCCTCTCCCTTGTTGCTGATAAGAATTTCCTTTACCTCTCTATGTACAGAGAGCTCTCTCTATGATGTTTTTCCTCTACTCTCACACCACAACAGTCATCAACACAGGAGACTTGTAGGATCAGATGTGTGGGATTGTTTCCCAGACCCAATAGCGAACAGCAGCTGGGTGTCCTCTAAGTCGGCTCCGAGCTGTCTACCCAGACACAGTCCCAGATCCCACAGATTGAAGGCCCATTCTCCAAGATTGCCCCCACACACCATTCCCAAGTCCAGACCTCCAGAACTTCTGACTGACTGGCTTCAAGTTGGGGATCCCATGACCACCTCTTTGGGTTTGATTAATTTGCTGTAGCAGCTCACAGAACTCAGGGAGACACTGACGTTTACTGGTTGAATACAAAGCACACTGCAGAGGACACAGATGAAGAGACTCATAGGAGGAGGCATGGGGGAAGGGACCGGAGCATCTATGCCCTCCCTGGGCGCCACGCTCCAGGAACCTCCGCATGCTCAGCCATCCAGAAGCCCATGAAACCCAGTCCTCTTGGGCTTTTAAGGAGCTTCGTGACATCAGCATTTCCTCCCACAAGGAACAGGGTGAGACCATCTTCTGGGAGGGTCTTAAGAGCCACCATCAGAAAGGCAGGGAACATTCGAGTCTTGCCTTGGGCAGGTGAAGGAAGGGCAGGAGGAGGTCAGAGGCCTCCCCTAAGGCCTAACACAGCCAACACTCTAACAAAAGACTGTAACCAGTGGTATGGAGTTATAAGCCAGGAACCGCGGGTGAAAACCAGTGTGTATCACAACATCACACTTCCCTCTCCGGATGCACTGTGTCTTGCCATGCCATGCACTCCAGATTGTAATCTTTGCTTCTCATTCTCAAATACAAGCAAAATCCAGGCAACCCTGGAGCAATGCAGCCTTGAATTCCTGGGGTCTCTTGTATGCACACTCTCTTCAACCAAACGGGGATCATAACTATGGCATTTGTGGGATGCAAATCCTGTGTATACGAATGGCAGACTTTCCCTATACATGGTGCAGTGGAGCCAGCTTCAGGGCTGGAGTACAGGCAGGTTTTGTGACATGTGGGCCACGGACTGGAGCCAGTTCCCTTGTACACCAAAGAACAACTGTACTTAGAGATAATTTTCTCTAGATTTTTGTTTTGTTTTGTTATTTTAGGTTAAAGCATTGGATAGAACACCCAGTGTCACCTTGTCTACCTCCAGGACATGCTGCAGGGCCCACTCTATGGAAGTCCCTCTAACAAATGCTCTATGAACACCCTGGTGTTTAGTGCTTCTTTCTTTGGAATCCCAGCAGCTCTATCACTGGACGGTTTGGTGCACTCCTTTGATGGAATTCCTCTGGGCTGCTTGGGGTCCACTCCAGCCTCAGGTGTAGCTGGAGGACGCAGCCTCCCACCTTGGTCTGGAGCCCTGAGGCCCTCACTGTCATTGCAGATCCCGAGGTTCCTCTCCCACCTCCATTCAGTGGTGGAAAACTCCATTCTAATTACCCCTTGAAGGTCCTGGGACCCTCTGGCCTCTGTTCTTTCTTGTGGATCCACCTACACTTGGGAACTTCCTCACCTCTTTTTCTGCTCATGACATTGATGCTCTGGGTATTTCAGAAATGCCTCATGTACATTTCTCCATTAGGGTCAGATGTGAGATCCAGAGTGGACACATCAATCATCTACACAGACTGGGGGGTCCAACATCGAGATCCTTTCACATCCCAAACAGTTCAGGTCTTACCCTGGTCTGGAAATCAAGCACAAATGAGCCCCTCCGAATGTCCCAGGCACCACTGACCCAACAACCACTGTGACCAGTGGGATTCATGACAACAATCTGCAAAGGAGGAAACTGAGGCTCAGTGATGGGACATTACAAACCAAGGTCATGTAGGCAGCGGATGATAACCAGTCATCAAATAAATATCAACTCCCTCCCCCACTCCCCAAATCAAAGCTCAAACATAAGTCATTGTTCTCAAAACGTTGAACAGGGATTGAGGTGCAGAGGGATGGCCAAGTAAGCAAAGGGCACCGAGGAGGCAGGAAAGTCTCAGATGTTTGTTCCCAGCGGGTGGGAGTGGACACTGTAGCAAAATATTTTAAAAAGGGGAAGTTGAGAGGGGACTATTTGGTTGAAAGAAAACCCACAATCCAGTGTCAAGAAAGAAGTCAACTTTTCTTCCCCTATTTCCCTGCATTTCTCCTCTGTGCTCACTGCCACACGCAGCTCAACCTGAGCTACACAGCCAGATGCGAGATGCTTCTCTGCTGATCTGAGTCTGCCTGCAGCATGGACCTTGGTCTTCCCTGAAGCATCTCCAGGGCTGGAGGGACGACTGCCATGGTAAGGACCCCACAACGCTGAGCTGATGGATGGCTGAAGGAGGGAGGGTGACCATGTGGGAGGCTGTGAGAAGGAAAGGGAAGCCTCCGTTACCCTCATCTGGAAGGGCAGACGCAGAAAGCACCAGTTCTATTTGCTGCTACATCCCGTCTCTCAGTGAGAAGAGGAGAAACCAGACAGACAGTGGCTGGGGGTCAGGAAAGACCCCATTACAGTCTGAAATGTCTGCAGAGGGCCTGGTTCCTGCCCCCACCTCAGCTCTAAAAGAATGAGAGTCAGGCTCCTGGTAGGGTAGTTCTGCTTCCTGTGTGGCTGCAGATGACAACACCCCATGAGAAGGACCCAGCCTCCGAGTGTCCACACTGGGTGGGAAGGAGGGGAGGCTATTTCTCTCTGTGTGTCTCTGTCCTGCCAGCACCGAGGGCTCATCCATCCGCAGAGCAGGGCAGTGGGAGGAGACGCTATGACCCCCATCGTCACAGTCCTGATCTGTCTCAGTGAGATTTGAAGAGGGAGGGGAGCTTCTAACCTAGGAGGGACCTCACCCCACAGCCGACCTCTAGTCCCTAAGGAGACCCCAGGGGCTCACAAAGATCCCAGGGAGGGGAGGACCTGCCCAGGCTTCAGGGGCAAATTCCTCACAGGGAACTCTCTTCCAGGGCTGAGTCTGGGCCCCCGGACCCACGTGCAGGCAGGTGAGTCTGTCCCCAGCTCTCCCAGGTCCCTCCTCCTCACTGGGGACAAGGGGCCACCCCCGTGCAGCTGGGGATGGGGAATAGCAGTTCTGGACTGACTGATGGGGGCATCTGGAGGGTCCTGGGCTGAGAGCTGAGATATGTTGGGTGGGAAATGACTTAGAATCTGAACTCTGATTTCCTTCCAGGGACCCTCCCCAAGCCCACACTCTGGGCTGAGCCAGGCTCTGTGATCACCCAGGGGAGTCCCGTGACCCTCTGGTGTCAGGGGATCCTGGAGACCCAGGAGTACCGTCTGTATAGAGAAAAGAAAACAGCACCCTGGATTACACGGATCCCACAGGAGATTGTGAAGAAGGGCCAGTTCCCCATCCCATCCATCACCTGGGAACACACAGGGCGGTATCGCTGTTTCTACGGTAGCCACACTGCAGGCTGGTCAGAGCCCAGTGACCCCCTGGAGCTGGTGGTGACAGGTGAGCTGACACTGAGGGCTCCCAGCCCCAGGCTCTGCCCTCAGGAAGGGAGTCAGTTCTCAGGGGCATCTCCCTCTCACAGCCCAGCCCTGGGGATGAAGTGGGAGGTGTGAGCCCCATTTAACATGGTGCCTCCTTCTCTCCTAGGAGCCTACATCAAACCCACCCTCTCAGCTCTACCCAGCCCTGTGGTGACCTCAGGAGGGAACGTGACCCTCCATTGTGTCTCACAGGTGGCATTTGGCAGCTTCATTCTGTGTAAGGAAGGAGAAGATGAACACCCACAATGCCTGAACTCACAGCCCCGTACCCATGGGTGGTCCCGGGCCATCTTCTCTGTGGGCCCCGTGAGCCCGAGTCGCAGGTGGTCGTACAGGTGCTATGCTTATGACTCGAACTCTCCCCATGTGTGGTCTCTACCCAGTGATCTCCTGGAGCTCCTGGTCCTAGGTGAGAAATTCACAGCATTGCCTGGAGTTCCCTGAGTCTCCCTGAGTCTCCAGGCAGGTGGGGAGCAGCCACGTCTCAGGGCAGCTCCAGGTGGGATGATGTTGGGGCGAGAGGGCTCAGGGCTCCTGGGGCCGGAGACACAGGAAGATCAGCAGTGGTGAGGCCCCGGGGGAGAGGGAGGATATGTGGGGAAGCCTGAGGGTCGGCTCCTGGAAACCATGAGCACCTTTTCCCAGGTGTTTCTAAGAAGCCATCACTCTCAGTGCAGCCAGGTCCTATAGTGGCCCCTGGGGAGAGCCTGACCCTCCAGTGTGTTTCTGATGTCAGCTACGACAGATTTGTTCTGTATAAGGAGGGAGAACGTGACTTCCTCCAGCTCCCTGGCCCACAGCCCCAGGCTGGGCTCTCCCAGGCCAACTTCACCCTGGGCCCTGTGAGCCGCTCCTACGGGGGCCAGTACAGATGCTCCGGTGCATACAACCTCTCCTCCGAGTGGTCGGCCCCCAGCGACCCCCTGGACATCCTGATCGCAGGTGAGGAGCCCAGCGGGTTCAGTCAGGGACACAGGCTCCGCACAGGCCCTGCCAGGGGAGCCCAGGTGGTGATGGCCGGAATGAGGGGTGGGGGTCCCAAGGGAGGGAGAGACAGACAGAGACAGGGGATGGGCGGGGCGGGGAAGACTCAGAGAAAACAGAGATAGAGACTGAGGGTCCCAGATAGAAGCCTGGGGAGGCGTCAGCTCAGAACAAGGTGGGGCAGCCTCTCACCCATCCTTCTTCTCTCCAGGACAGTTCCGTGGCAGACCCTTCATCTCGGTGCATCCGGGCCCCACGGTGGCCTCAGGAGAGAACGTGACCCTGCTGTGTCAGTCATGGGGGCCGTTCCACACTTTCCTTCTGACCAAGGCGGGAGCAGCTGATGCCCCCCTCCGTCTCAGATCAATACACGAATATCCTAAGTACCAGGCTGAATTCCCTATGAGTCCTGTGACCTCAGCCCACTCGGGGACCTACAGGTGCTACGGCTCACTCAGCTCCAACCCCTACCTGCTGTCTCACCCCAGTGACTCCCTGGAGCTCATGGTCTCAGGTGAGGGCCCTGACCCTGTCCTCTCCGAGCTCAAAGGATCAGCTCAGGCCCTGCCCCCCAGGAGAGCTCTGGACACTAAGAAAAGAGGGGAGTTGGCTGGGCACGGTGGCTTACACCTGTAATCCCAGCACTTTGGGAGGCCCAGGCGGGTGGATCAGGAGGCCAGGAGATCGAGACCATCCTGGCTAACACAGTGAACCCCGTCTCCACTAAAAAATAGAAAAAATTAGCCAAGCGTGGTGGCAGGTGTCTGTAGTCCCAGGTACTCGGGAGGCTGAGGCAGGAGAATGGCATGAACCTGGGAGGCGGAGCTTGCCGTGAGCTGATGTCATGCCACTGCACTCAATCCTGGGCAAGACAGCGAGACTCCATCTCAAAAAAAAAGGAAAAGAAAAGAGTGGAGTGAAGGGGGAAGGTCTGCGGGGGAGGGTCGAGCCCATGGGAGGGTGGAAATAGACGGGGCCTCCCACCCCTGGCTCCCACCCTTGTAGTCTCAGTAGGGTAAAGAGCAGGGAAGGCTGGGAGGAGATGGGGGTGAACCTCAGAGGAGATGAGAGTAGACTGAGGGTGAAAGACAGAGGCCCCACCTGCTCCCCTCCTGATGTCTCCACCTCAGAATCAGAGCCTCTGGGGATCCCAACCTCTAAGTCCTGACCCCATGGGTGACAAAAACCCAGTCACTCCCAGCTCTAAAGAAGTTTCTAGACTCATCTCAATGCTACCTCTAATATTCAGGGTCTGATTTCCAGGGCAGCAGAGGGGAGGGTGGACAGTAAGGGTGTGGTCTGCATGGCTTCCTGGTGCTCCAGGGATGGGGCAGGTGTTCCCTCCGTGGTGTTCAGAGGGGAGAGAGGTGTCTGAGGTTCAGCATTGATGAGTGGAGCAGCGGGGTCTTTCCCCCTCCCCGAGCAGGATTCCAGGAGACATCACCTCTGGTTGAGACTCTCCACTGTCTCATGTACATAACAAAATCTCTCCAATTTTCTACTGAAAGCAACACGTGGCACAGCTCTGCAGGACCCCACACCCCGACCTTGTCCTGCAGGATGTGTGACGAGTAGAAGAGGGAGAACAGGTCGGGTCAGCAGGATTTGGGGTCCAGCCTGACTTGGACACGTGGAAGATGCTGGGGCTGATGGAGGAGGAACAGAGGCGGGCGAGTTGGAAAGAGGACAGACAGACGGTCCCTTGGCAGCTCTCATTTCTCATTTCCAAGGGCCCCTGAGGATGAACCCCTCACCCACACCTGTAGGGTCCCTGGGCCATCTCAAGACAAGAGAGGAGGCCTTGGTGGGATCTGACTGTGATGAGGGTGAAGTCCACCCCGAGCAGAAATGAGTGATACACAACACGTGCTGTGAATAATTCCCTAACTTGCCAGGGAGCAAGTGCACGGCCCCTCCTTAGTCTCAGGGGTGCCCTGAGCCCAAGCCCACCAGGTGAGCACAGGAGGGGCCGTGTGAGCGGCACCCACAGCTGGAGTGCTTCTCTCTAAAGGAGCACGTTTTGGGTGGACTCAACCCTCACCACAGTCAGATCCCACCAAGGCTCTGTGCTCAGGGCACCCGGAGACTAAGGAGGGACCGTGCACCTGCTCCCTGGATGAGTTAGGGAATGATTCACAGCACGTCTCATATGTCATTCATTTCTACACTGTATTTTCTGTACGTATGCTTTCTATATGTATGCTCTCTCCTTTACTAAAACTTTTAAAGCAATACTTCAATATATAAATTTATATTTTTTATTTCAATTATATGAACCTATTATTTAAAAACATTTAATTTTACTTTGCCTTTCATTGGGGCTTGATTTAATTTATATATTCAATGTAGACATCCATTTTTCATTAACCTCAAGTCTTCCTCCTGTACATATTAAAAATCGAGGTTTCCTTAACGAACTTCAGAAATGTTTGGATGTTTCAAAGCACAATGGCCCGAGCGAAACTGACTGGGCGGCTCCCTGTGGCATGAGAAACCCGGGGGAGGTCAGCGGGAGCTACAGTGCAGCTCAGCCCTGGGCCTGGGGGGTTCATGCCCAACCTTGTCCAATCACTGGATAATTCTAACATCTAAATAAACGTCTTTTATATGAAAAAAGTGCTTTAAATTGTTAATTTAGATTTAAATTAGAACAGGGCAATTTGGTAGTGGGTTAATATGAAATACAATGAATATACCCAAACCAGTGGCTTTCTCATGAGTACTTATCTCTCGTTTTAAAAAATGTAAAGGAATCAAATACTTCACTTATAAATTGTTAAAGGTGTTGAATAATTCTTTAAATTAGAACGAATATAATTAAAAAAAATTTTTTTTGAGATGGAGTTTTGCTCTTGTTGCCCAGTCTGGAGTGCAGTGGTGAAATCTTGGCTCACTGCAACCTCCGTCTTCCAGTTTCAAGCAATTCTCCTGCCTCAGCCTCCCGAGTAGCTGGGATTACAGGTGCCCGCCACCATGCCCCGCTAATTTTTGTATTTTTAGTAGAGACAGGGTTTCACCATGTTGGCTAGGCTGGTCTTGAACTCCTGACCTCATGATCTGCCCACGTCAGCCTCCCAAAATGCTGGGATTACAGGCATGAGCCACGGTGCCTGGCCTGAATATAATTTTTTAAATGTCTACCCAGGACACCCACCTCTCCTTGACAGGGAGGTTATATAAGTTATACATAATCTTATATAGAATTTGTTATATAAGTTACCTCTGAATATGTCTCTTCTCCTCTGTTTTGATTCTCAGGAGCAGCTGAGACCCTCAGCCCACCACAAAACAAGTCCGATTCCAAGGCTGGTGAGTGAGGAGATGCTTGCCGTGATGACGCTGGGCACAGAGGGTCAGGTCCTGTCAAGGGGAGCTGGGTGTCCTGGGTGGACATTTTAAAAAATTACATTCATTCTAATTTAAAGAATTCTTCAACACCTTTAATGATTTATAAGTGAAGTATTTCATTCCTTTACATTTTTAAAATAAGAGATAACTATCCATGAGAAAGCTACTGCTTTGAGTATATTCATTGTATTTCATGCTAACTCACTACTAAATTGCTCTGTTCTAACTGCTTTTCAATGGATCTCCTCTAATTTACTAATACAATTTGTATAAACCGTAAGACAATGGGAAATTTTACTTCTTTATTTCTAAATTATGTGCCAATATTTCTCACTTTAAATGTCAATATATATGTTACTACATCTTAAATAAATATCTGAAGTTTTACATATATACATATTTATGTGTGGTTAAGTAAGATACTTTTGAATATGTGTGTAAGTATATCCAAATTCATTTGATGTATATTCATGCATATGCTTAATATATTTGATGCGGTAGGTGTTTACATGTTTGTTCCTGGTCTAGATTCACCTAGATTCACACTTCATAAAAACAAATACTGATTTATGAACCTTGAGTGACATCTCCATTTAGCATATATATATATATGTTTGTATGTGTGTGTGAATGTGGGAAACTGTATTGCATTCTAGGTGTTACTGCCTATATGAGGAATTAGTTAACTAGAGATTAAATGGAAGATGAAACCCCAGGTGAACTGGCTGAGGCTGTGTGAAGAAGAAGCACCCCCAGACTTTCACCCCTTTGTGCTTCTGACACTGGGGAGCCCCTGCAGACCAACCTCCCATGCATGGAGCCTGGGTCCTCCGCTGGTGGATAAGTGAAACTCTCATCTCTGGGGGAATTGGCTCATGTGCTCCTGTGTCCCTGGCTGCACAGACAGCGCACAGGGCTCAGTGACTTCTGTATTCCCTTGCAGATCCTGAGCTCCCAGAGTGCAGGAAAACGCCCTCCCCAAATGCCTCAGGAGTAACATTCGAATTTCTAGAATGCAAGAAATCTGAAATAATTCAATAAGGACACTGGAGGGAACCCTGCTACACAGGAAGGGTTTATTGAGGAACTCCCTAGAACTCATGTCAGAAGACATAGGGGAAGATAAGAATGCAGAGCCCAGGGGAGAGGCTGGCTCAGGGCTCTTCCCCTCTGTTTTTATTCTCAGGAGCAGCTAACACCCTCAGCCCATCACAAAACAAGACTGGTGAGTGAGGAGATGCTCTCGTTTACGGTGCTGGGCACAAGGGTTGGGTCCTGTCAAGGGTAAGGAGGTGCTCTGGGTGGACATCCAGAGGTCCTGGGTGAAGTTGATCTGCCCTGACCTCTGTGACCTCTTTGCCCACCATCCCCAGCCTCACACCCCCAGGATTACACAGTGGAGAATCTCATCCGCATGGGCATAGCTGGCTTGGTCCTGGTGGTCCTCGGGATTCTGCTATTTGAGGCTCAGCACAGCCAGAGAAGCCTCTGAGATGCAGCCGGGAGGTGAACAGCAGAGAGAAGAATGTACCCTTCAGAGTGGTGGAGCCTTGGGAACAGATCTGATGATGCCAGGAGGTTCCGGGAGACAATTTAGGGCTGATGCTATCTGGACTGTCTGCCAATCATTTTTAGAGGGAGGAATCAGTGTTGGATTGCAGAGACATTTTCTGGAGTGATCCATGAAGGACCATTAACCTGTGATACCTTTCCTCTCTATTAATGTTGACTTCCCTTGGTTGGATCCTCTTCTTTCCCCACCCCCAGACAGACATGAGGCTACATCCCACATGGCAGCGTTGGGTCCACACCTCTGCACATCTGTGTGCTCTGGTCCATGGTGTGTAACACAGTCTTCTTTATTACTCATTGCCATACTCCCTGGTGTGCTTTACTGAGCCTCCATCTCTTCAATTCAGAGTTCCAAACGTGCTTCAGTAACTAAATCAATGGGAGAGTATCGGATTTCAACCAGGAAAAGATAAATCCACCCTGATGCCCTGACACCCTCTCTGAACCCTACGAGCCCTTCCCTCCTTCTCACATGCTACCTGTGCAGCTTCTCCTTAGATCATTGTGTAACCATCACTGCCATCCTGTTCCACACATGGTCATCACCCTACACCCATTCAGCAGCCACTCCCCATTCCCTCTTCCCTCCAGCACCTGCTAACCACAAATGTGCTTTCTGTCTCTACGGATTTGCCTATTCTGTCTGAAAACATTTCAATCTCCTTTGACCTGTGAGCTCCTCACTTCGAGACTTCCTGCCTTTCCAGGCAGAACCAAAGTACACCACGTCAAAAGCAATGATAGGCATTTGCAGTGTGTTGGTGATCCACGAAAGGAAAATCACGGAAGCAGGATAGAAATCCAGCTGCAGACAAGACCTCAGGTCGATGAATCTTGACAAGCAGTTGAGCTGTTTTTTTCTACTCACCTAGGACAGTCAGGCAGAAGTATGCAAAATGACTGGGGCTGATTCTTTTCTGAATTGTCGCAAACAGCAAGAGGACTTGAGTCCTAGCATTAAAGAGTTCAACATGTCTAGGTCCAAGACCACTGTTGTGTTTGAAGGATGTAAAACCCTGCTGCATAGGATGGAATATTTGGAGGGAGGATCCTGAAAAACATGAGGGATCAAATAGTCCTCAACTTTCTAGGACAAAGGGAGCAGCTATTTGCCATCTACCCTCCAGAATAAAGAAATCTTATCATTCACCATCTACCCTCTAGAATAAAGAAATCTTATCATTCGCCATCTACCCTGTAGAATAAAGAAATCTTATCATTCACCGTCTACCCTCTAGAGTAAACAAATCTTATCATTCACCATCTACCCTCTAGAATAAAGAAATCTTATCATTCGCCATCTACCCTCTAGAATAAAGAAATCTTATCATTCACCGTCTACCCTCTAGAGTAAACAAATCTTATCATTCGCCATCTACCCTCTAGAATAGAGAAATCTTATCATTCATCATCTACCCTCCAGAATAAAGAAATGTTATCATTTGCCATCTACCCTCTAGAATAAAGAAATCTTATTAAGGACATTTTCAAAGCCTTAACAGAATATGAATGATTACAATATTATGTTTTACCTATACAGCATCTTCCAAGTTCTAGTTTGGTTGTGCCAGGCCAAACATTTGAGCCAGATTTCGGCAAGATCAAGCAGGAGACTCTGGCGTCTGTCGCTGATTACCTTCCCGCCATACCTGGCCACCAGCCTTTCCCATGGACCCCACGTGTGTCTCCAGACTCTTGGGTATGAATCCTGTGAACACACTGACCTCTGCTTTCTACATGACTGACAAGCACTATGAAATTTGCATAAATATGAATAGAAAATATACTGTCCCCACATCCCCTAAAATAAAACTGAGTCCTCACCCATGGGCTTTTGCTGGATTATACTAAGAAAAGGCAGGTCTTACAACACACATTCCATAGACTCACATCTCAGAGAAGATTCCTTCCACAGGCTCAGGGTCCTGAACACACTGCTCCACTCTCAGGGCTCGGAGACACTCTGCAGGTGGGTCTTCACCCCATCCGGGAGCCCTAATTCCTTCTTCCTCGGTTTTTCATACAGTGATTTTTCCCAGTACTGCTGTCTACTTTCCTCTGCCAGAAATTCCTTGCTGGATCCATGGCAATCTCCTCAGGACTCCTATTTCATAAAATGGAAATGGAATTCTTCATATGCCTTAAAAAGTAAAATAATTATCCAAACAATATAAAATACAAACACCCATCTAGCAAAATATTTCTTAGTACATCATGAATTCAAATATATATCGTACAAAATGACTGAGGATTTTATTAATTTTGAGCAATATTGAGGTTTTCTCATAATATCTTTTTATTGTTAACTTCAAACTAAATAACAATCATGTCTGGGAATAAAATGTATAAGATAGTCATTTAGAAAAATTTGGAGATTTTTCCTTCCTTGTCCAGTAAATACTTAACATTTTACGTGCAATGTATGTCATAAATATGGGCATTCCCCCCTTTGAGGTATGTGTTCATTAATATACACACATATATATACTCACACACACATATATACTGTACAGTGGCATCTACACATACTATATATCCACATATAATGTATTTGTATGCAATATGTAAATATATACACACATAACACCTAGAGTAAGTGTATGTATACAATATATCAGAATATATATGTGAATTCTTTTTCCATACAAACTGTGTAACATTTCTTTACACATCTACACACATATATACCGTGTGTGTATACATATAGTGCTTATGTACATAATAGGTAAATATATACACAAATTAACATATATATGTATACATACATAGAATTTGTTTTTCTATATACAAACCCTATAACATATGTAACTAGAGAGTTTTACCATATGTATGTAATTCAGATTGAACATTAAGTTGTATACTCATTCATTTTTTTTCTTAACCTCTCAGTTCTTGATAAATATTTCTTTGAATCACCAAATATATACAAATTTATGTTGTATATATTTCAATAACCCATGGTTAGATGAATGAAAGTTTACAATTATTTTATCATTTTTTATACCGTCTCTCTCTCTTTTTTTTTTTTTTAACACAGATGAGTCTCACTATGTTGCCCAGGCTGGTCTTGAACTCCTGGGCTCAAGTGATCTTCCCACCTCAGTCTCCCAAAGTGCTGGATTACAGGTGTGAGCCACCGTACCCAGCACTTAATACCTTCATTAAAACATAAAACTTCACTATTTTCAAAAAAGTTTTGTATTATGTTACATTTTGTGGACTATTAATGTTTCTAATAGATAATTTTAACAGCATGTCTTTCTTCCCTTACTGATTTTAAATTATGATTTTATATTAGATGATACTATTGTGTCTCATGCCTAATGTGTTATTGGGGGTGTTGGGCTATTTAACTCATCCTGAGTAGGGGAATCACTCTTTAACATACGGGGTAAAAAATGAATAATTTAGAATAATTTCATGAATTTAGTTAAGTATTCGATTATATATTTTTGAATGAAGATTCATTTATCCTTGTCCTTTAGAAAAGACATGTACTCTTATATGTGTGTGTAGTTACATTCGTGTGTGTGCGTGCATGCAATTTTCAAATACTTGCCTGTTTCCCACTTTTCATCACCGGCATCTCACATCCTACATTTTGGATTCATTGATCTATCTGGATAACATCATTTAAAATTGCTTTCACTGAGTATGAAAACAGTAATATCTAGTAACTTGCAGCTCAGATAATGCTTTATTTTTCCTCCCACTTTCTCTATCAAAATAGATGAAAACATTTCTATATTAATTAAAGGGTAAGATATAACACCTGGAAGAGAAAGCACATCTGATGATTGAGGGATCCACCCTCCAATCCCTCCTCAGCCCTCATGCAGGGGAAGCCCAACCTAATGGGCTTCACAGGTCTGTCTTGCTCTGAGCCTTTTTCTGCTTAGGAATTGGTCCCCTGCTGACCCCTTTAACTTTTAGGTATTAACCTGAGTAAGCATAGAGTTCCTCACTTGCTGTTAATCCCTTGAGAGTACATTTTCAACATTTCCTTGCCTTTCATTTTTCTGTTGGGAAGTCCGATCCCAGTGATCATGCTATTCTACTGACATGTTGAGTTGAAAATCACAGGACACAAAAATGTGTTTTAAACTATACAATTTATGCTAGACAATTTCAGTCTAGCATATATACTTTTTAATCTACTTCTGGTATTTTTCAATTTATCATGGTAGGTCAAGGTTTACATTGCATGTTTAAATGTATGCATCTTAGCACTTAATTAGTCTTTCCTCGTCTCTGTCAAATGTTCAACTCTTTAATTCGTGAGCTGTTGCCAGACATTATTCTCCCTTCTTTCCTTCTGACACGTACAATAGATATGAGGTTCTCCCTCCTCACAATATTCCCCCAAATATGGTGAATTTTCACTTTTGGTGTCTCCATAGTGCATTCTGGAAAATTCTCCCAATTTTGTTTTCCAATTTAATAAATGTCTCTTTAGCTGTATCTTGACCTTGATAGAATAAATATTTTGAGTGTGCTTCTTCAACTGAATTTTTGCCTCTAGGATTTCTAACTCATTTCTCTGATGCTCATTTTTTGCCAGTATAATCCATATTCTTGTCTCAGAAATTTAATTTCCTCTTGTATTTTTTTCAGATATTTAAACATGTTTAATTGAAAAAGGGTCTTATGCGTTCCTAGTATTCTATTTCTTTGCACATAATAATCCTTATCAACAAATGTGTAGACTGATGATCATAGCACTTTTTATCATTAGAAGGATGGCTCTTGGTTGTCTATTTTTGTTGGACACTCACCTCCTACACTCCTGAGCTACCATGGAGGGATCCTCTCAAGGCAGTTTTTAGTAATCCAGGACTGAAAATGGGGGACTGTTCCAGCTACTGATGACACGTGGCATTCATTTCCCAAACATAGTGTCTGCTCAGGTTGCTCCCAGAAGGAAAAAAATGCATGTGAAATTCACACTCATGGCCGGGCACGGTGGCTTATGCTTGTAATCTCAGCACTTTGGGAGGTCGAAGTGGGCAGACCACTTGAGGCCAGGAGTTCAAGACCAGCCTGGCCAACATGACAAAACCCCGTCTCTACTAAAAATGCAAAAAAATTAGCCAGGCCTGGTAGTGGGCACCTGTAATCACAGCTACTCAGAAGGCTGAAGCAGGAGAATCACTTGGTCATGAGAATCAGGCAGGAGAATCACTTGGGAGGTGGAGGTTACAGTGAGTGGAGATCATGCCACTGCACTCTAGCCTGGGCAACAAGAGCAAAACTCCATCTCAAAAAAAAAAAAAAAACTCATACCCACACATGATACAGATACCCACATGTAAGAACTCTGCAGTGAATGAATTTGTTTCACACACACCCAGGGGAGTTGGCTCAGTGGTGGCCATGGGCCTGGGTCGGTAAATAGACATATTCCATCACAGCTTTCAGCCTTGCCCAGAGCCCTGGCCCTTCTCTGCCTGTGAGGACCCAGGGCCCCTTTTCTGTTCTGCACAGAAATGGAAACTTCCTCCCTAATGACCCCTAATGGCACCAGACACAGATGCCCTCTCTGTTTCGTGTGTATCCTTCTCCTTCTGATGAACTTTCATTTCTCATTTTCTGGACATGACTGTGATAACCGGGGTGTTGATGAAATATTATGAGAAGCATCTCTCAAGGGCAGGAACAAAGGGGCTCTCCTTAGTGGAAACATCAATCTCAGGCCTTGATGGTGGGCGCCAGCATCCCCTCATGCCCCCACCCCTCCTGTCTTCACCTGCTCTGGAAATTACCCATGGCTGAGCCCCCTGCAGCCCCCAGGCTCCAATGACCCAGCTCCCCTGTGATAAATGGGGTTCATGACAGGCTCCAAATGAGGAAACCAAGGCTCAGAGATGGGAGGTTACTGCCCAAGTTCACACAGGCAGGGGGTGACACAAGAATATTTAAATAAAGACAAGATTTCCCCTCAAAGCAGAGTGCTAACCCCACGTATTGTCCCAGAACCTTGAACTCAGGAGCACAGGATGGGAACAGGAGTGTTTGAAAGAAGACGGGGGCACCAAGAAGGCAGAGTCAGGTCAATGTTGTTTCCAGGGAGACGGGGGCGGATGCTGTTGCGATGAGTCAATGAGAAGTTCGTGAAGGGAACGTTTTTGCATAAAGAAAACCCACACTCCAGTTCTGGGAAAAGAGACATGATTCCTTCCCTTGTCTCCCTGTATTTCCCCTTTCTGTTCATTGCCGCAATAAAGCTCAACTGGAACTGCAGAGCAAGATGTGAGATGAGTCTCTGCTGATGTGAGTCTGCCCCGCAGCCTGAATTTGCATCTTCCCTGAAGCTTCCCCAGGACTGGTGAGAAGACTGGCCATGGTAGTTTCCCCACAAGAGTGTGTTTATGGGTGAGCTGAAGGAGAGAGTGAAACCCCATGAGGAGGCTCTGAGAGGAAGGAAGAACCCTCCGTTGCCTTCACCTGGAAGGGACCAACTCAGGAAGGCACCACGTCCATTTGCAGCCACGTCCTGGCCCTTAATGAGAAGAGGACAGGACAGGCAGACAGTGAAAGGAGATGAGGAGAGACCCCATGTGTGTCTGAAATATCAACAGAAAGCCTGGTACCTGTCTCAGGCCAAGCACTAGGAAAACAAGAGCCAGGCTCGTGGCGGGGTCCGGGACAGTACACTACCCATGGAGATGCTGGTGGGAAAATCCTGTAAGGGAGAGAACCCTTCCTTTGTGTGTGTGTTCTGTGGACACCATGGTCTTATCCACCCACACAGCCGGGGCCAGTAGGAGGAAACATCATGACTCTCACCCACACGGCCATGGTCCACTTCACTGAGATTTGACAAGGGGAATGGGAGATTCTAGCATGAGAGGGACCCTGCCCCACAGTTAGGCCCTGGTCCAGTAGGAGACCCCAGGGGATTAGGGAAGATCTCAGGAAGGAGAGGACCTGCCCAGGCTTCAGGGGCAAATCTCTCAGCGGGAACTCTCTTCCAGGGCTGAGTCTGGGCCTCAGGACCTGCGTACAGGCAGGTGAGTCTGTCCCCAGCTGTCCCAGGTCCCTCCTCCTCACCGGGGACAGGGTCCCACCCCCGGGCAGCTGGGGCTGGAGAACAGCAACTCTGGGCTGACTGAGAGGGATCATGGGGGGATCTTGGGCTGAAAGCTGGGATCTGAGGGGTGGTAAATGATATAGGACCCAGTTTCTGATTTCCTTCCAGGGACCCTCCCCAAACCCACGTTCAGGGCTGAACCAGACTCTGTAATAACCTAGGGGAGGCCCGTGGCCCTCTGGTGTCAGGAGACCCTAGAAGCTCAGGAGTGTGGTCTGGATAAAGAGGAAAGCCCAGTGTTCAGGAGCACACAGAGCTCGCCGAAGCCCAGGACAGCGTGAGTCCTCCGTCTCACTCAGGACAAAGCACCATGCAGGGGAATATTGCTGTGAGTATTTCAGTCCTGCTGGCAGGTGAGCACTCAGAGACCCCCTGCAGCTGGTGGTAACAGTGAGGGGACACTCAGGGGCCCCAGCCCCAGGCTCTGCCCTCAGGAAGGAGGTTTGCTCTTCGGGGCATCTTGCCTCTCAGAGCCCAGGCCTGGGGGATGATGTGGGAGGTGTGAGCCCCATTTAACACGGTGCCTCCTTCTCTCCTAGAATTCCACTAATAAAGGTCCTATTTGACAGTTCCAATATTGGAAATAAGAGTTCCATCTTCGGCCAGGCACAGTGGCTCACACCTGTAGTCCCAGTACTTTGGGAGGCCGAGGCAGGCAGATCACTTGAGGTCAGAAGTTCAAAAGCAGCCTGGCCAACATGACAATAACCCGTCTCTACTGAAAATACAAAAATTAACCTGGCGTGTGGTGTGCGCCTGTAATTCCAGCTACTGGGGAGGGTTCGCTTGAACCCACTTAGCACCTGGAAAGCGAGAGCACGGACTAGGCTGACCCAGCCCGCACCTGCCTCTGCCCATACCCCCACCCTGGTAGGTTAACACAAAGGACAAAGACTTTCGGGAGCTCAATGGCCTCGCCCTTTGCCTGAGACACCGGACAGCCTCCCTTGCGTAACATAAGGAAGGCAAAAAGCCCATGAAGACCAACACAGCAAAATTCATAATTGCAAAGATGTGGAGCGCTTTTGCAACCGCTGCCTCCGGGCTGGAGGCCGACTGACACCGTGCAGGACAGCATCCGCAGGCTCAATAACACAGCACCCAGGAAGGAGAACACGTGTGCATGTCCTCAGCTATCACCATTGCCAGCAACCCCCTGGATAACCAAGAGGTCCTGAGTCTGTTCACATGGCCGGTTCATTACCAAAGCTGGTGTTTGAGAAAGCCAAAACCCCAAGGCTATTTATAACCGAGGAAATCTCACATAGTGTATCTCACTCCTGCAAACTTCACCAGCCCGCCCCACTCCCTCGCCCCACCTCAGTGTCCCCGAGCCACTTTGCTTGCACTCGCTCGCCCACAGCCACTGCCGCCAGGGCTTTGCCAGCATTATGTGCTCCTGAGCAGACCTTCTCTCCCCTCCCCAACGGCATGTGTGTTGCACGTGCACCTCGCAGTGCCACAGCTGCCGGTGTGAGTTCACCCACTCACCCAACGACCCCCGAGCACTGGGACTGCTGTCAGAGCATTCGTGGGTACAGAGATTCCCTGTCCAGTACCCACCTGCCCTCCACCCTCCCGGCGCCAACACTACCACCAGTGTGATCACACACAGGGAGACCAGCGGATCCACCCCCACCGCAAACAGCAGCAGCTGCCAGCGTGGAAGTGCACACAGAGGGTGCACACAGTCCCATGAGGCCGGAGCCCCGCCACCTTGCTAACACCACTACCGGTGCAAATGCGCACACGAACGCCTGCGGGGCTCCCGCACACCCCACCCAGTCTTGCTGACGCCACCGCATTGAACACCGACATGGAGGCCAGCACCCCTGCACCCACTAGCATCCCACTGCAGTCAACAAATGTGTACATCCCAGAGGAAAAGACATCATTACATCAGAAACACACTTGCATACAAATGTTGATTGCAGCAAAATTCATAATTGCAAAGATGTGGAATCGACGTAAGTGTCCATCAGCTGATGAGTGAATGTGGCACATATACACAAGAAAACACTATTCAGCCATTGAACAAAATGAAATAATGTCTTTTGCAGCAACTTGGATGAAGCTGGGGGCCATGACACTAAGTGAACTAACTCAGCAATGGAAAGCCAAATACCATATGCTCTCACTTTATAAGTGGGAGCCAAGTTATGGGTAATCAAAGACATGTAAAGGGGTGTAATGAACACTGGAGACCCAGAAGGGAGAGAGGGGGTGGAGAGTGAGTAATGAAATACTATGTACCAAGTACAATGTACACTACTTGGGTGATGGGTGTAGTAAAATCTCAGGCTTCACCACTATACAATTCATTCATACAACTAGAAACCACTTGTACCCCAAATCTATTGAAATAAAATACATTTTTAAAAAAACTATAATACAAGGCTACAGTAACCAAAACATTATGGCACTGGTACAAAAACAGACACATAGACCAATGAAACAGAATAAAGCCACACACCTACAACCATCTGATATTTAACAAGGCCAACAAAAACAGGCCTATTCAAAAAATAATCCTGTGATAACTGGCTAGCCATATGCAAAAGAATGAAACTGGACAGACCCTACATATCACCATATACAAAAATTAAATCAAGACAGATTAAATACTTTAATGTAAGATTTAAACCTATAAGAATCCTAGAAGAAAACATGGTGAAACCCTGTCTCTAATAAAAATACAAAAAAGAAAAAAAAGTAGCCTGGCATGGTGACAGGTGCCTGTAATCCCAGCTACTTGGGAAGCTGAGGCAGGAGAATCGCTTGAACCTGGTGGGGAAAGGTTGCAGTGAGCCGAGATCACACCACTGCACTCCAGCCTCGGCAGCAGAGCCAGGCTCCATCTCAAAGAAAAAAAAATAGGAAACATCTTCCTTAATACAGGCATTGGCAAAGTATTTACAGCTAAGTCCTCAAAAGCAATTAAACGAAAGCAAAAATTGATGAGTGGGACCTAATAAACCTACAGATCCAGCAAAGGTCTAATATTCAGAATCTGTAAGCAACTTACACAAATCAACAAGCACAAAACAAACAGCCCCATTAAAAAGTGGGCAAAAGACGTGAACAGACACTTTTCTAAAGAAGACACACATATGTCCAAGAAGCATATCAAAAAATCTTCAATATGACTAATCAGTAGGGATATGCAAATTAAAACTACAATGAGATACCCACACCACTCAGAATAGTTATTATTAAAAAGTCAAAAAATAACAGATGCTGGTAAGGCTGCAAAGAAAATGGAACAAGTGTTGGTGAGAACGTAAATTAGTTCATCCACTGTGGACAGCAGTTGGGAGATTTCTCAAAGAACTAAGAGTTGAACTACAATTCGGCCTAGCAAACCCATTGGTAGGTATATGCCCAAAGGAAAATAAATTATTCTACCAAAAAGGCAGATGCACCTATATGTTCATTGCAGCACCATTCCCAATAACAAAGATGTGGAATAAACCCAGGTGTTCATCCAACAATGGATTGGATATATGGACCATAGAATACTACACAGCAATCAAAATGGAAATCATGTCCTTTGCAGCAGCATGGATGGAGCTAGAGGTCATTAGCCTAAGTGATGCCATGTGGAAACAGAAAGCCAAACATAGCACATTCTCGTAAGCAGGAGCTAAACACTGGGCACATGTGGACATAGATAAGTGTCTGTTCATGTCCTTTGCACACTTTCTAATGGGGCTGTTTGTTTGTTGCTTGCTGATTTGTGTAAGTTGCTTCTAGATTCTGAATATTAGGCCTTCACTGGATCTGTAGGTTAATGAGGTCCCACTCATCAGTTGTTATTTTTGTTTAATTGCGTTCAAGGACTTAGCTGTAAACACTTTGTCAATGCCTATAACAACAGGATGTTTCCTGTGATTTTTTTTTTCTTTGAGACAGAGTCTGGCCCTGGCACCGGAGACACTTAGAGTGGGGAGAGAGGGAGGAGGGCAAGGGCTGAAAAAGTGCCTGTTGGGCACTATGCTCACTACCTGGGTCAACGGATTCATTCGTTCTCCAAACCTCAGCATCACGCAATATACCTTTCTAGCAAACTTGCGTTATGTGCCCCCGCATTCTAAAATAAAAGTTGAAAACAATAATAATAATATGGAACTAAAAATTAATAGGCATGCATCTTAGCAATATAAACTCAAGTACAAAATGAAAGAGGCCCACGTTTTAGAGATTTTGAAATTTAAAACACCTATAAATGTGATTGTATATATAGGCATGTAGGGACAACTGGGCTTCATCTGTAAGAACTACAGGTGGAAAGTGGAGACTCCTTACTGGCCTGAGAGCAAGGAGACAGCCCTGAGTCTTGGTGTCTGAGGAGAAGAAGTATGTGTTTCTGTTCGATTCTTGGTCAGAAAAAGGTGTTATAAAGAAGAATCTTGGTTCCCTGTCTCTTTTCTCATGCCAGATACTTATAATAGTAACTATACATGTGTATATATATGTGTATATATATATTTGTCTTTATAAAAGCTCACATCTCCCAAGTATCACACAAAACCCTTTTTGTCTTTTTTTCTACACCCCATGGAGAAGTACAAACAGGATGTGATACTCTAATATCACTCAGTTTTCTAAAATAAGTAGGTTGCAATTTCCTATGAAGTGAAACTATTCCTAGTTCACATTGAGAAAGTACCAGATTCAGTTTCTCATAGGACCAACAATTGTCTGGACCAAGGGAAATTACAAATGGTCTGGTCTTACATTTTTCTCCAGCTACCTGTGATGATCTCTAAGAGTCTGTTGTTGCAGATAAAAAAGTATATCACTCAAGGCAGGGTGCAGTGGCTCACGCCTGTAATCCCAGCACTTTGGGAGGCAGAGGCCGGCAGATTATCTGAAGTCTGGAGTTTGAGTCCAGCCTGGCCAACATGATGAAACCCCGTTTCTACTAAAAATACAAAAATTAGCTGGGCATGGTGGCAAGCACCTGTAATCCCAGCTACTCGGGAGGCTGAGGCAGGAGAATCGCTTGAACCTGGGAGGTAGGAGGTCACAGTGAGCTGAGACTGCCCTACTGCACTCCCAGCCTGGGCGACAGTGTTAGACTCTGTCTCAAAAAAAAAAAAATGTGTATCACTCAAACTGACACCTTCATGGATCTTAGAACCCTGATCATGTTCCCATGAGAATTCCATTCATTCCATTCAAGAAGATCTAACTTTCACATATACACCATGGAATACTATGCAGCCATAAAAAATGATGAGTTCATGTCCTTTGTAGGGACATGGATGAAATTGGAAATCATCATTCTCAGTAAACTATCGCAAGAACAAAAAACCAAACACCGCATATTCTCACTCATAGGTGGGAATTGAACAATGAGAGCACATGGACACAGGAAGGGGAATATCACACTCTGGGGACTGTTGTGGGGTGGGGGGAGGGGGGAGGGATAGCATTGGGAGATATACCTAATGCTAGATGACGAGTTAGTGGGTGCAGCGCACCAGCATGGCACATGTATACATATGTAACTAACCTGCCCAATGTGCGCATGTACCCTAAAACTTAAAGTATAATTAAAAATAAATAAATAAATAAATAAATAAATAAAAAAGAAGATCTAACTTTCCTAAATATCTATGCATCCAACACAGCAGCACCCAGATTCATAAAAGAAATTTGTAAAGACCTTCAAAGAGACTTAGACTCCCACACAATAATAGTGGGAGACTTTAATACCCCACTTACAATAGTAGACAGATCATCAAGACAGAAAATTGACTAAGATAATCAGGACCTGAACTCAGCACGATAGATATCTACAGAACTCTCCACACCCCCAAACCAGAATTTACATTCATCTCATCACCACATGGCACATGCTCTAAATTCAATCACATAATTGGAAGCAAAAGACTCCTCAGCAAATTCAGTTTGTTACAACTGAAATTGGCACAAACCACTCTCTGACCACAGCATAATCAAATTAGAAATCGAGACTAAGAAACTCACTTAAACTCATACAATTACATGGAAATTAAACAACCTGCTCCTGAATGACATCAGGGTAAATAATGAAATTAAGGCAGAAATTAAGAAGTTATTACAAGCTAATGGGAGCAAAGATACAACATGCCGGAATCTCCGGGACACAGCTAAGGGGGTATTAAGAGGAAAATATATAGCACTAAATGTCCACATCACATTAGTTGTGATGACCTAACATCACAACTAAAAGAACTAGAGAACGAAGAGCAAACAAACCCCGAAGCTAGCAGAATACAAGAAAGAACCAAAATCTGAGCTGAACTGAAGGAGATTGGGTTCCTTCACACACAAAAAAATCATTCAAAAGATCAGCAAATCCAGGAGCTGGTTTTTTGAAAAAAATAATAAAATAGACTGCTAGCTAGACTAATTGAAAAAAGAGAAGACTCGAATAAACACAATCACGAATGACACGGGGAATATTACCATTGACCCCAGAGAAATACAAACAACCATCAGAGAATATAATGAACCCGTGTATGCACATAAACTAGAAAATCTAAAAGAAATGGGTAAATTCTCAGACACGTGCAGCCTCCCAAGACTGAACCAGGATGAAATTGAATTCCTCAACAGACCAATAATGAGCCTGAAATTGGTTCAACGTACACAAATCAATAAACAGATTCATCACATAAACAGAACTAAAACAAAAAACCACATGATTATATTAATGATGCAGAAAAGCCTTCTGATAAAATTTAACATCACTTCTTGTTAAAAACTCTAATTAAACTAGGTATTGAAGGAACATACTTCAAAATAATAAGAGCCATTTATGACAAGCCCACAGCCAACATCATGCTGAATGGGCAAAAGCTGAAAGCAATCCACTTGAAAACTGGCACAAGAATGCCCTCTCTCACCACTCCTATTCAACAGTATTGGAAATACTAGGCAGGGCAATTGGGCAAGAGAAAAAAATAAGGCGTATTCAAATAGGAAGAGAGGAAGTCAAACTATCTTTGCTGCAGATGAAATGATCCTGTATCTAGAAAACATCAACCCAAACATCAACCTGAGATCTTCTTAAGCTGATAAACAACATCAGCAAAGACTCAAGATACAAAATAAATGTGCAAAAATCACTAGCATTTATATACCAATAACAGTCAAGTTGAGAGCCAAATCAGGAATGCAATCTCATTTACAGTTTACACACACACACACAAACACACACACACAATACCTAGGAATACAGCTAACTAGGAGGGTGGACAATTTCTTCAAGGAGAACTATAAAACACTGCTCAAAAAATTAGAGATGACACAAATAGATGGAAAAATATTCCATGATCATGAATAGGAAGAATCAATATCTTAAAAATGGCCATAGTGCTCAAAGCCATTTATAGATTCAGTAATATTTGTATTAAGTTATCATTGAGATTCTTCACAGAACTAGAAGAATCATATGGAACCAAAAGTTTTAAATTTAAAAATTCATATGGAACCCAAAAAGAGCTCAAATAGTCAAGGCAAGCCTAAGCAAAAACAAAAACCGAAAACCAAAGCTGGAGGCATTATGTTACCTGACTTCAAACTATACTACAGGGCTACAGTAACCAAAACAGCATGGTACTGGTACAAAAACAAACACATAGACCAATGGAACAGAATAGAAAACCCAGAAATAAAACCACACACCTACAACTATCTGATCTTTAGGAAACCTGACAAAAAAAAAGTGATGGGGAAAGGATTCCCTATTCAACAAACTGTGCTGGGATAACTGGCTATCCATATGCAGACAATTGAAACTGGACCCCTTCCTTACACCATATACAAAAAAACTAACTCAGGATGGATTGATTGATGGATGTAAAACCTAAAACTATAAAAACCTGGAAGACAACCTAGACAATACATTCAGGACACAGGCACGGGCAAAGATTTTATGACTAAAATGCCAAAAGAAATTGCAACAAAAGCAAAAATTGACAAATGAGATCTAATTAAACCAAAGGGTTTCTGCACTGCAAAAGAAACTGTAAACAGAGTAAACTGACAATCTACAGACTGGGAGAAAGTTTTTGCAAACTGTGCATCTAACAAAGGTCTACTCTCCAGTATCTTTAAGGAACTTAAACCAATTTACAAGAAGAAAACAAACAACCACATTAAAATGTGGGCAAACGACATGAACAGACGCTTTTCAAAAGAAGACATACATGTGGCCAACAATCATATAAAAAAAGCTCAACATCACTGATCATGAGAGAAATGCAAATCAAAACCACAATGAGATACCATCTGATACCTGTCAGAATGGCTATTATTAAAAAGTCAAGGGACACATGTTCTCAGGACCTCCTGAGTGCTGATCACTCATATTTGGCTCAGAAAAATCTCTTCTAATATATTACAGAGTTTGACTCTTTTTGTCCACAATAATTTGGTGCCTGAACACGTGAGGCCTCAGATAAGACTCAGGACCCCAAAGGAGTTGTCTCAACCTGGAGCTAAGGTACCAGCAGGGGCCCACTGAAAGCCTCCAGGATTTTGAGCTTCTTCTCTGCCAGAAGTGGTAAGTCCTCCTGAGCCCCGACCTCCCTTTGGTTGACGGCCCTTTATTTATTCTGATCTACTATTTCTTTTTCTTTCTAGGAAGTTGTTGTTTAAGGATCCTACTTCTAGTTGGGAGATACATTCTAAAGGGTCTTCTCCATTGCTTTTCTCCCCAAATTAATCTCGATTTGGCTTGTCTGTTCACATTTGCATGAGGAACTGAACTGTTGTTTTCATAGGGAAACGAGAGACTGTGTTTCCTCAGCTTAAAAAAGAAAGGGCATTTTGCTCCTCCCAGCCAAAATGTGGGAAGTGATGAGGGGTGCTTGTGGGAATGTCTGGGGGTGGGTGGACCCCATCGTGATGTGAGTGGCCTACAGGGAACACCCAACAAAATGAGTTTTAAAAAGGCTTGTCCAGGAAGCACATATGGGAGCTGGTCACTCTGCATTTTGGGCCCTCCTGGAGGTGTTTAGACCTTCCGAGAGAGAAACTGAGACACATGAGAGGGAAGAAATGACTCAGTGGTGAGACCCTGTGGAGTCCCACCCACAACCAGCACACTGTGACCCACTGCACAAACCTCTAGCCCACAGCTCACTTCCTCCTTTAAGAAGAGAAGAGAAAAGAGGAGAGGAGAGGAGGAACAGAAAAGAAAAGAAAAGAAAAAGTGGGAAACAAATAATCTAAGAATGAGGAGAAAGCAAGAAGAGTGACCCCCTTGTGGGCACTCCATTGGTTTTATGGCGCCTCTACTTTCTGGAGTTTGTGTAAAACAAAAATATTATGGTCTTTGTGCACATTTACATCAAGGTAAGAGAGCCCTAATGGCAGCTTGCACGCTATAGAGTTCCTAAGTTCTCTCTTTCTCTATTTTCTTTTCTGCCTGCTTTACATCTGCTGTTACCTTTCTACTGAGATAAAAACCACTGTTTAGATCCAAATTTTTTTTGCAAGCTGGTAAATTTATATTAATATCTCATGGCTAGAGTTTTGAAGTAAAAGCTACAGGATGTCTGTGTGTGTGTGTGTGTGTGTGTGTGTGTGTGTGTGTGTGTGGTGTGTGTGTGTTTAAAAGCCTTTATGATAGATTTCTATAATTTTATGTTTAATTGGCAGTGAACCCATTTTAATTTCCCTCTAACACACCAGACTTCTTCCTCTGTACTTTGAGATGTAAGTTTTGCTGATTTTTTCTCCTAAAAAGTGTTTCCTGTAACATGGAAATTTAGGGTTATTTAGCTGACAACTGCCTGGGGTAAGGAAACAGGTTATGAAGAGTTTGAAAGGGTTGGGCGTGGTGGCTCACACTTGTATTCCCAGCACTTTGGGAAGCTGAGGTAGGTGACTCATGTGAGATCAGGAGTTCAAGACCAGCCTGGCCAACATGGTGAATCCCTGTCTCTACTAAAAATGCAAAACTTAGCCAGGCAGTAGTGGCACACTCGTAATCCCAGCTACTTGGGAGACTGAGACAGGAGAATCGCTTCAGCATGGGAGATGTAGGTTGCAGTGAGCTGGGATCATGCCACTGCATTCCAGTCTGGGTGACAGAGTGAGCCCCTGCCTCAAAAAAAAAAAAAAAAGAAAAAAAGAAAAAAAAAGAGTTTGAAAGTTTGAGATAGAAAAAAAGAGGTTTTTTGAATCTATAAGATGTACTACTATCAGCATGCCTAATGCGTCCATGAATCTGTGTGTGGTGTACATAATGTTTCACTACTAAAAATATACAAAAGAGCTCTAATTAATTGGCTTAAAGAGAATAAAAGTGCTTAAATCAAATACTTTATCAGGACAAGATGCTTCTTCAAGTTCACTTAAGTAAAATCTTTAATAAATAAGCTGGCTTTAAAATTATTGGTAAAATAAGATTAGAAATGTCTTAAGAATTGTTAGCATTTTTGTTTGCACTTATTGCACAAGTGGTTTTGTGCTTATCCCTGCAGAATAGTATAAGATTTTCCATAAGGGTTATAAAACTATAAACCTGGCCGGGCACGGTGGCTCACGCCTGCAACCCCAGCACTTTGGGAGGCCGAGGCTGGTGGATCACCTGAGGTTGGGAGTTCAAGAGCAGCCTGACACACACAAAACAAAATTATAAACCCAGCCCAAAACAGAATGATCTTTGCTTGTATAATTTTTAATAAATAAGCCATGTAATATTGTTGGTTAAATAAAAACAGCTAACTACTGAGATATTGGTTAAAAAAAATAACTTTATATTTAACCATAAGTTTCCTTACTTAGGTAAACACCTGAAATTCATAGTTTATAACATTGGTTAACAGGGAATTAACTTTAAGTGATGACTGTCACAGTGTTCATAAATAATCTAGGTAAACTATTAAATAAGTTTATCAAGTAAATGCAATGGAATAAATGCCTATAAACAAACTTGTCACATAATTTACAATCTAAAGTTATATTAAATAATAGATATTAATTGACTAGCTGGGTAATTTATAATTTAAAAATTACAGGAAAACATTTTTAAAAAACAATTCTTATTAAAAGATAAATATCTGTGTTTAATTCAAAGCTTTTTTAAAAGTTATGTATAAAACAAGATAAATGGAAACAGGAAATAAGAGATGTAAAGACAGTTATAAATATAAAGAGGAATTTTGGTAAAAAAGATGAAAAGGAAAGTAATTTTACACAAGAAAGTCTTATGTAGTGAATTTTTGTCCTGAAATAAAATAACTGATAGTTCAAGAAAGAGGGATATTTAGGACAAAACAGGCAGTTTAAGCATGTTGTAAGTGGTCTCTGTAAGTCACAATAAGACTTTTTTTAAAAAAAGAAAGGTAGTGTAATGTAGTTGGTTATGATTAAGAAATATAATAGTCATTCTACAGATGGGTCTTTGATATTTAAAAAACACACCCTAATCCAAAACTAAATAATTGGTTAAAACAAGGTTTTAGTAAAATATTAACTTATTCTTAATGCAAAAAGTTTTTAATTTTTAAATTCTATAATCTGTCTTTTTGAAATTCTTCCAATGAATATATCAAAGTTCAGCTTTTTCTCTTTTGAAAGGCCTTGGATGATAGCTCTCTCCTTCACCTTGTGTTGGCTTCTGTAACTTTTATTAATTATCTAAAGTAAGAGAGGAATTTTTATTTAAAAACAGAAAAATGAAATATCCTTTAGACCTGCTTTTTTTATTCTGTATGCCTGTTATATCTGTATCTTCATATGTGTTATCTGGAAGTGATATTTCACTACCAAACTACATGAAACAGCTCATCAGTTGTCTTTTTTTAAAAAAAGTAAGTGCTTATCAGATTGGCAGACACTAGCTAAGATGCCTTTGAATTCACCTGATTTTAATATTTAGTAAAATTAATTTAGTAAATTTAATCTTAAAACTCTCTCCAGTAATTAGAGCTATGTTATGTTAAACCTCGTTTTTTTTTTTTTCACTTGAAATTTGGGTTACTAAATTAAAATAGTAGGAGTATAAAATGTTTTTGGTGATGCATATAAAACACAAGGATATAGGTTTTGCAAAAAAAAAAGTAGGTTTTTTTCTAGTTAAGAAACTATTTAAGAGTTGCTTTAAAATGAAGAAAAAATTACGGAGATAAAACTAAATAAAAAGAACAATTTAGCCAGGACAACAAAAGTTAACTCTGAGACCTGTGATTACCAAGAAGATAGTTGATATAGAGGAAGGGCAAAAACAAGTAACTATTAAAACCAGAGGGTATAATGCAAAGGAATTGTTCTGCTTTTTAGATTGTTATAATCAGTTTCTTAAAAATAATCTATGTGGTAGATTGTAAAAAATAACCACTTTAAGGGCCAAATTCTTAATTTTTTTTTTGAGATGGAGTCTTGCTCTGTTGCCCAGGCTGGATGGAGTGCAGTGGCGTGATTTCGGCTCACTGCAAGCTCTGCCTCCCAGGTTCACGCCCACATTCTTAATTTTAAATGCTTCAGAATTTAAGAGCTTGTTTGGATTGATGCAGGACCCGTAGCTCACTATTAAACAATCACTAATGAGTATATGAGATCCAAATGCACAGGAGGTTATTCCAGAGAGAACAACCAGCTTAGTGGACCAGACAAACGCCACTGAAAGGTCTGTTGGCCCTGAGAAGGGGACTAGCCAACTCTCCCTATAAAACACCAAGTGCAGCATCCCAGATGAAGCAGTGAATATGCTTTGTATGCGAGCCAGGTGGGGCTGGTGTATGAAGCATATGAACCAAGTAACCATTAAAATCAATCAACCGTTGGTGGACACTTAGTTTGGTTTCATGTCTGTGCTGTTGTGAATAGTGCTGCAACAAACATAATGAGTGCAGTTGTCTTATTTATTTATTTATTTTTTATTTTTTGAGATGGAGTTTCATTCTTGTTGCCCAGGCTGGAGTGCAATGGTGCCATCTCTGCTCACTGCAACCTCCGGCTCCTGGGTTCAAGCGATTCTCCTGCCTTAGCCTCCCAAGTAGCTGGGATTACAGGTGCTCGCCACCATGCCTAGCTAATTTTTTGTATTTTTAGTAGAGACAGGGTTTCACCATGTTGCCCAGGCTGGTCTCACACTCCCAACCTCAGGTGATCTGCCTGTCTTGGCCTCCCAAAGTGCTGGGATTACAGGCGTGAGCCACCACACCTGACCCAATTGTCTTTTTAATATAATGACTTTTCCTTTGGCTGGATACCATGTAATGGGATTGCTAAGTGAAATGGTAGTTCTATTTTTAGTTCTTTGAGATAGCTCCATATTATTTTCCATAGAAGATAAACTCATTTACATTCCTACCAACCATGTATCTTGCTAACATCTGTTGGTTCTGACTTCTTAAAAGTAGCCATTTTGACTGGTGTAAGTTGATACTCAGTGTGGTTTTAAGTTGAATTTCTCTGATGATTAATGATGTTGAGCATTTTTTAATGTGTTTGTTGGCCACTTATATTTCTTGTTTTGAGAAATGTCTGTTGATGGTCTTTACTCAGTTTTCCATAAAGTTGTCTGTGTTTTTTGTTTTTTTTTTCATGTTGAATTCTTTGACTTCCTTGCAGATTCTGGACATTAGTCTTTTGTTGGAGGCATAATTTGCAAATATTTTCTTCCATTGTGTAGGTTGTCTGTTCATTCTGTTGATTGTTTCTTTTGCTGTGCAGTAGCTTTTAATTTTAATCATGTCTCATTTGTCTATTCGGGGGTTTGTTGCATTTTTAAGGGTCTTTACCATAAGTTCTTTGCCTGGACTAATGTCCAGAAGGGTTTTTCCTAAATTTTGCTTTAGGAATTACATAGTTTCAGGTCTCACATTGAGGTCTTTAATTCATCTTGAGTTGATTTTTGTACATGGTGGGAGATAAAGGTCCAGTTTTATTCTTTTGCATATGGCTACCCAGTTTTTCCAGCATCCTTTATTGAATAGGGTGTCCTTTCCCCATTGTTTACTTTGTTGACTTTAGCAAAGCTCAGTATGTTGTAGGCATGTATCTTTATTTCTAGTTTCTCTATTCTGTTCCCTTGATGTCTGTGTATATTTTTGTACTAGTAAATGCTGTCTTAGTTACTATGGCCTTATAGTATAACTTGAAATCAGGCAATGTGATGTCTCCTGTTTTGTTCTTTTTGCATAGAAGTGTTTTAGCTGTTCAGGCTGGTTTTTGGTTCCAAATGAATTTAAAAATTGCTTTTTCTCTAATTCTGTTAAAGAAATGACATTTGTAATTTAATAGGAATTGTGTTGAATCTGTAGTATGCTTTGGGCAATATGGTCATTTTAACAATATTGATTCTTCCCATTTGTGAGCAAGGAATATTTTTCTATTTGGTTGTGTTGCCTACAGTTCCTTTCATCAGCCTTTTGTCACTCTCTGTGTAGAGGTCTTTCACCTCCTTGGTTAAATATACTCCTCAGTGTGTGTTTGTGTTTGTGTGTTCTTAATTTGATTCTCAGCTTGAACGGTACTGATGTATAGAAAAGCTACTGATTTTTGTAGCTTGATTTTTTTATCCAGAGACTTTACTGAAGTCACTTACCAAGTCTACGAGTCTTCTGGAAGAATCTTCAGGGTTTTCTGGGTATATGATCGTGTCATCAGCACACACAGATAATTTCACTTTCTCTTTTCCAATGTGGATGCACTTTCTTTCTTTCTGTTGCCTGATTGCTCTGGCTAGGACTTCCAGTACTGTGTTGAATAGGAGTGGTGAGAGTGGACATCCTTGTCCTGTTCCATTTCTTGGGGAAATGCTTTCACTTCTCCCCATTCAATTTTAAGGTTGGCTGTGCGTTTGTCATATAAGGCTCTTATTTTGGGGTATGTTTCTTTCATGCCTAGTCTGTTGAGGGATTTTATCATGAAGGGATATTGGACTTTCTCGAACGCTTTATCTGCATCTATTGAGATGACCATATGCTTTTTGTTCTTAGTTTATGTCATGAGTCACTTTTATTGGCTTGCATATATTGAACCATCCTTTCATCCCTGGAATCAAGCCAACTTGATCATGATGAATTATGTTTTTGATACACTGTTAGATTCCGTTTAATAGCATTTTCTTGAGGATTTTTGCACCTGTGTTCCTCAGGTTTCTTGGCCTGTAGTTTTATTTTTCTGTTGGATCCCTGTCTGATTTTGCTATCAGGGTGATATTGGTTTCATAGAATGAGCTAGGAAAGAATCCCATCGCCTTGATTTTTTGGAATACTTTCATTATGATTGGCACCAGCTCTTCGTTGTGTATATGGCAAATTTCGACTGTGAATCCATCTGTTCTTGGGCTTTTTTGCCGGAAGATTTTTAGTACTGATTCTTTTTGGTTACTTGTTATTGGTCTGTTTAGGGTTTCTATTTTTTGCCTGTGCGATCTTAGGAAGTTGTATGTGTCTAGGAATTCATCCATTTCTCTAGGTTTTCTAGTTTATGTGCATAAAGGTGTTCATAGTAGTCTCTGATGGTCATTTGTATTTCTGTGGCGTTGGTTGTAATGTCAACTTTATCATTTCTGATTGTGCTTATTTAAATCTTCTCCTTTTTTTGGTTAGTGTAGTCAGCCATCTCTCAATTTTATTTATACTTTCAAAAAACCAACGTTTTCTTTCATTGATTCTTTGTAATGTTTTTGTCTCAATCTCATTCTTTATCTGTCCTTTCAGAGTTTCCATTGTTTTCAGCATCCATCACTAGCAAGCCAGTGCGATCCTTTGGTGGTGCCACAATATTCAGATTTTTCACAGCGTCAGAATCCTTACACTGATTCCTTCTCTTCTGGAGAGGCCTCCACTTACTCTCTTCGAATTTATTTTCATTTGGATGGGATTTGTTTTGCACATTTTCCCCTGGCCCCGCAGGGAGGGTGACTGTAGAGCATGTTGGGAAGGGTCTTTTGGCTTTTCCCATGGCTTTGGGAGCTTCTGCAGCAGGGTTTGTGTTGGGCTGTGCAGCTCAAATTGCAGGCCAGGAGCTGGTGCTTAAGGGTAAGAGCCACCCTCGGCACAAGCAGGTGGATATGGACCTGGTGTGTTTCCTGTGAGGTGCTGACTGTTGTTTCAGGGGAAGGGCTGGACCGTGGAGTGTCAGGTGCCCTGAGCTTTGTGTTCCACAGGGGCGAGGGAACACCCCTGGGCAGAGCTGGAACCCCCGGCTTGCCCACAGATATCCCAGTGATGAGTGCAGGCACTAGTCCTGATGGACATGGCTGGAGCAGCTCCTAGTGAAATGCCCTGAGGTCTCTGCGGGGGGTGAAGGAGCTACACCGTTTCCAGTCCCATAGGGAGGAACGTTGTCTGTCTCCCTATCACACCCGTGCTCCAGGGCTCATGAGTCTCAGTTCAGACACACACTCTTGTCTCTCCCCAGGCCACAGTGTGGCTGAGGGCCGTGGGAAACACCTGCCTTGCCACTCTCTGCAGGCGTGGTTCCAAGGCAGAGCCTCCTCCCTCAGCCCAGTGCAGACCCTGAGCGGCTGTCTGTTGTCTGACGTGGTAGCTGCTTCATGTAGGTGGGATGTGGGGCTTCTGCCTCTCTGGATGGGAGAGTGGACGTCAGTTGTGGTGGTGTTGCTGGCTGGGTGGGCCCGACCTCAGGCCCTGGGGTGAGTGGTCAGGTGCCAGCAGGGTAGGAAAGGGCAGGTAGTTCCCGGATCACAGGCCCCTAGGTGGCCGGCTGGACAGCGTGTGTGAGTCCTGAAGGGGCTGGACTGGGTTTTGGCTGCTCCGGGGTTCAGATGCTGGCTGTGATGGGGAGGGATGGGCTGGTCCCCAGGGCACAGGCAGAACCCTCAGGCGGGGCAGGCAGAAGGCTCAGGTGGTAGAGCCTGCGGCAGATCACAGACCTGTGGGGACTGGGCTCTCAGAAGGGCTGGGGGCTGCAGCTGAAATGTCCAGGTGGGGGCAGGGTGGCTGTGCTGTGGGCCTGTCACTAGGGAGGGCAGGGCCCCTCTGCTGGGGCACTGGAGACTGGCAGCTGTGAGGCACAGGGCCCGCTCACACTTCCCTCCTGAAGTGTCACTCGGTTTTGCTCTGGGGACACGTGAAAGTGCCAGGCCTCCCCACACCCTCCCTGGGCCTGGGGCAGCAGGGGCAGAGGCAGAGGTGGCAGTGACTGCAAAGGGCTTGTCAGGGGCCTCTGAGCATTGGGCTTTCAGAGGGCACTGAGCCAGGGCCACCGTGTTCGGGTGGGGGCAGGACGGGTGACTGGGGCCCTGCAGCTGGCAAGCCCCATTAGCAGGAAGGAAGCCCCATTTCGCAGGAAGCAACAGAGGTGGGCAGCTGTGTGGTGCTCAGCTTGGCTGCTCCTGTGCCCCAGCTGTCATACTTATTCTGGGGCCCACAGAGGTGCCTGGCCTCCTCCCTCCCTGCTAAGGCAGTGGCAGCTGGACCCAGGCTGCTCAGGGATCAGAAGCCTGTGGGATTCCACGTGGGCTCCAGAGGCGCCTCTGCACCATCTCTGGGAACTCCCTGTGCCTCTGTAGGCCAAGGGGGGTCAGGGGCTCTCCTGTGACCAGGATTGTAAAGGGCCAAGACAGGGGTGTGGATCCCAGGGGCCTCACACCCACTCAATCTTTCCCTTTGTTAAGGAGCCTCTCACTCACTCACCCCTTCCCCGTGTTAGGGAGCCTCGCACTCACTCACCCCTTCCCCGTGTTAGGGACCCTCTCACTCACCCCTTCCCCGTGTTAGGGAGCCTCTCACTCACTCACCCCTTCCCCGGGTTAGGGAGCCTCGCACTCACTCACCCCTTCCCCATGTTAGGGAATCTCTCACTCACTCACCCCTTCCCCGTGTTAGGGACCCTCTCACTCACTCACCCCTTCCCCGTGTTAGGGACTCTCTCATTCACTCACCCCTTCCCCATGTTAGGAGCCTCTCACTCACTCACCCCTTCCCCGTGTTAGAGAATCTCTCACTCACTCACCCCTTCCCCGTGTTAGAGAATCTCTCACTCACTCACCCCTTCCCTGTGTTAGGAGCCTCTCCTGGCTCCCACCTTTTCTCTTCTCTTCTTTCCATGTCCTCATGTTTCTCAGGTGAACCCCAGCATCCTCTTGGAAGATCCACTTGACCTGTTGGTATTTACTCACTATTTTGGGTCCTCTTAGTGAGTAGGCAGACTCCAGCCCTTTCCATTCAGCCAACTTGAACCTCAGCCCACAATCATTTTCTTGTCACTTTTTACTCTTGGGAAATCCGGTCCCAATGTGCTTGTCTTTCATTTGAGAATAATTTTCATTTTCTCCAGTAGTTTTAAAATTACTTTGTATCTATTCTAGGTATCTTTTACTCTATCATAGTTAAGACATTGATGTTATTTATTAATTTGTTCACATTAAACTCATGTTCTTTCTTCATTTCTGTAAAAATGTCAACCATTTTCTTTGCAATATTTACTGAATAACGTACTCCTTATTTCCTTCATTCTGAAAGTGTGATCCATAGAGAGATACCTGTTTCCTCTTCTCATTCCATTTCTTGTGTGCATTAATTATGTTTTCTACTTTATTCATTTCTAGTTTTTCTCTGATGACTAATGAAAAATTTAATAGATATTCCACACCAATACTATGCTCATCATTTCAGCTGTGTCTTGTTCTTATGCAATTATTTCTAAATGTGTTGATATGATTTACTATTTTTCACCTCACAGTAGCTTCCTAATTCATTTCTATAATTGCCTGTTTTTTCTGTAATGGACTTTTTGATTTTTATTTCTCTTGGGTGGGTTTTTCTCCCACACATGTGATCTTCCATACAGTTTCTCCCCGGGCTGACTCAGGAAGGAAAGCTGATGAGGAGCATTGCTGTGGTCACTCCTGCCCTGCGGTGTCCATGCTGCCAAGCTTAGAATCAGCTCTGTGTTCTGTCCGGCATGGTGGGGCCCATGTGAGCCTCACACTCACGTGCTAGAGATGCCTGGTCCAGCAGTGATAAAGCGCATCTGTGTCATGCACACCCGGGAAGGTGGCTCAATGCTGAGTGTGGCCCGGGTCACTGAGGGGAGCTATCCCAGGGTCTGTCCACAAACACAGAAGAGGGAGAACAACAGTCTCTCTAGGGTCCCACGGTTTCCTCCATTTTTTGCTTTGTTCTGAGAGAGAGACAAAGTGCCATGACTGCTCTGTGGGTTGGACAGATGCATGCTTTCACCTGCAGGCTGGAACCCAAGCTGAGGTCTTCAGCATCCCCAAGTACTGATAAAGCACTTTAGGTTGTTTTTAGAAAACACTGAAAAATTAACCCTTTTGCTAAAGAGGTAGAAACAAGCCCTCCCCTCAACGAAATTCCTGAAACTCTCAGGTTAAACTTCGTAACCCAATCCCTTCACTGCAGACACCCAATAGGAAAGTCACATGTGCAAGGATGAGATGACTTTGGTCAAGCTCAGACCCCACAGGGCCAGGAAGGCCTGAAGGAGAGGAGGCCCATGCTTCCAGCTCTCAGATAAGAGCTGCTTCTAAGGACTTTTTAAAAACCCCACAAGAAACCCTTCCATGTCCTTCACCCCCTCCTGCTTTGACAAGGTTTATCACTAGATATTCTTTAGGATGTCAGGAATTCAGATAAGATGCTCTCGAGAAAAAACTTGCCCAGCAACGGCATCTCCTCCAATGGACTGACAGCAACTCTGGCTTTGAACCTCTGGAATCAGGGAACTCTGTTTCTAAGCAGCTCTGTCAGCCTCTCTCTTGTTGCTGATAAGAACTTCCTTTACTTCTGTATGTCAGAGAGCTCTCTCTATGGTGCTTTTCCTCTACTCTCACACCACAGGAATCATCCTCACAGAAGAAGACTTCTAGGACCAGATGTGTGGGATTTTTTTTCCTAGACCCAGTAGCGGACGCCAGCTGAGTGTTTAAATGCTTCTTCCCCAGTGCCGTAAACAAATAGCACTTGAACATAAATTTAATTTACTCAGCAAGACCATTTTTATTTTCTGCAGCAAGGGTACACTCACCAGCAGTTTTGCTTCGAGAGTACACAAAACAAAAGAGACAGGGTCATTTATAACCTGACACGTCCACCCTACTGCTCTGTCCGGTTTCCACTGGCTGGAACAGGACCTCACACTCTGTATTTGTCCCGATTGGCTAGTAACTTAGAACTTCTGAAAAGAGGCAAAGGTAGAGCAGAACAAAGGAAGGAGGAAGTAACTTGTGGAATGCTGAGAAAGGTGAAAACACCTTCAAATAAGGAAGAGGAACAGGCTATGACCTAATGCTTGCTTGGACCAGTATAAGCATGCCAGGGCAAATATTTAGGCTAAATTGTGGGAGCTAATAACATAAAGTACATTGATTTATTTATCACGGCTAGCAGATATTTGAGAATGTTAGCATAGCTCTGACACTGTCTACCCAGAGACAGTCCCAGATCCCACAGATTGAATGGTTCAGTCCCCAACACTGCCCCCACACCATTCCCAAGTCCAGACCTCCAGAACTTCTGACTGACTGGCTTCAAGTTGGGGACCCTATGACCACCTCTTTGGGTTTGATTAATTTGCTGTAGCAGCTCACAGAACTCAGAGAGACACTGACGTTTCCTGGTTGAATACAAAGCACACTGCAGAGGACACAGATGAAGAGACTCATAGGAGGAGGCATGGGGGAAGGGGCGCAGGGCTTCCATACCCTCCCTGGGCATCACCCTCCAGGAGTCTCCACATGCTCAACCACCCAGAAACCCACGAAACCCAGTCTTCTTGGGTTTTTATGAAGCTTCATGATGTCAGTATTTCCTCCCACAAGGAACAGGCTGAGACCATCTTCTGGGAGGGTCTTAAGAGCCACCATCAGAAAGGCAGGGACATTAGAGTCTTGCCTTGGGCAGGTGAAGGAAGGGCAGGAGGAGGTCAGAGGCCTCCCCTAAGGCCTAACACAGCCAATGTTATAACAAAAGACTGTAACAAGGGCTATGGAGCTATGAGCCAGGAACCGCAGGTGAAAACCAGTGTGTATCACAACATCACACTTCCCTCTCCGGACACACTGTGGCTTGCCATGCCATGCACTCCAGATTGTAATCCTTGCTTCTCACTCCCAAATAAACTCAAAATCCAGACAACCCTGGAGCAACGCAGCCTTGAATTCCTGGGGTCTCTTATATGCACACTTTTTTCAACCAAACGGGGGTCAAAACTGTAGCATTTGTGGGATGCAAGACTTGTGTATATGAACGGCAGACTTTTCCTATATGCAGGCCCAGCAGAGACAATGTCGGGGCTGGAGTACGAGCAGGTGTTGGTGCATGTAGGGGGTACTGAAACGAATTGCCTGTGTATCCCAAGAAACAACTCTACTGAGAGATCATATTCTCTAGGGGTTTATTTTTGTTTTTATTTTTATTTTAAGTTAAAGCTTCGGGTAGAACACCCAGTGTCTCCTTGTCCATCTGAAGAAGATGCTGCTATGTGGAAGCACATCCTTGAGATCCACAAGGAGACACTGGGCAAGGAGACGAGGGTGCCCCACTGTGCAGAAGTCTCCCTAATAAATGATCTATGAACACCCTGGTGTTTAGTGCTTCTTTCTTTGGAATCCCAGCAGCTCTGTCACTGGACGGTTTGGTGCACTCCCTTGAGGGAATTCCCCTGGGCTGCTTGGGGTCCACTCCAGCCTCAGGTGTAGCTGGAGGACGCAGCCTCCCACCTTGGTCTGGAGCCCTGAGCCCCTCACTGTCATTGCAGATCCCGAGGTTCCTCTCCTGGCTCCACTCAGTGGTGGAAACCTCCACCCTAATGAGCCCTTGATGGTCCCAGGTCCCTGTGGCATCTCACCTGTGGCCTCTGTTCTTTCCTGTGGATCCATCTACACTTGGGAACTTCCACATCTCTTTTTCTGCTCATGACATTGATGCTCTGGGTATTTCAGAAATGCCCAGATAGATGGACAAATACACGTCCATCTATCCATTAGGGTCAGATGTGAGATCCAGAGTGGACACATCAATCACCTACGTAGACTGTGGAGTCCAACGCCAAGATCCTCTTATGTCCCAAACACCTCAGGTCTTACCCTGGTCTGGAAATCAAGCACAAATGAGCCCCTCCTAATGTTCCAGCACCACTGACCGTACAACCACTGTCACGAGTGGGATTTGTGACAACAGTCGGCAAAGGAAGAATCTGAGGCTCAGAGATGGTTCATTACCGCCCGAGGTCACGTAGGCAGTGGATGATAACCAGTCGTTGAATAAATATAACTCCCCCCCAACTCCCCAAATCAAAGCTCAAATATAAGTCATTGTTCCCAAAGCGTTGAACAGGGATTGAGGTGCAGAGGGACGGCCAAGTAAGCAAAGGGCACCGAGGAGGCAGGAAAGACTCAGAGATTTGTTCCCGGGGGGTGGGGTTGGACACTGTAGCAAAATATTTTAAAAAGGGGAAGTTAAGAGGGGACTATTTGGTTGAAAGAAAACCCACAATCCAGTGTCAAGAAAGAAGTCAACTTTTCTTCCCTATTTCCCTGCATTTCTCTTCTGTGCTCGCTGCCACACGCAGCTCAGCCTGGGCGGCACAGCCAGATGCGAGATGCGTCTCTGCTGATCTGAGTCTGCCTGCAGCATGGACCTGGGTCTTCCCTGAAGCATCTCCAGGGCTGGAGGGACGACTGCCATGGTAAGGACCCCACAACGCTGAGCTGATGGACGGCTGAAGGAGGGAGGGTGACCATGTGGGAGGCTGTGAGAAGGAAGGAGATGCCTCCGCTACCCTCGTCAGGAAGGGCAGACACAGGAAGGAACCAGTTTTATTTGCTGCTACATCCTGGCTCTCAGTGGGATGAAAACAAACCAGACAGACGGTGGCTGGGGGTCAGGAAAGGGCCCATTACCATCTGAAATGATGCAGAGGGCCTAGTGACTGCCCCCACCTCAGCCCTAATGGAATGAGAGCAAGGGTCCTGGGGAGGGCAGTTCCACTTCCTGTGTGGCTGCAGATGACAGCACCCCATGAGAAGAAGGACCCAGCCTCCGATTGGCCACACTCTGTGTGTCTCTCTATCCTGCCAGCACCGAGGGCTCATCCATCCACAGAGCAGGGCAGTGGGAGGAGACGCCATGACCCCCATCCTCACGGTCCTGATCTGTCTCGGTGAGATTTGAAGAAGGAGGGGAGCTTCTAACCTAAGAGGGACCTCACCCCACAGCCAAACTCTGGTCCCTAAGGAGACCCCAGGGGCTCACAAAGATCCCAGGGAGGGGAGGACCTGCCCAGGCTTCAGGGGGCAAATCCCTCACCGGGAACTCTCTTCCAGGGCTGAGTCTGGGCCCCAGGACCCACGTGCAGGCAGGTGAGTCTGTCCCCAGCTCTTCCAGGTCCCTCCTCCTCACTGGGGACAAGGGGCCACCCCCGTGCCGCTGGGGATGGGGAATAGCAGTTCTGGGCTGACTGATCGGGGCGTCTGGAGGGTCCTGGGCTGAGAGCTGGAATCTGCTGGGTTGGGTGGGAAATGAGTTAGAATCCGACTCCTGATTTCCTTCCAGGGCACCTCCCCAAGCCCACCCTCTGGGCTGAACCAGGCTCTGTGATCACCCAGGGGAGTCCTGTGACCCTCAGGTGTCAGGGGGGCCAGGAGACCCAGGAGTACCGTCTATATAGAGAAAAGAAAACAGCACTCTGGATTACACGGATCCCACAGGAGCTTGTGAAGAAGGGCCAGTTCCCCATCCCATCCATCACCTGGGAACATGCAGGGCGGTATCGCTGTTACTATGGTAGCGACACTGCAGGCCGCTCAGAGAGCAGTGACCCCCTGGAGCTGGTGGTGACAGGTGAGCTGACACTCAGGGGTCCCAGCCCCAGACTCTGCCCTCAGGAAGGGGGACGGCTCTCAGGGGCTTCTCCCTCTCACAGCCCAGCCCTGGGGATGACGCGGGTGGTCTGAGCCACATTTAACACGGTGCCTCCTTCTCTCCTAGGAGCCTACATCAAACCCACCCTCTCAGCCCAGCCCAGCCCCGTGGTGAACTCAGGAGGGAATGTAATCCTCCAGTGTGACTCACAGGTGGCATTTGATGGCTTCAGTCTGTGTAAGGAAGGAGAAGATGAACACCCACAATGCCTGAACTCCCAGCCCCATGCCCGTGGGTCGTCCCGCGCCATCTTCTCCGTGGGCCCCGTGAGCCCGAGTCGCAGGTGGTGGTACAGGTGCTATGCTTATGACTCGAACTCTCCCTATGAGTGGTCTCTACCCAGTGATCTCCTGGAGCTCCTGGTCCTAGGTGAGAAATTCACAGCATTGCCTGGAGTTCCCTGAGTCTCCAGGCAGGTGGGGAGCAGCCGCGTCTCAGGGCAGTTCCAGGTGGGATGATGTTGGGGCGAGAGGGCTCAGGGCTCCTGGGGCCAGAGACACAGGAAGATCAGCAGTGATGTGGCCCCGGGGGAAAGGGAAGATTTGTGGGGAAGCCTGAGGGTCGGCTCCTGGAAACCATGACCACCTTTTCCCAGGTGTTTCTAAGAAGCCATCACTCTCAGTGCAGCCAGGTCCTATCGTGGCCCCTGAGGAGACCCTGACTCTGCAGTGTGGCTCTGATGCTGGCTACAACAGATTTGTTCTGTATAAGGACGGGGAACGTGACTTCCTTCAGCTCGCTGGCGCACAGCCCCAGGCTGGGCTCTCCCAGGCCAACTTCACCCTGGGCCCTGTGAGCCGCTCCTACGGGGGCCAGTACAGATGCTACGGTGCACACAACCTCTCCTCCGAGTGGTCGGCCCCCAGCGACCCCCTGGACATCCTGATCGCAGGTGAGGAGCCCAGCGGGTTCAGTCAGGGACCCAGGCTCCGCACAGGCCCTGCCGGGGGAGCTCAGGTAGTGATGGCCGGGATGAGGGATGGGGGTCCCAAGGGAGGGAGAGACAGACAGAGACAGGGGATGGGCGGGGAGGGGGAGACTCAGAGAAAACAGAGACAGAGACACTGAGGGTCCCAGAGGGAGACCTGGGGAGGTGTCAGCTCAGAGCAAGGTGGGGCAGCCCCTCGCCCATCCTTCTTCTCTCCAGGACAGTTCTATGACAGAGTCTCCCTCTCGGTGCAGCCGGGCCCCACGGTGGCCTCAGGAGAGAACGTGACCCTGCTGTGTCAGTCACAGGGATGGATGCAAACTTTCCTTCTGACCAAGGAGGGGGCAGCTGATGACCCATGGCGTCTAAGATCAACGTACCAATCTCAAAAATACCAGGCTGAATTCCCCATGGGTCCTGTGACCTCAGCCCATGCGGGGACCTACAGGTGCTACGGCTCACAGAGCTCCAAACCCTACCTGCTGACTCACCCCAGTGACCCCCTGGAGCTCGTGGTCTCAGGTGGGGGCCTTGACCCTGTCCTCTCTGAGCTCAAAGTCTCAGCTCAGACCCTGCCCCAGGAGAGCTCTGGGCTGGGATGGAGTGAGCGGGGGTCTGAGAGGGGCTCAGCCAGTGGGAGACTCACCCTCAGAGGGAAGGAGGAGAACAGGGCCCTCCCAGGCCTGCCCACCCTCAGTGGCATCGCCAGCATCATGGACAGGAGAGGCGGGTGGAGGGAGGGGCCTGGGGAGGCCACAGGTCCCATGTAGAGAAATTTGGTTTGAGGTGGAGACTTCAGGAAAGCCCCAGCTCCTCAGCCTCCTCTCATTCTTTTACCCAGGACCGTCTGGGGGCCCCAGCTCCCCGACAACAGGCCCCACCTCCACATCTGGTGAGTCCCTGAGGCTTCTGAACTCAAGGGAGTGCGGCCTCCCCCAGGGCAGCCCTGGGTCTCCCAGAGAATCCCATTCCCCTCAAAGACTCGAGCTTCCCTCCAGGGAGCCGGGCAGAGCCAGAGGAGGGGCCACAGGGTCCCCAGGGCTCTGAGGCTGGGCTGGTGAGGGGTGGGGGGTCAAGGCAGAGAGAAATGTTGGGGCCCAGCCTGGGGGAGGAGCAGCCGGGCTGATGTGGGGAGCAGGGCAGCCCCAGCCCTCACCTCCCCGTCCTGACCCAGCAGGCCCTGAGGACCAGCCCCTCACCCCCACCGGGTCGGATCCCCAGAGTGGTGAGTGACGGGCTCTGAGTGGGAGGTGGGCAGGGTCCAGGGGAGGCAGGGGTGGGTTCTGTCCTAGGTTCAGTCTCCTCTGGAGGTGGTGATATAGACAGGCTCCTCCCCTGCTTGGGCCTCAGTTTCTCCAAATGTAAAGGTGAGAGGCCTGCGGGTGGGAAAGTTCCTTTCAGCTCTGACTCCCAGCTGTGACCTCCTGGGAGAGGAGGCCTCCCAGGGAACCTCCCAGACCCGATTCCGCGGGGGCCTGTCCCGTCCCACCTGCAGCAGAGACGGTGACCTGGGGCAGGGGAGGGGAGAAGAGTCATGGTTCAGGACGGTCAGGCTCTTTCCCTGCAGCTCCGGGGCTCGGCTCTGGTGCAGGAACAAGGGCTGCAGGTCAGACTCCTGGGCTTCCTTCCCAGCTCTGCCGCTTCCTGGCTGGGGGCCCCGGGCAGGCGATTCCCCTCTCTGAGCGTCAGTTTTTCATCTGTACAGTGGGTGGGGTGGATGTTTCTGTGCTGCACGACTGTTGTGGGGGTTGGAGGTGGTGAACAGAAGGTCCAGCAGTCACCTGCACACAGTAGGCGCTCATTTCAATGACATCACCCCCATCCCTGACATCATCGTGCTCAAGGTCTGGGAAGGCACCTGGGGGTTGTGATCGGCATCTTGGTGGCCGTCATCCTACTGCTCCTCCTCCTCCTCCTCCTCTTCCTCATCCTCCGACATCGACGTCAGGGCAAACACTGGACATCGAGTGAGTAGGGAATGGGGGGACCCTGAGGGCTGACCGAGGGTGGGCTCAGGGCACAGCCAAAGAGAATCCAAACCACTGGGCAAATGCAGCTTTGAGAAACTGTTCCAGCATTTCTCACCAGGCCAATCGACAGTCAGTCCCATCTACAAATGTAAAGTGTCCTTCGGGCTCAGTGCCATCTACAAATGTAAAGTGTCCTTCGGGCTCTGTCCATCCTATGAGGCATTTGGAACATGGAGGCAGGAGTGTTTTTAGGTTTCCTTCCTTACCTTCGAGCTGTGTGTGCAGGGCAGGGGGCTCCAATGTTCCCAGGGCTGAGGCTCTGTCCTTCTTCCCCCAGCCCAGAGAAAGGCTGATTTCCAACATCCTGCAGGGGCTGTGGGGCCAGAGCCCACAGACAGAGGCCTGCAGTGGAGGTAATTCTGCCCGAAGACCCCAGACTCCCACCTGCTCGTGGCCCATACACTGCCCCTAAAGCTCCCATTCTTCCCCCAGGTCCAGCCCAGCTGCCGATGCCCAGGAAGAAAACCTCTGTGAGTGAGAGGAAGAGGTGACCAGCCAGGAGGGAGATGGGGGCCCCGAAGTTTCCGTAGCAATGGGGAAAGGGGCGCTGGCTGGAAAGGGTCTGGGGCTCAGGGTGAGATCATCTCACCCCACACTGTGGGGCCTCAGGGACATCGCAGCCCCTCCCTGCATCTCAGTGGCCCCATCTGGGAGCTGAGCAGGGGCTGGCAGGACTCAGAGGTCCCAGGGAACCTTCCCAAGAGACAAACCCCTTGCTCTGCCCCAGCAGATGCTGCCGTGAAGCACACACAGCCTGAGGATGGGGTGGAGATGGACACTCGGGTGAGACCCCACCCCTGTCCCAGGCACCAAAGGCCTCCTGGTGCCAGATCTAATCCTGCAGAACTTCTCTGTCCTCCTTCCCCCGGCTCTCAGCATCGTCACGGTGGACCCCTCCTTGTCCAGCACGCTGCCTCCCGCCTGCTGCGACCTCACTCTCTCCTGCTGTCCTGGGACCTCGTGGGCCTCCTCCCGGGTCCCCTTCCTGCTCCTCATCCTCTGTTTGGCCGTCTGGTTGTTAGAGCTCTCCCCAGGCCTCAGGAGGATGAGGAATAAATGAACCACCCCGGTCCCCCAGGCTCCCCTTCATTCATTCAACCAGCAAGTGTTCCCAGGGAGCTCACTGTGGATGGGGCTCCCCATGGGAGCTGCAGACACAGCAGGGAGGAAAGCCGCCCCCGCCTCCTGAGCTCACCTCGTGGTGGGAGACAAAATGCAAATAAATGTGCCGCGTCCAGGAGTGCAACGTGCTGTAAGGAACATAAACCAGAGAAAGGGCAGAGAGTGTGGGGCAGTGGGGCCAGTCTGAATGGAAGGGGAGGGCTGTCTGCTCAGCTGTCATCTGAGAAGCCTGGACAGAGTGGGGCACACGATCCTCTGATGGACGAGCCCCTGCAGGCAGAGGAAACAACCCTGCAAAGGCCCCCAGGCAGCAGCGAGCTCTTGCAGGAAGGCCCGTGAGGCTGCAGCCAAATGGGCAACGTCAGAGTGAGGAGCAGAGGCCAGAACCACAGCGAGGGAGCGGCCAGACCCTCCACGGCCTTAGGGCGTCCCTGAGATTCCATCGGGAAAGGGATGTAATCGGATCACCCGGGGAACAGTGAGGAAAATTGACTCCAGGGGGTCAGGAGGATTCAAGGACACCCCCCACCACTGTCTCTCTCCAGCAGAGCCCACACGATGAAGACCCCCAGGCAGTGACGTATGCCGAGGTGAAACACTCCAGACCTAGGAGAGAAATGGCCTCTCCTCCTTCCCCACTGTCTGGGGAATTCCTGGACACAAAGGACAGACAGGCGGAAGAGGACAGGCAGATGGACACTGAGGTGAGTCCTTTCCTCTCCAGGCCCCCAGGCCTCCCCCACCCCCACCACGTTCCTTCCCTCTCACTCTCCCCCGCTGCAGGCTGCTGCATCTGAAGCCCCCCAGGATGTGACCTACGCCCAGCTGCACAGCTTGACCCTCAGACGGGAGGCAACTGAGCCTCCTCCATCCCAGGAAGGGCCCTCTCCAGCTGTGCCCAGCATCTACGCCACTCTGGCCATCCACTAGCCCAGGGGGGGACGCAGACCCCACACTCCATGGAGTCTGGAATGCATGGGAGCTGCCCCCCCAGTGGACACCATTGGACCCCACCCAGCCTGGATCTACCCCAGGAGACTCTGGGAACTTTTAGGGGTCACTCAATTCTGCAGTATAAATAACTAATGTCTCTACAATTTTGAAATAAAGCAACAGACTTCTCAATAATCAATGAAGTAGCTGAGAAAACTAAGTCAGAAAGTGCATTAAACTGAATCACAATGTAAATATTACACATCAAGCGATGAAACTGGAAAACTACAAGCCACGAATGAATGAATTAGGAAAGAAAAAAAGTAGGAAATGAATGATCTTGGCTTTCCTATAAGAAATTTAGGGCAGGGCACGGTGGCTCACGCCTGTAATTCCAGCACTTTGGGAGGCCGAGGCGGGCAGATCACGAGTTCAGGAGATCGAGACCATCTTGGCCAACATGGTGAAACCCTGTCTCTCCTAAAAATACAAAAATTAGCTGGATGTGGTGGCAGTGCCTGTAATCCCAGCTATTTGGGAGGCTGAGGCAGGAGAATCGCTTGAACCAGGGAGTCAGAGGTTTCAGTGAGCCAAGATCGCACCACTGCTCTCCAGCCTGGCGACAGAGGGAGACTCCATCTCAAATTAAAAAAAAAAAAAAAAAAGAAAGAAAAAGAGAAAAAAGAAATTTAGAAGAATAACAAGTTATTCCAAATGAAGGCGTAAGAAAGGGAATAATAACAATAATAAGAGGAGTTGTTCATGAGGAAAAACCAAAGCTTGAAAATTCAACAAAGCCAGTGAAGCTCATTCTTGAAAACATGAATCACACTCATGAATTCTAACTACAATGAAAAAGAGAAAGAAAGAGCAGGCATGCATTTCCATATGGGAGTGAGCCAGCAGACAGCCCTACAGATCGTACACACGTTTTCCAAAACTAACAATGGAACAGGCGGCAAACCTATGCCAATATACTAGAAATTGCAGATTAAATAGATGAAATATTCTAAACTGGAGTTTACATAATGAACATAAGAGTAATCAGAGAATCTGACTCATTTTAGATGTGTGTGTGTGTGTATATATATGTGTGTGTGTGTGAAAAACATTGACTATAATAAAAATAATCTCGAGTTCACGAAGCTTCATTGGTGATTTCTTACAAATATTGACACACTAATGAAACACACAAACACACCCAGAGCATCACAAATGTTTCTTGAGAATAGAAAAAGTGGCAATGTGCCCAGGTGCGGTGGCTCACGCCTGTAATCTCAACACATAGGGTGGCAGAGGCGGCAGATTACTTGAGGCTGGGAGTTCAAGACCAGCCTGGCCAACACGGCAAAACCCCATCTCTACTAAAAATACAAAAATTAGTCGGACATGGTGGCGCACACTGCAGTCCCAGCTACTTGGGAGGCAGAGGCAGGAGAATCACTTGATCCCAGGAGATGGAGGCTGCAGTGAGCTGAGATCCCGCCCCTGCGCTCCAGCCTGGTCAACAGAGCCAGACTCTGTCTCAAAAAATTAAAAAAAAAAAAAGTCATGACATATAAAATAGAATTTTCCATTCTATAACAGGCATATTTTAAACTCTACAGTTTTTCTGTTTCAAAATAATATTTTTTTAAATTTTATTTTAATGTTTTACTTTATTTTATTTGGCAGTTTAAAATTCTACATATTTAGGATGTGCAACATGGTATTTTAATATGCCTGTGAAATCGCTAGGTCAAGCTAATTAACATCTGTAACATCACGTAGTTATCTTTCTGTTAAGAGAACATTTAAAATCCACTTTCTTACCAATTTTCGCGTATGCAATCCATTGTTAGCAACTGTAGTCACCATACTGTACAACAGATCTCCTAAACTTACTCCTCCTGTCCAACTGAAGTGCGGTATCCTTCGATGCAGCTCTCTGATTCCACCCCAGCCCAGCTCCCGGGGACCACCTTCTACTCTCTACTTCCATGAGTTCAACTGGGGCAATCCGCACATAAGTGAGATCAGGCAGCAGGTGTCTTCCCGTGCCTTCTTTATTCCGCGTAGCGTGACGTCCTCTAGGCTCGTCCATGTTGTCACAAATGAAACAATTTCCTTCTTCTAGAAGGCGGAATAGTTTTTCGCTGTGTTTATACTGAGCGCTTCATTTTCTGTATCCATTCGCCTGCTGATGGACGCTTGGCCGGGTTCCATGTCTTGGTTATGGTGGCTAAAGCTGTCATGAACATGGGAGGGCGGGCATCTCTTCAACGTACTGATTCCATTTCCTTTAGATACACACCCAGCAGTGAAATTGTTGAAACACAGGGTAGCTCTGATCATTAACTTCTGAAAAACATCTATAGTATTTTTGTGGTCATTGTACTCATTTACATTACCACTAGCGGAGGGCAGCGGTTCTATTTTTTCTACATTCTCGCTAACACTTGTTATTCTACTCTTTTTCATAGTAACCATCCTAACAGATGTGAGGTTATAGCTTCTTAAAGTTTATATGTATGTAAGTATATGCCTATATGTATATATGCAAATGTATGTATTCATACATAAACATCCATACGTACATATGTGCAGATACGTATGTACATATATATGCATGTGTATTGTATGTATATATGTATACACAGGTATACACATATATGTGTAGAAAGTGAAATTTTGCAGTGAGATATCACCTCACAGCTGTTAGATTGCCTATTATCAGAATGGTGAAAGATCAGTGTTGGTGAGCATGAGGAGAAAAAATCCTTACACACCATTGGTGGACATGTAAATTAACACAGCCATTTTAGAAAACAGTATGGAAGCTCCTCAAAAAACTAAACATGCCACCACCATATAATCCAGCAAGCCCACTGCTGGGTGTATACCAGAAGAAATGAAATCGGCCACAGAAGAGACGTCCACACTCCTAAGCTCATTGCAGCACTATTCACAATTGCCAAGTTACAAAAACAATTCTATATTTTTGAAAAAGGATTCATTTCTCCTGTCCCTGTAGAGAAAACGGGCTCAAATTACACATTAGCTGAGCTCTGAGTACTCACTCATGTGTGTATCTATGAGGGTGCATGTTCGTGTGTGTTTCAGTATGTGGTTTTTCCATTCTGTGTACTCACCCATGTCTGTAACTATGAGGGTGCATGTTCACGTGTGTGTGTGTGTGTTTCAGTGTGTGGTTTTTCCCATTTTTCCTCCCTTGAGGATATCGCATTGTATGTTTTGGATTCTTTGATCTTCCAATTAAATTACATCATTTAGAATTGCTTTCACTAAGTGTGAAACAATAAAAATTTTTTTTAATTGTGGCTCTGGAAATACCTTCCTTTCCCTTTCACTCTGTATCAAGATTTGTAAATTTTTTAAAATTTTTGTTGTTATTTTAAGTTCTGGGGCACATGTGCAGGATCTGCAGGTTTGTTACACAGGTAAACATGTGCCATGGTGGTTTGCTGCACCTGTCAACCCATCACCTAGGTATTAAGCCCAGCATGCATTGGCTGTTGTTCCTAATCCTCTCCCTGTCCCAACTCACCCTCCTCCAACAGGTCCCAGTGTGTGCTGTCCCCCTCCCTGTGTTCATGTGATCTCACTGTTCAGCTCCCACTTATAAGTGAGAACATGCAGTGTTTGGTTTTCTGTTCCTGCATTGGTTTGCTGAGGATAATGGCTTCCAGCTCCATCCATGTCCCTGCCAAGGACATGATATTGTTCCTTTTTATGGATGCATAGTATTCCATGGTGTATATGTATCACATTTTCTTTATCCAGTCTATCATTGATGGGCATTTGGGTTGATTCCAGGTCTTTGCTACTATGAATAGTGTTGCAAAAAACATATGCATGCATGTATCTTTGTAATAGAATGATTTATATTCCTTTGGGTATATACCCAGGGATTGCTGAGTCAAATGGTATTTCTGGTTCTAGATCTTTGAGGAATCACCACACCATCTTCCACAATGGTTGAACTAATTACATTCCCACTAACAGTGTAAAAGCATTTCTATTTCTCTGCAACCTCACCGGCATCTGTTTCTCCTTGACTTTTTGATAATCGCAATTCCAACTGGTGTGAGATGGTATCCCATTGAGGTTTTGACTTGCATTTCTCTAATGACCAGTGATGTTGAGCTTTGTTCCATGTTTCCTGGCCACATGAATGTCTTCTTTTGACAAGTGTCTGCTCATGCCTTTTGCCCACTTATTAATGTTTTATTCCTGTAAATTTGTTTAAGTTCCTTGTGGATTCTGGATGTTAGACCTTTGTCAGATGGACAGATTGCAAAAATTGTCTCCCATTCTGTAGCTTGTCTGTTCGCTCTGATAATGGTTTCTCTTGCTGTGCAGACGCTCTTTAGTTTAATTTGATCCCATTTGTCAATTTTAGCTTTTGTTGCAATTGCTTTTGGTGATTTCGTCATGAAGTCTTTGCCCATCTTTGTCCTGAATTATATTAAATAAAGTCTTTGTCCTGAATTATATTAAATAAAGCATAAGGGAAAAGATGTAGAAGGGAAAGTACATGTAATGGTTAAGGCGTCTACTGCCAATCCCTCCCCGTTCCTCAAGATGAAGCCTGACATGCTGGGTTTAATGTGTGAGACAAGCTGCCGACAGGTCGTTTGCCTTTGTCTTTAATAATTTAGATTAACACAGAAATCTTCACCATGAATTTCTGAAGGCCTTTCTTTAGTATCTCCTGGTGTTGAATTTGCTGTTGGAAGGTCCAATCCCAGTGAGCATGCAAATCCATTGGAAATAATTTGCATTTTTACAAATAAATAATTTTAGGATTTTTTTTTTGTTTCCAGGACAGACTTCCTTGTATTTTTTTAATGAGTTAAAAATTATATAATATAAAAATAACATTTAAAAACCCACAATTCAGGCCGGGCACGGTGGCTCATGCCTGTAATCCCAGCACTTTGGGAAGCCGAGACGGGCGGATCACTTGAGGTCAGGAGTTTGAGACCAGCCTGGTCAACATGGCAAAACCCCGTCTTTACTAAAAATACAAAAATTAGCCAGGCATGGTGTCAAGCACCTGTAATCCCAGCTACTCGGGAGGCTGAGACAGGAGAATTGCTTGAACCTGGGAGGCAGAGGTTGCAGTGAGCAGAGATTGTGCCACTACACTCCAGCCTGAGTGACAGAGCAAGACTCTGTCTCACACAAAAACAAAAACAAAAGCAAAAACAACCCCTCACAATTCAGCCTAGGATATGTTTATTAAATTTACATTTGTCTTTTTGCTTAAGATTGCTTTGGTATTCGTCCTCTTTTTGGTTCCATATGAATTTTAGGATTGTTTTTTCTAATTCTGTGAAAAAAATGATGTTGATATTTTGATGGGAATTGCATTGAATCTAAATATTGCTTTGGGAAGTGTGATCATTTTCACAATATTGATTCTTCCAATCCATGAGCATGGGATATATTTCTATTTTGCTGTGTCATCTACAATTTCTTTCAGCAGCATTTTGTTGTTCTTCTTGTAGAGATCTTTCACCTCCTCGGCTAGGTATATACTTAGATATTTTTAATTTTTGCAACTGATGTACAAGGGATTGAGTTTTGCAGCAACCTGGATGAGCTGGAGGCCATTATTCATGACACCACATCCAGCTAATTTTTGTATTTTTTGTAGAGATGCGGTTTTGCCATGTTGCCCAGGCTGGTCTTGAACTCCTGGGCCCAAGTGACCCGCCCGCCTTGACCTCCCAAAGTGCTGGGACTGCAGGCATGAGCCACGGTGCCCGGCCTATCATAGCACTTTTGATCATTGGGATAATTCCTCCTCCTTGTCATTTTTGGACACATGCTTCCCACATGCCTCATCTTCCAGAGAGGGTTTCCACCAGGGCTGTGCTGGGAGTTAAGGCTGGAAAAGGGGAGATGGTTCCAGCTGCCAGTGCCACATGAGTCTACTCAGGGCTGTAACCAGCAGGGAAGGTCCAGTGTGAGCCTCAGACTCGCATGTGGGACAGACGCCCATGTGTGACAACGCTGCAGTGAATCTGTTTCACACACATGGAGGAGGCGGCTCAGGGCTGACCATGGACCTGAGTCAATGAGCAGAGATATCCCAGTGCCATCCACAAACACAGGGGAGAAGGAGCCACAACTTCTCACTTTCATCCAAAACCCCGACCCCTCCCTGTCTGTGAGGGCCTGGGGTTCTCCTCTGTCTCATACAGAGGCAGAAACCTCCCCCTTAGTGACCCCCAGACTTTGCAAGTCACCAGCAGCCGCTCGGCTCTGGCCTCTTCTGCTTCTTAAGGTTTCCTGCCTATGACAGGAAGTCTCATTTCTCATTTTCTTCATCGGACCATGGCTACATATTTCAGACACATTATAAGTAGGTTTTCCCAATGTTAGGAGCAGATGTGGGCTGTTGAGCATTTAAGTTGCTCACCGTGACTGTGCAGTCCAACACCAGGATCCACTCATGTTTCAGCCCCTCAAGACTTAACCCGGTCTGGAAATGTACCATGACTGAGGCCCTCCCATGACCCAGGCACCACTGGCCCCCAAAACCACTCAGGAGGGGGGTTCATGACAACAGGCTCCAAATGAGGAAACCGAGGCTCAGAGATGGGACTTACTGCCCAAGGTCATGCACGCAGGGATGAAGGTGAGCAATTCAGAAAAAATTAACTCCCTATCCCACCGCCAAATCAGAGCTCAAGACAAGTACTTGTTCCCAAAACCTTGAAGGCAGACTGAGATGCAGGGGAATGCCCAAGGAAGCGGGGCTGGGGGTGGGAGGGACCCCGAGGAGGCAGGAATGACTCAGAGGTTACTTTTAAGGGAAGGGGAGCTGAACGCTATTAAAAAATAGGAAGAAAAAAAGAAGGGAAGTCTAAGAAGGAAACTGGAAGAAATAAAACCCATACTCCAAAGACAAAAGAAGAGTCAGCATTTCTTTATTTCTCCTTTTTTTCTCATTGCCAATTGCAGCTCAACTTGAATTTCACAGCCCGATGTGAGATGCGTCTCTGCTGATCTGAGCCTGTCCTGCAGCATGGACCTGCAACTTTCCTGAAGCATCTCCAGGGCTGGATGCCATGGTAAGGATCCCGCAATGCTGTGTTGATGGACGGGCTGAAGGAGGGAAGGAGACCCCACGGGGAGGCTCTGAGAAGAAGAAAAAGCCCCCAGTCACTCTCACTTGGACAGGACAGACTCAGAAAGGTGCTGTGTCCTGTGTCCTGACCCTTGATGAGATGAGGACAGATGAGGCAAATCGCAGAAAAGGGTCAGGGAGATACCATTTCTGTATGAAATATCTGAAGACAGCCTGGTGCCTGCCCCAGTCCCAGCCTTGGGGAAATGAAAGCCAGGCTCCTGGAGAGGGCAGTTCCCCTTCTTGTGGGGCTGATGACGGGACAACCTCGTGATGGAGAACCCAGGCTCCCAGTAGATTTACTCCATCCAGGAACTGTGGTCTCGTCCATCTGCACAGCCAGGGGCTGTGGAGGAGATGCCATGACTTCCACCCGCAAACCTCTGATCTGTCTTGATGAAATTGAAAGAGGGAGAGGGGAGACTGTAGCCTGGAAGGAATCCCACCTCACAACTTGGTCCTGATTGAATAGAAGACCCCAGAGGTTCACAGAGATCCCAAGGTGGGGAGGATCTGCCCAGGGTTCAGGAGGCGAATCTCCCTCAGGAAGCTCCGTGACCCCCTCCTTAGTGTCGCTCCTGTGCCTCAGTGGGATTTGGAGAGGATGCCTTAGATTAGAGGGTATTGTTCAGTGGGATTTGGAGAGGATGCCTTAGATTAGAGAGTATTGTTCAGTGGGATTTGGAAAAGATGCCTTAGATTAGAGGGTATTGTTCAGTGGGATTTGGAGAGGATGCCTTAGATTAGAGGGTATTGTTCAGTGGGATTTGGAGAGGATGCCTTAGATTAGAGGATATTGTTCAGTGGGATTTGGAGAGGATGCCTTAGATTAGAAGGTATTGTTCAGTGGGATTTGGAGAGGATGCCTTAGATTAGAGGGTATTGTTCAGTGGGATTTGGAGAGGATGCCTTAGATTAGAGGATATTGTTCAGTGGGATTTGGAGAGGATGCCTTAGATTAGAGGGTATTGTTCAGTGGGATTTGGAGAGGATGCCTTAGATTAGAGGATATTGTTCAGTGGGATTTGGAGAGGATGCCTTAGATTAGAGGGTATTGTTCAGTGGGATTTGGAGAGGATGCCTTAGATTAGAGGGTATTGTTCAGTGGGATTTGGAGAGGATGCCTTAGATTAGAGGATATTGTTCAGTGGGATTTGGAGAGGATGCCTTAGATTAGAGGCTATTGTTCAGTGGGATTTGGAGAGGATGCCTTAGATTAGAGGGTATTGTTCAGTGGGATTTGGAGAGGATGCCTTAGATTAGAGGATATTGTTCAGTGGGATTTGGAGAGGATGCCTTAGATTAGAGGATATTGTTCAGTGGGATTTGGAGAGGACGCCTTAGATTAGAGGTATTGTTCAGTGGGATTAGGAGAGGACACCTTAGATTAGAGGGTATTGTTCAGTGGGATTTGGAGAGGATGCCTTAGATTAGAGGGTATTGTGTCTTTCAGCAACAAAACCGTACAAAAAACACCTGGGCATTTCACATCAGTGGATAAAGCATATCTTGTGCCAAATCAGGACCAAACTGCGGTGAAATTTAGGGTTCACACTACAGTTAATCACTTTTGAGGAAAGCATTCCAGGTTGGTGCCTATCTCTGTGATAAACATCTCCCTTCCTGGCTACAGGTAATGGATTAAAGTAACACTGGCCGAACAGACACTATCTTCACTTGATGATTATACTGAAAAATAGCCATAAAATTGTTCCCTCCAAATCCAATTCCCCTTTTGACTTTAGACAATTCTCTAAAGAAGATATACAAATGGCCAACAAACATATAAAAAACATGTATATATGCGTATATATACATATATACACACACACACACACACACACACACACACACACACCATGGAATACTTCAGTCATAAAAAGGAACAAAATAATGGCATTCGCAGCAACCTGGAGGCAGTTGGAGACCACTATTCTAAGTGAAATAACTCAGGAATGGAAAACCATCATCATATGTTCTCATAAGTGGGAGCTAAGCTATGAGGATGTAAAGGCATAAGAAGGATATAATGGACTCTGGGGACCCAGGGGGAGCAATGGGAGGGGGTGAGGGATAAAAGACTACGCATTGGGTACAGTGTACACTGCTCGGGTGATGGGTGTTCCAAAATCTCAAAAATCACCACTAAAGAACTTATGCATGCAACCAAACACCACCTGTTCCCCCAAAACTACTGAAACTTAAAAATAAATAAATAGATAAAAATAAATTCACCACATTCAAAATGACAACCGCTGAAGCCCCAGTGGGCGCATGTTACAGGGTGCTCTTTTAGTTTCGGCCTTCCATAGGCAACTTGTGTGTATCAGCTCCATTAGACCCCTGCCTTCCTGCAAGGACAGACGGCTCTCTGTATCCCAGGGTTCTCGCCTTGGTGTACCGGAAGAACCGGATCACATGAGGGCTTGGAGAATGAGTGCAAGGTTTGATTGAGTGGAAACAGCTCTCAGCAGAAGGGCGATGGTTTTCTCCTGGAGTCGGGCCCCTGGCGGCCCGGGATCCTCTCTGACTGTCCCAGCCAAGCTCCATGTCGTTCTGCCAGTCGGTGGCCTGTGGTGTGCTGGTGCCCGTCCTTGCGTTCCTCTCGACATCCAGCCATCTGTGTGTTCCTGCACTGACGTGCTCCTCTCAGCCGCCAGTGTCTTCTTCTTCCGCTGATCTGCGGACGTCCAGCTGCTTGTGTGTCTGCCTGCTCAGGTCTCGGAGTTGTTTTTTTTGTTTGTTTGTTTGTTTTTTAATTATACTTTAAGTTTTAGGGTACATGTGCACAATGTGCAGGTTAGTTACATATGTATACATGTGCCATGTTGGTGTGCTGCACCCATTATCTCGTCATTTAACGTTAGGTATATCTCCTAAAGCTATCCCTCCCCACCCGCCACCCCACAACAGGCCCCGGTGTGTGATGTTCCCCTTCCTGTGTCCATGTGTTCTCATTGTTCAATTCCCACCTATGAGTGAGAACATGCGGTGTTTGGTTTTTCGTCCTTGCAATAGTTTGCTGAGAATGATGGTTTCCAATTTCATCCATGTCCCTACAAAGGACATGAACTCATCATTTTTTATGGCTGCATAGTATTCCATGGTGTATATGTGCCACATTTTCTTAATCCAGTCTATCATCGTTGGACATTTGGCTTGGTTCCAAGTGTTTGCTATTGTGAATAGTGCCACAATATAGTTCAACCATTGTGGAAGTCAATGTGGTGATTCCTCAGGGATCTAGAACTAGAAATACCATATATTAATCACCTCAGTTAGTTATTATTTCTGTGTGCATGTGTGTGTGCAGTGAAAATACTTAGGATCTACTCTCAGCTAATTTTAAGTGTACAATACAGTATTGTTACCTATAGCTTTCATTCCATACATTAGCTTTCCAGAATTATTCATTTCGGAGAATTGAAACTTTGTATCCTTTGACCAACATCTTATTTTTCCCATTTCCAGCCCCTGCTAACCACCATTCTACTCTCAGCTTCTATGAATTTCACTATTTAGATTCCACAATTATGTGAGATTATAAGATATTTATCTATTAAGAGTTGGATTCATTTCACTTAGCATAATGTCATTTGGGTCCAATCCTGCTATCACAAATGATCTGATTTTCTTCTTTTTCAAGACTGAATAAAACTTTATATTTATTATACTATGTTATCTTAATCCATTCCTCCATCAATGGGCATTTATGTCATTTATTTACCTCGGCTATTGTGAATACTGGTGCAGTGAATTCATCAGTGTGGATATATCTCTTCAAGATCTTGATTTGAGTTCTTTTGGATAATTATCCGGAAGTTGAAATCTGGTGTCTTATAGTTCAATTTTTAACATTTTGAGGAAATGTGATACCGTTTCTATAATGGATGGATCGGTTTCTGTTAACTTAAATCAGGGTATTGTCTTTCTCACTCAGACCGCTGCTGGAATCCTTGGAAATTCTTCACTCCTTTACTTTTTTAGCTTTACTTTTATCACTTCACAGATATTGAGACCCAGAGACCTGATTCTCAGCCAGCTGGTCTTAGCCAACAACCTGGTTCTTTTCTCTAAACGAATCCCCCAGACAATGGCAGCTTTTGGAATGAAATCCTTCCTGGACGAGGCTGGATGAAACTTGTCTTCTATCTATACACAGAGTGGCCAGAGGGGTTTCCCTCAGCACCGCCTGTCTCCCCAGTGGCTTCCAGGCCATGAAGCTTCAACCTCAGTATCTCTAGGAGGATGGAACTCCGAATTAGGTCCACAAAGTGCATTGTTTTCTGCTGCCCCCTCTGCTGGATCTTGCAAATTGTGGCATATACCCATATTGCAATGCATGTAACTGGCCCAATGAAGAGCAAAAACGTGAGTATGGAATAAATGTATAGGTACTCTCCTCACCCATTCTAGGATGATTGCTATTCTTAGCAAATGCAGTCATTTTCTCCCTTGTGGATGGTATGTCTTTGGCCCTCATGGACTACACCAGCAGCTCCATGATCCTCTTCTTATATAGACACAAGCAGACAGTCCAATGCATTCGCAGCCACGGCCTCTCCCCCTGAAAATCTCATGAAACTAGAGCCACACACACCATCCTCGTCCTGGTGAGCATGTTTGTCTCCTCTCATGGTCTAGCTGGTATTTTATCACTGTGGGTAACCTGGATTCAGAACCCAAGCCATTGGCTGAGAAGCATCTCTTTCCTGGTGTCTGCAGGATTCCCGACATTCAGCCCCTTTGGGTTCATTGTCAGTGATGCCCGCGTCTCACAGTTCTGCACTGTCTGCTGGACAAGGAAGACAAATGCTCCAAGTGTGGTCTCTGGGCTCTAAGTTCCCTCTAGACAATTGCGTCCTTTATTTAATCACTTCTCCCCACAATATCTGTTGGATCATACATTATGCCAGTTAATACGCAAGGACTTTGGGACTCAGTATTGAATAAAAATGATAATAACCATAGCCTCATATTGCTTCTTAGGCTCTCAAAAAATGAACGCAGTGTAAAAATTACCCAGATGTATGTCAGTTCCTCAGAAGATTAAACACAGAATTACCATATGACCCGGCAATTTCTGGGAAAATTAAAGCAAGGATTTAAAAGGATGCTCATATACTCATGTTCATAACAGCGTTATTCACATTAACAAAAAAGTAGAAAAAACCCAAAGATGGATAAATGGATAAACAAATGTTATAGAAACTAGGAAATACTGTTCAGTCTCTCAAAGAAATGAAATTGTGACTGACATACACTATAATATGGAGAGCCTTGAAGATATTATGCTAAGTGAAATAAGCCAGTCTCATAAAGGACAAATATTGCAAATATTGCTAAGATTCTATCTATATGAGCTACCTGTCAAACTCACAGACTCAGGAAGTAGAATCACGGTTAACAGAGGCTTGGGGGCCTGGAAACTGAGAGTTGGTGTTTACTGAATATAAAGCTTCAATTGGAAAGATAAAATACTTTGGGGATGGTGATGGCGATGGTTGCATAGCAATGTCAAACCACTTCACAATACTGCACTGTAGAGTTAGAAAGAGTAAATATGGTAAATTTTATTTCATTTGTTTTTTTTTTTACTATAATTTAAAATGAGAAAGAGTAGTAAAAACACACAAAAGAGAGGAGCTAACAGATAAAAAGTGCACTAAGTTAGCCAAGCCAGAGCTTTAAGAACCATTATCACTTCTCTCTCTCTTTCACCCCACAATCAACATTAATCAGGTCCAACCATGTGTTCTGCCTTCTTAGCACTGCTCACGTGTGTCCCCTCCTCTCTTATTTCCATGCACTCTGGCCCAGCTGGGCTTCTTCTCTCTTTGCCTGTGATTTGCTCTGTTGTCCTCCCTGGCTCAGACGTGCAGTCCCAGTCTCTCCTGATGCTTTGTCCCCACATTGAGGGCACTGCTGTTTCCCCACAGGCCACTCCTTTTTTTTTTTTTTTCTTGAGACAGAGTCTTACTCTGTCACCTAGGCTGGAGTGCAATGGCACGATCTCGGCTCACTGCAACCTCCACCTCCCAGGTTCAAGTGATTCTCCTGCCTCAGCCTCCTGAGTAGCTGGGATTACAGGTATACACCACCACACCCAGATAATTTTTTGTATTTTTTTTAGAGACAGGGTTTCACTGTGTTGGCCAGGCTGGTCTCGAACTCCTAACCTCGTAATCCTCCCACCTCAGCCTCCCAAAGTGCTGAACTCCTAATACACCCTCTGTCCTTTCCCACCTTGTCTGTGCCCTGGAGGCTGACTCTATGGATTGCATCATCAGTGTCTCCTTGCCTTTAGCGTCTGATTGAGTTCAACCATGGAGGCACTGTCAGGAGAGCAGAGGGTGAGAGGAGAGAGAGGCCGGGGAATCAATTCCCACACATATGCCCTGCCAGGCTGTGGTTTGTCAGCAACTGTGCTCCTCTACCCATGACATCAGCTCCCGCAAGGCACCTCCCATCTCCCACACAGGGCTCTCTCCACCCCTTGACCTCCCATCCTGGGAGTGGCAGTGGCTTCCTGGGGTGCTTCATCCCTCTCATTTGCCCACACCTTTATACACTTCTTTTTCTTTTTTCTTTTCTTTTTTTTTTTTTTTTTTTTGACGGAGTCTCACTCTGTCACCAGGCTGGAGGGCAGTGGCACCATCTCAGCTCACTGCAAGCTCTGCCTCCCGGGTTCACGCCATTCTCCTGCCTCAGCCTCCAAAGTAGCTGGGATTACAGGCGCCCGGCTAATTTTTTGTATTTTTAGTAGAGACAGGGTTTCACCATGTTAGCCAGGATGGTTTTGATCTCCTGACCTTGTGATCCACCCGCCTGGGCCTCCCAAAGTGCTGGGATTACAGGCGTGAGCCACCGCGCCCGGCCTATACACTGCTTTTTCTATTTCCATTTTTATTTTAGAATTGGGGGTACATGTGTAGGTTTGTTACCAAGGAATATTGTGTGGCATTGAGGTTTGGAGTAAGACTGAGCCCCTCACCCAGGTAGGGAGCATGGTACCCAACAGGTAGTTTTTCAGCCCCATCCCCCTCCTCTCCACCCTCAGTGGTCCCCAGCGTCTACTGTTGCCATCTTTATGGGAAGATGTGTACCTAATATTTAGCTCCCACTTATAAGTGAGAATATGTGGTATTTGGTGTTCAGTTTCTACATTAGTTTACGTAAGATAATGGCCTCCAGCTGCATCCATGTTGCTGCAAAGGACATGAGTTCATTCTTTTTTATGGCTGTGTAGTCTTCCATGGTGTATATGGACCACATTTTCTTTATTTGGTTCACTGTTGATGGGCAACGAGGTTGATTCCATGTCTTTTCTATTGTCAATAGTGCTGCAATGATCATCCAAGTGTGTGTGTTCTTGACTAGAATGATTTATTTTCCCTGGATATATACCCAGTAATAGGACTCCTGGGTCAAATGGTAGTTCCATTCCTAGTTATTTGAGATATCCTCAAACTGCTCTCCACGGCGACTGTTAGTCCTAGCTCTTTGAGAAGCCAAGGTGGGAGGATTGCTTGAGGCCAGGAGTTTGGGGCCATTCGATTCTCTAACTACTACCCCTGCTGTATAGAAATGTCATTGATATGGATTTGTTTTTATTTTCTTATAAATCCTAATGGACTTTGAATTTTCTATTTAGAGAATCTTACTACCTACAAGTAATGAAAAAATCTCTCTAGCCCTCATATATCTTATTTTTAGTTTTTTACTTTTACTGATATTATTACATCAGTTAGGACACCTCAGTAGAAAATGGAATAAAAGTGGAAAGACCATTAAGCCTCGTTTTGTTCATATTTTAGTGGAAATTGATCTAAGCTTCATCATTAAATATAATATTTGCTATTGATTTGTTGCTGGGCATCCTTTAACATGTTTATGATGTTTCATTCTATTCCTAATTCATTAAGATTTTTTAAACCATAAATAAGTGCAGATTATAGTAATATTGAGCAAATATTTTCTTCTCACCTCCAATGGGCCACCCTCTAGACCCCCTACCCTCACCCTCATCTCCCCTACCTCACCGCGGGTCTCTGTCCTCAGACCCCTGCTGCAGGGGACCCCTGGAGGTGACATATGCTCAGCTGGACCACCAGGCCTTCACTTGGAGGACAGCCCAGGCTGTGTCCCCAGAGTCCATGGTGCCCATGGCTGAGTCTAGCATGTACACAGCCCTCGCCAGGCACTGACTCCGGGACCACTGCCCCCTGCGCCTGAGGAAGTCATGCTTGGAAAAGCCTCAAGAAGCCATCTGGAGGGCTTCCCCTTGGAATCATCCTGGTCTGCAAAACCAGTCAACTGTTCTGGAGATAAGAGGTAGAGCCCAAAGTTCTCTAGTCAGCATCTAGAAAGTTCATTAACCAGGTGATTCCTTCCACAACTGACCAGCACCTCAAAGAGGTGGCATTGCAGCTACTTCTAGAAACCCAGCTGCAATCACCTGGCTGTTTCCAGACACCTAGTTCCAGTCACCTGGTTGTTTCCAGTGATCCAGCTGCTGTCACTTCTCTGTTTCAAGACACCCAGCTCCAGTCTCCTGGCTGTTTGCTGAGTCTCAGCTATAGCCATCCCAGCTGATTCCATTAACAATGTTGCATCCCCCTGCAGTTTCCAAATGTCTTCTGTAAATCCCCCCAGCTGCCCCAGCAATCGTCTACTCAGCTGATCCTGAACATTCTCCTAGAGTTTAGTTGTTGACCTTGAGAATGAGCTATACATATGGATCTGAGAGCTGAGACCAGTCCTCTGGGTCATGCTTTACTTCATGCACCAATGAATAGTTTAAAGACCTCACATCTGGCAGTCCTGTGTCATGTTCTGGGGTGTATAGATCACTTGGACCCAATCTCTGCCTTCATGTTGTTCAAGGTTACATGGGGTTAACAAGAGCTACAAAGGAGGTGTCAGTATTTTTTTAAGGATTTCATTGGCAGTGATTGCATATATTCAAGATGCACAAGGTGATAATTTGATATACATATACATTGTGAAATAATAGCCACGGTCAAATGAATCAGCGCATCCATCACCAGCTACGCTGTACATAAGATCCCCTGAACTTGCTCATCTTAGGCCTCCAAGATGGAGCATATGATCAGGGATCAATTAAGGTGTCTGAGCGGATGCATGGATGGGTGAAGACAGAGAGCTAATCCCACTTATGCACTTACACACATATGCACATGTACTCACACATTCACACATGCACACACATGCACAAACCTGAACGCACTCACACATGTCAGGAGACCTCTGAATCCTCTGTGCGCTGGGACTTGGTTGTCTCCACCCCTCTTAGAAAGTTAGATGCTCTCCCTATTCAGATTAAAACGGAAAATTACTTGAGAACCACTAGGGGGAGACAGTACCTCATTTGAATTAATTTTTGTGCACATTTAAAATAAACAATAACACACTTACCATGGGCATGCCTTTGGCCGGATTGCAAAGGTAAACATATATCAAAGCATCTCATGGTACCCAATAAATATATACAATTATTATTTTTCAATTAAAATATCGTAATAAAATAACAGAAAAGAAACCTGCATACTTGTAACAGAGTGGATTTTTAAATGTCGTTTTATACAAGAAAAAGAATATTTTTTAAAAAACTCAACAATAACTCAATCAGCTTATCCTATGGAGCAATTACTAGTTGAATACTATGCAAACATCAACACATTCACTAGTCTTACATATGCCCCACAGCTTGTCCTATTTTTTCCCCACTTGTGGGGATTTTGATAGTTGTTGAGTATGTCTAATCCAATTATACATTCCAGAGCAAGGAATAAAGCCACAGGATGCATTTGGTGGCCAAGAAAATTCAACAGGAGACAAATCTGAGCTAAAGGTTCATTGACTACCTGACCTCCATAAGCTTCTAATCTGACTGGAGGGTCACCATGATGTTTTGGGTCTTCTGAAGTTAGTGTTAGCTCAGAGCCAGTGTCTAGTTGCACCCAAAATATCTGATCATTTCCTTTACCCAGTACACAGCTACCATGATAAAGGCCATAGGTCCATTTAAGGGAAGCTGAGATAAATATAATTGTTTAACTTTTTATAGTATATACCGGGGCAGCGCCTTCAAGGATACCTGGTCTTCCCTTTAATTCAAGGGGTTCTGGGTCTATAAACTGGTGAAATTCTAGTAATTGATTAAGAGACTGTAACTGTCTATTTTATGATTTTAATTAGATTCTTGTTCTCTTTGCCAAGAAATGTTCTGCTTATACAAATCAAGTAAGAATGAAGTAAGTTTCCTATCTATTTCACGTCTTAGAACGCTGCGGTCAACTAGACAACACTAAAGGGCTGCATGAGACAGTCTATTCTGATTACTGCCTTGATTCTGCTTTCCATTATGATCACCACACCCAGTTCTATGATAACCACACCCAATTCAACACACCAGATTCTCACCTTTGTCGACTGACTTCTGACACTTGAGTCCTGCCACTCTAGGATCCAACTACTCCCCTTACATTTAGGTTTCTCGGTTCAGTGGCAGCAGTTCCCACTGGAAGTTCTGGCCTCTCCTAATACACCCTCTGTCCTTTCCCACCTTGTCTCTGCCCTGGAGGCTGACTCTATGGATTGCATCACCAACATCTTCTTGTGTCTAGTGTCTGGTTGAGTTCAGCCATGGGAGGCACTGTCAGGAGAGCAGAGGGTGAGAGGAGAGAGAGGCCGGGGAATCTATTCCCACACGTACGCCCTGCCAGGCAATAAACTGTGCTCCTCTACCCATGACATAAGCTCCCACGAGGCACCTCCCATCTCCCAGCTCAGTCCTCAAGGTGACTTTCCAGAGACCTAGTTACATTCGGCTGTTACTAAAGAGTCAGCTACAGTCATCTAGCTGTTTCCAGTGACCACCCCCAATCCCCCATAGCTGCCTGCCTGTTTGCAGAGACCCAGCTACATGCACCTAGCTGTTTCTAGAGACCCGGCTACATCCACCTGGCTGTTTCCAGAGACCCGGCTACATCCACCTGGCTGTTTCCAGAGACCCGGCTACATCCACCTGACTGTTTCCAGAGACCCGGCTACATCCGCTGGCTGTTTCTAGAGACCCGGCTACATCCACCCAGCTGATTTCATTATCACTGACGCAGTCCCCAGCTGCTCCTATGTCTCCTGGAAATCCCCAATTGCCCCAGAGACTTTGTTGTAATTTTCTGTTCAGCTGACTCTAGGGATCTTCCTGGAGCTTAATTGCTGACCTTAAGAATGGGCCATATTTATGCAACTGAGAGCAGAGCCCAGTTCTCTGGGCCATGCTTTCCTTTGTACATCAACAAATAATCCTAAAGACCTAAAGTCTGGCAATCCCACGCCAGGTCCTAGGGTGCACAGGTCACCTGCATCCAGTCTTTGCCTTCACAGTTATTCAAAGCTGAGCAGGGAAAAAGGAGAGCCACAGAGAAGTTCAGTGTTTTCCTTTTTATCTTTTTAAAAAATCCTTTTTTATCCTTAAAATGATTTAATCAACCAAGATTGTATATATTGAGGTGTACAACATGATGATTTGATATACGTATACATTGTGTAATGATTGCCACAATCAAATTAGCACACTCAGGACAACCAGTGCCCTAAATAGATCCCCTGGATTTGTACACGTTATGCCTTAAAGTTGGTGCCAGAGTTCCATTTATTTATTTTTATCCATATATAATAGTTGTATATAGGTTTGGGGTACTTATGATATTTTGATACTTGTATGCAATGGGTAATAATAAAATCAGGGTAATTAGAATATCCATCACCTCAAATATTTATCTTTTCTTTTTGTTGGGGAGCATTACAATTCTTTTATTCTAGTTGTTTTGAAATACACAATATATTATTGTTAACTATACTTCCCCTACTGTACTGTCAAATACTCAGTTATTTCTCCTATCCAGCTGTATTTCTATACTCCGTAACTAACATCTCCTTATCTCCCACCCTTTCCAGCTCTAGTAACCACCAGTCTACACATTTTTTTTTTTTGAGACAGAGTCTTGCTGTGTCACCCAGGATGGAATGCAGTGGCGTGATCTTGGCTCACTGCAACCTTTGCCTCCTGGGTTCAAGAGATTCGCCTGCCTCAGCCTCCTGAGTAGCTGGGATTACAGATGCATGCCACCACGCCAGGCTAAAGACAGGGTTTCACCATGTTGGCCAGGATGGTCTCGAACTCTTGACCTCAAGTGATCCACCCGCCTCAGCCTCCCAAAGTGCTGGGATTACAGGCATGAGCCACCACGCCCGGCCTTTTTTTTTTCTTTTGAGACAAGGTATTGCTCTGTTGCCCAAGCTGGAATGCAGTGACACAATCATGGCTCACTGCAGCCTCAACCCTCCAGGGCTCAAGCGATCCTCCTGCCTCAGACTCCCGAGTAGCTAGGACCACAGTGCACACCACCACGCCCAACTAATTTTTGTATGTTTCGTAGAGAAGGGGTTTTGCCACATTGGCCAGGCTGGTCTGGAACTCCTGACCTCAAGTGAACCACCTGCCTTGGCCTCCCAAATCACTGGGATTACAGGCACAAGCCACCACACCTGGCCAACCAGTCTACTCTCTCTGTTTAGGAATCCACTTCTTTAGCTCCCACGTATGAGTGAGAACATTCGAGATTTGTCTTTCTGTTCCTGGCTTATTTCACTGACCATAATGACCTCCAGTTCCAACTATGTTGCTGTAAATGTCAGGATTTCATTCTTTTTTATGGATGACCCCTCTTCCATTGTGTATACATACCACATTTTCTTTACCCTTTTATCCACTGATGGACACTTAGGTTGATTCCGTATGCTGACTTGTGAAGAGTGCTGCAATAAACACACGGGTGCAGGGACTCTTGTGATGTCCTGAGATTTTTTTCCTTTGCATGAATATTCAGTAGTGAACTCACTGGATTTTACGATAATTGCAGTTTCAGTATCTTGAGGAATCTCCGTGTTTTTTTTTTTTTTTCTTTTTTTGAGACAGAGTCTCACTGTCGCCCAGGCTGGAGTGCAGTGGCGTGATCTCGGCTCACTGTAGGCTCTGCCCCTCGGGGTTCACACCATTCTCCTGCCTCAGCCTCCCGACTAGCTGGGACTACAGGTGCCTGCCACCTCGCCTGGCTAATTTTTTGTATTTTTAGTAGAGACAGGGTTTCACCCTGTTGGCCAGGATGGTCTTGATCTCCTGACCTCGTGATCCGCCCGCCTCGGCCTCCCAAAGTGCTGGGATTACAGGTGTGAGCCACCGCGCCCGGCCGGAATCTCCATGTTTTCCATAATGGCTGTACTAATTTATATTCCCACCAACAGTGTCTAAGAGTTATTTTGTCAGCACATCCTCACCAGCATGTTTTTATTTTATTTTATTGATCTATTTATTTATTTGTTTGTTTGTTTAGATGGAGTCTCACTCTGTCGCCCAGGCTGGAGTGCAGTGGTGCCATCTCAGCTCACTGCAACCTCCAGCTCCTGGGTGCAAGCGATTCTCTTCCCTCAGCCTCCCGAGTGGCAGGAGCCTCCTGATTACAGGCGGGCGCCACCACGCCCGGCTAATTTTTGTCTTTTTAGTAGAGACGGGGTTTCAACATGTTGGCCAGGCTGGTCTCAAACTCCTGACCTCGTGATCCGCCTGCCTCGGCCTCCCAAAGTGCTGAGATTACAGGCGTGAACCACTGTGCCCAGCCCAGCATGTTTTTATATGTTTCTTTGATAATAGACATTTTAACTGAAATAAGATGATACTCATTGTAGTTTCGATTTGATGCCAGTGATGATTGTGGGTTTTTGTTTGTTTGTTTGTGTTTTGAGATGAAGTCTCGCTCTGTCACCCAGATTGGAGTGCAGTAGTGTGATCTTGGCTCACTGCAACCTCTGCCTACTGGGTTCAAGTGAGCCTCCTGCCTCAGCCTCCTCAGTAGATGGGACTACAGGTGTATGCCACCACGCCCAGCTGTTTTTTTTTCTTTTTTTGTATTTTTGGTAGAGATGAGGTTTCACCATGTTGCCCAGGCTGGTCTCAAACTCCTGGGTTCAAGTGATCCACCTGCTTTGGCCTCCCAAAGTGCTGGGATTACAGGTGTGAGCCACCGCGCTTGGCCGATGATTAGTGTTTTATATAGCTGTTGGCCATCTGTACATTTTCTTTTGAGAAGCAACTATTCAGATGCTTTGCATACTTGTTAATGGAATTATCTGGGGATTTTTTGTTGAGGTGTGTTTCTTCTAGGCCTAATTTGTTGATAGTTTTAATGATGAAGGGATGTTGAATTTTGTCAAATGTTTTTTTAACATCTATTGTGATGATCATATAATTTTTTTTTTTTTTTTTAGACAGAGGGTCTCTCCTTCACCCAGGCAGGAGTGCAGTGGCGCGATCTTGGCTCACTGCAACTTCCACCTCCTGGGTTCAAGAGATTCTCCTGTCTCAGCCTCCCGAGTAGCTGGACTACCGGTGCACACCACCACACCCAGTTAATATTTTGCATTTTTGAGAGAGATGGGGTTTCATCATGTTGGCCAGGCTGATCTCGATCTCCTGACCTCAAGTGATCCACCCATCTCAATCTCCCAAAGTGCTGGGATTGCAGGCATGAACCACCGCGCCTGCCCATGATTATATGTTTTTTGTTCTTCCTTCTGTTGACATGAGATATCATATCTATTGATTTGAGAATGTTGAAATATCCTCCCTTCTGGCTGCTGTGTGGACTGCGAGCTCTCCTACCCTCCATGGTCTTCCAATCCCACTGTCCCCAGGCCAACTGCTCCCAGACTATGCAGTAGTCTCATGTGCATGGAGCAGTTGCAATTGATCCTGGTGGTGACAGAGGGGTTGGTGTTTCAGGCATGGCACAGTCAGAGGAGGTCCCAAGGAGAGACCAAGAGGTAAACTTAAGTAGAGCTGCACCCCTTCCTTGGCATCTGTAGAACCCTGGATAAAATCAAATACGCCAACCCAAATGCCCATCAATGATAGACTGGATAAAGAAAATGTGGCACATATACACCATGGAATACTATGCAGCCACAAAAAAGGATGAGTTCATGTCCTTTGCAGGGACACAGATGAAGCTGAAAACCATCATTCTCTGCAAACTAACACGAGAACAGAAAACCAAACATCACGTGTCCTCACTCATAGGTGGGAGTTGAGCAATGAGAACACATGGACACGAAGAGGGGAAAATCACACACCGGCACCTGTCACGGGCTGGGGGGCTGGGGGAGGGATAGCATTAGAAGAAATACCTAATATAGACAACAGGTTGATGGGTGCAGCAAAATACCATGGCACGTGTATACCTATGTAACAAACCTGCACGTTCTGCACATGTATCCCAGAACTTGAAGTATAATAATAAAAAAAAAGAAAACGAAACAATGAAACATGGGTTCTTATGAATCACAGAACACCCGTGACCCCAAGTTAAGATGGAAATTTATGATTCATTCCAACTAGGTCCTGTTTTCAGTATCTCACAAAAGCTTGACTCTAGAGTGAAATATACTTGGAAATGAATGAACGACTCTTGTGGTCTTTTTACTTCTTGTAAGGCTTTAGGATCCACCCGTTTGAATACCTATGACCAGGACCTCCTGCAATGCTTCTCTCTCCACCTCCAGGCATCCCTTCATTCAGATAATACCAATTCATCATCACCATCTGACCTCTCCTTCAGCTTCTTCACCACCCTCCATCTCAATTGCTTTCTGTTTTTCTTCTTTATTTTTTGAACTTCAACTTTTATTTTAGATACGAGGATACATGCTCAGGTTTGCTACATGGAACTATTGCACCCAGGTGGTGAGTGCAGGACCCAGTGGGTATTTCTTTTATCCTGTCCTATTGCGTTAAATCTTTCCTTCCCGGGACTGGTCCTATCTCTAAACTTTTTGCGTAGTGATTTTATCAACTTAATTTTTGCTAGGATGCTAGATTTTCTAGGAGGGGAGGTAATTTGAAATGAAGTCTGGGTTACTGTGAATCCAGTATATCTGCTTTGCTCGCCTTTATCTCTTGTGTCCTGGGATGGCCACAGGTTGACATGTTTAAATGTTTCTTAAGTGAGGATGGATAAGATTTACTGAGTGGTGAGTGCACGAATACAAAAGCAAAATGAGGCCGGGCGCGGTGGCTCACGCCTGTAATCCCAGCACTTTGGGAGGCCAAGGCGGGCAGATCACCTGAGGTCAGGAGTTCGAAACCAGCCTGGCCAACATGGTGAAACCCCATCTCTACTAAAAATACAAAAGTTAGCCGGGTGTGGTGGCAGCTGCCTGTAATCTCAGCTCTCAGCTACTCGGGAGGCTGAGTTAGGAGAATTGTTTGAACCCAGGAGGCCGAGGTTGCAGTAAGCCAAGATTGCACCACTGCACTCCAGCCTGGATGACAGAGTGTCACCCTGTCACAAAAAAAAAAAAAAAAAAGAAGCAAAATACAAGAAGTCCAGGACTGGTAAAGGCAAGGCATGTTGAGCGGTTAGAAAAGGGGTGATGACATCGAAAAACCTCCTGGCATTTCCCAGTCCTTGCCTAGCACAGGTTACTCTGAAAGCAGGACTTAAGACAAGGATATGAGCGCAGGTAACTGATTTGGGAACCAAGTTTAAGGGAATAGGGTTCCCTTATGAAAGAGAGAAGGAGAGGAATTCCTGAAATCAGCATGCATTGCGGACACCACTACAGCAGGTAATATGGACAGGTCCACACCAGGATCTCTGATAATGTGCAGACCATCATCCAGAACTTCCCGCCAAAACAGGAGATACTCGCCAATATGTGTATGGCTTTCTAGCCCCCATTTCTGGGAGTTTCTTTTTCCCCAGCCACTGTCAGACGCATCAAGCTTTGGCTGAAATAGCTTCCAATAAGGTCCTTACACACAAATGTGGAGAGACACATGGAAATCCTCGAAATGAGATACTGTCCCGTGATTCTGAGAGTGACCCAAAAGGATACGGAATGAGGTACTAAAAGCAGGTGCTTGGAAACCTGAGGGCAGTGGTGTTCATGCGTTTCCCGGCACTTTGACTTTCAGCCTCCTGCAAGCCTCTCCTTCTTTGCCTTCCTGACCGTTAGATACAATTAATTTGGGGTTTGTTTTTTCTGCTTCCTCTTTCCCCTCCCACCCTATGTTTCAGTTCTAAAGTTAGAAGGTCCTCTCATCCTTTTAAGAAGAACAGAGACAGAAAATGGTTAGTCACCATCTAGGACAGACTACAATTCCAGATCATTGCAGGACGTGCCCACTCAAATGGATGATTATTGAGAGCTGGCCACCTGAAGTGTTTTACACAGGCAGTGATCTAAGGGTTGAAGCTATCTGGCCTTTTTGCTTGCTTGTTATGTATTTATGGCTTTTTTCCTTTTCAAAATAATTTTACTAAATATTTAATTCACCAACTATATATATTTATGGGGTACAATGTGTTATAAATGTATACACTGTGGAATGATGGAATCAAGACAGTTAACATGTCCATCACTCCGCATACTAACATCTGTGAAAACATTTAAAATCTATGCTTGGCTGGGCGTGGTGGCTCATGCCTGTAACCCCAGCAACTTTGAGAGGCTGAGATGGGCGGATCACCAGAGGTCAGGAGTTCGAGACCGGCCTGGCCAACATGGTGAAACCCCATCTCTATTAAAAATACAAAAATTAGCTGTGAGTGGTGGCGGGTGCCTGTAATCCCAGCTACACAGGAGGCTAAAGCAGGAGAGTCTCCTGAACCCAGGAGGCGGAGGTTGCAGTGAGCTGAGATCACACCACAGCACTCTAGCCTGGGCGACAGAGTGAGACTGCATCTCAGAAAAGAAAAAATATATATATATATTTTGGAGCTACATCGTGCTAGCGCTGCAGAGAATGAGTTTTGTTTTGCGACACAGTTTTTAGATGTCTACCGGGCTCTGGTGGAGATGGAATGTTTGGCCTCAAGTGGGCAGGTCCCATGGGACATGAGTAGCCGACCATGACCTGGCTGCGTACTGGCCCACCAAGCATTCGACTGGCGTGCCCAGCCACTCTCCGTCATCGCAGAGAAGTGCTCTATGTGAGATTTGGTTAAAGGAGTCCCTGAAGGCCTGTGGGAGGCAGAATAGTGACCTCCCAGAGATGTCCACCTCCTGAGGCCCAGACCCTGTGAGTTGGGGAAGCTTATGTGGCAAAAGGGACTTTGCAGATGTGATTAAGTCAAGGATCTTGGGTTGGGGAGATTACCCAGGTGGGCCTGATGTAATCACAAGGGGCTGAGTAAGTGAAAGAGGAAGGCAGGAGGGTCAGAGTGAGAGAAGGAGGTGAGTGCATGCAAGCAGGGGGCAGATAACGGGACTGGTGGCTTTGAGGTTGGAGGGAATGGAGAGGCAGGAATGCGGGAGCCTGCAGAGGCTTGAACAGGCGAGGGAACAGATTCTCCTTGGAGCCTCCAGGAGGACACGGCTCTGATAGCAGCTTCATTTTAGCCCAGGGAGACCCATTTTGGACTTGTGACCTCCGGGACGGTAAGTCAATAAACCTACATTATGTGAAGCCACTAAGCTTGTGGTGATTTGTTATGGCAGCAAAAGGAAGCTTTATGGTTCATCTGTACCCTGAAAATGCAGGTTTTTGGTTTTTTTTTTTTTTTCACTTGTTCAATGATGTACCCCCAGTGTCAGGCGCTTTGCAAACACACGATACATACGGGTTGATGTTTGGTCAAGAGAGGAATTAAGACCAGGCAGACAGCAGGCTGGGATCAGAGAGACCCCATTTCTGTCTGAAATGTCTGCAGAGAACCTGGTGCCTGCCTCAGCCCTAGCTCTGGGGAAATGAAAGCCAGGCTGGGGTTCAAATGAGGGCAGTTTCCCTTCCTGTGGGCTGCTGATGGAACAACCCCATGACGAGAAGGACCCAGCCTCCAAGCGGCCACACCCTGTGTGTCTCTTTGTCCTGCCGGCACTGAGGACTCATCCATCTGCACAGCTGGGGCCCCTGGGAGGAGACGCCATGATCCCCACCTTCACGGCTCTGCTCTGCCTCGGTGAGATTTAAAGAGGGGGAGGGGAGACCCGAGTCTTGGAGGAAATTTGCCTCACAGCCAGGCCCTGGTTCTTTAGGAGACTCAAAAATCTCAGGGTAGCCGGGCGCGGTGGCTCACGCCTGTAATCCCAGCACTTTGGGAGGCCGAGGCGGGCGGATCACGAGGTCAGGAGATCGAGACCATCCTGGCTAACACGGTGAAACCCTGTCTCTACTAAAAATACAAAAAATTAGCCGGGGGTGGTTGCAGGCGCCTGTGGTCCCAGCCACTCGGGAGGCTGAGGCAGGAGAATGGCGTGAACCCGGGAGGCGGAGCTTGCAGTGAGCCAAGATCGCACCACCGCACTCCAGCCTGGGTGACAGCGAGACTCCGTCTCAAAAAAAAAAAAAAAAAAAAAAAAAAATCTCAGGGTAAAGAGAGGACCTGCTCAGGCTTCCGGGGCAAATCCCTCACAGGGAACTCTCTTCCAGGGCTGAGTCTGGGCCCCAGGACCCACATGCAGGCAGGTGAGTCTGTCCCCAGCTGTCCCAGGTCCCTCCTCCTCACTGGGACAAGGGGCCACCCATGGGCAGCTGGGGGAGGAGACAGCAGTTCTGGGTGACTGATGAGGATGACGGGGGGGTCCTGGGGCTGAGAGCTGGGATCTGAGGGCTGAGGAAGGTCTTGGGATCCAGCCTCTGATTTTCTTCCAGGGCCCCTCCCCAAACCCACCCTCTGGGCTGAGCCAGGCTCTGTGATCAGCTGGGGGAACTCTGTGACCATCTGGTGTCAGGGGACCCTGGAGGCTCGGGAGTACCGTCTGGATAAAGAGGAAAGCCCAGCACCCTGGGACAGACAGAACCCACTGGAGCCCAAGAACAAGGCCAGATTCTCCATCCCATCCATGACAGAGGACTATGCAGGGAGATACCGCTGTTACTATCGCAGCCCTGTAGGCTGGTCACAGCCCAGTGACCCCCTGGAGCTGGTGATGACAGGTGAGAGGACACTCAGGGGTCCCAGCCCCAGGCTCTGCCCTCAGGAAGGGGGTCAGCTCTCAGGGGCATCTCCCTCTCACAGCCCAGCCCTGGGGATGATGTGGGAGCCCCATTTAACACGGTGCCTCCTTCTCTCCTAGGAGCCTACAGTAAACCCACCCTTTCAGCCCTGCCGAGTCCTCTTGTGACCTCAGGAAAGAGCGTGACCCTGCTGTGTCAGTCACGGAGCCCAATGGACACTTTCCTTCTGATCAAGGAGCGGGCAGCCCATCCCCTACTGCATCTGAGATCAGAGCACGGAGCTCAGCAGCACCAGGCTGAATTCCCCATGAGTCCTGTGACCTCAGTGCACGGGGGGACCTACAGGTGCTTCAGCTCACACGGCTTCTCCCACTACCTGCTGTCACACCCCAGTGACCCCCTGGAGCTCATAGTCTCAGGTGAGGCTCCTGACCCTGTCCTCTCTGAGCTCAGTGGCTCCGTTCATGCCCTGCTGCCAGGAGAGCTCTGGGCAGGGATGGAGGGAGAGGGGCTCAGCCAGTGGGGGACTCAGCCCTCAGAGGGGAGGAGGACAACAGGGGCCCTCCCAGGCATGCCCATGCTCTTCTCCCTCACCTAGGGTCCAGAAGGTGCCAGGTGGACAGAGAAATGGTCCTTGGGAAGCTGCAGGGCAGATATAGGGAGAGGTTCAATTTGATGTGGAGACCCAAGGGCAACCCCAGACTCTCACCCTCCTCTTGTCCTTCTACCCAGGATCCTTGGAGGATCCCAGGCCCTCACCCACAAGGTCCGTCTCAACAGCTGGTGAGTCTCAGAGGCCTCTGTCCAGAGAGTTTCCAAAGCCCGAGGCCTGTCTCAAGACATGCTCAGTGGATCTAAGTCCTCGTTCCAATTCTCAGCTGGGCTTGCTTCCACGGGTGTGGGAGTCGGGCAGCGACTTGGGAGGCACCACAGGCTCCCAAGGCCCTGAGGCTGGGCTGGTGAGGGGTGAGGGGGTCAAGGCTGAAGGAGATGTTGCGGGGAGAAGCCGAGCTGATGCGGGGAGCAGGGCAGCCCCAGCCCTCACATCCCTGTTCTAACCCAGCAGGCCCTGAGGACCAGCCCCTCATGCCTACAGGGTCAGTCCCCCACAGTGGTGAGTGAGGGGCTCTGAGTGGGAGGTGGGCAGGGTCTAGGGGAGCCAAGGGTGGGTTCTGTCCTAGGTTAAGGCTCCTCTGGAGGTGGTGATGTGGACAGGCCCCTCCCCTGCATGGGCCTCAGTTTCTCCAAGTGTAAAGGAGAGAGGCCTGCGGGTGGGAAAGTTCCTTTCAGCTCTGACTCCCAGCTGTGCCCTCCTGGGAGAGGAGGCCTCCCAGGGAACCTCCCAGACCCGATTCCGCAGGGGCCTGTCCGGTCCCACCTGCAGCAGAGACGGTGACCTGGGGCAGGGGAGGGGAGCAGGGCGGTGGTTCAAGACAGTCAGGCTCTTTCCCTGCAACTCTGGGGCTTGGCTCTGGTGCAGGAACAAGGGCTGCAGCTCAGACTCCCGGGTTTCCTTCCCAGCTCTGCCGCTTCCTGGCTGGAGGGGTCTGGGGCAGGCGATTCCCCTCTCTGAGCCTCAGTTTGTGCATCTGTGAAATGGGTGGAGAGAGGGTGGCAATCTCAGGTTGCACAACTGCTGTGAGGGTTGGAGGTAATGAAAGAAAGACCCAGCACACACAGTAGGTGCACACACAGTAGGTGTGCACATCAATGACATCATCCCCATTCCTGATGTCATCACGCCCAAGGTCTGAGAAGGCACTGGGAGGTACTGATCGGGGTCTTGGTGGTCTCCATCCTGCTTCTCTCCCTCCTCCTCTTCCTCCTCCTCCAACACTGGCGTCAGGGAAAACACAGGACATTGGGTAAGTAGGAAATTGGGGGACCCGTGGGCTGATGGAGGGTGGGCTCAGGGCACCAGCCAAAGGGACTCCAGATAGGAGAGGTCATCTTAGAAACTCTGCTCCAGAAATTCCCAGTGAGAAAATCTAGAAAGAAGAAAATGAATGAGGGAGTAATGGAAGTGCTTTATTCTTTCGGTTTTTCTAAACTTAGAAAGTATTTAAAACATCCTTGCAAGTGTATTTTCAGGTTTCCTTTCCTCTTGACTTGCATGTGCAAGGCAGGTGGTTCTAACGTTCCCAGAGCTGAGACTCTGTCCATCTTCCCCCAGCCCAGAGACAGGCTGATTTCCAACGTCCTCCAGGGGCTGCCGAGCCAGAGCCCAAGGACGGGGGCCTACAGAGGAGGTAATTCTGCCCAAAGACCTCAGACTCCCACCCATCCCAACAGCCACCTCACTGTCCCCTTACACTCCCGTATCCTCCCCCAGGTCCAGCCCAGCTGCTGACGTCCAGGGAGAAAACTTCTGTGAGTGAGAGGCAGAGAAGGTGCACCTGGGGTGGAGCTGGGGGTCCCAAAATTTCAATAGCAATGGGGGCAGGAGCACAGGCTAGGATTGGTCAGGGACTCAGGGAGAAGTGGTCTGAACCCACATTGTGGGACCTCGGGGACATCACAGCCCCTCCCTGCGTTGCAGTGGCACTAATGGGAACAGGGCAGGGACCAGCAGGAATGAGAGGTCCCAGGGAACCTTCCCAGGAGATGAACCCCTTGCTCTACCCCAGCAGGTGCTGCCGTGAAGAACACACAGCCTGAGGACGGGGTGGAAATGGACACTCGGGTGAGAACCCGCCCCTGTCCCCGGCACCAAAGGCCTCCTGGTGCCAGATCTAATCCTGCAGGACTTCTCTGTCCTCCTTCCCCCGGCTCTCAGCATCGTCACGGTGGACCCCTCCTTGTCCAGCACGCTGCCTCCTGCCTGCTGGGACCTCACTCTCTCCTGCTGTCCTGGGACCTCATGGGCCTCCTCCCGGGTCCCCTTCCTGCTCCTCATCCTCTGTTTGGCCATCTGGTTGTTAGAGAGCTCCCCAGGCCTCAGGAGGATGACGAATAAATGAACCACTCCAGTCCCCTGGGCTCCCCTTCATTCATTCATCTAGTGAGTGTTCCCAGGGAGCTCACTGTGGATGGGGCTCCCCATGGGAGCTGCAGACACAGCAGGGAGCAAAGCCGCCCCCGCCTCCTGAGCTCACCTCGTGGTGGGAGACAAAATGCAAATAAATGCATCGTGTCCAGGAGTGCAACGTGCTGTAAGGAACATAAACCAGGTAAAGGGCAGAGAGTGTGGGGCAGTGGGGCCAGTCTGAATGGAAAGGGAGGGCTGTCTGCTCAGCTGTCATCTGAGAAGCCTGGACGGAGAGGGCCACGTGATCCTCTAATGGACGAGCCCCTGCAGGCAGAGGAAACAGCCGTGCAAAGGCCCCGAGGCAGCAGCGAGCTCTTGCAGGAAGGCCGCGTGAGGCTGCAGCCAAATGGGCAAGGTCAGAGTGAGGAGCAGAGGCCAGAACCACAGGGAGGGAGCGGCCAGACCCTCCACGGCCTTAGGGCGTCCCTGAGATTCCGTCAGGAAAGGGATGTAATCGGATCACCCTGGGAACAGTGGGGAAAATTGACTCCAGGGAGTCAGGAGGATTCAAGGACACCCCCCACCACTGTCTCTCTCCAGCAGAGCCCACACGATGAAGACCCCCAGGCAGTGACGTATGCCAAGGTGAAACACTCCAGACCTAGGAGAGAAATGGCCTCTCCTCCCTCCCCACTGTCTGGGGAATTCCTGGACACAAAGGACAGACAGGCAGAAGAGGACAGACAGATGGACACTGAGGTGAGTCCTTTCCTCTCCAGGCCCCCAGGCCTCCCCCACCCCCACCACGTTCCTTCCCTCTCACTCTCCCCCGCTGCAGGCTGCTGCATCTGAAGCCCCCCAGGATGTGACCTACGCCCAGCTGCACAGCTTTACCCTCAGACAGAAGGCAACTGAGCCTCCTCCATCCCAGGAAGGGGCCTCTCCAGCTGAGCCCAGTGTCTATGCCACTCTGGCCATCCACTAATCCAGGGGGGACCCAGACCCCACAAGCCATGGAGACTCAGGACCCCAGAAGGCATGGAAGCTGCCTCCAGTAGACATCACTGAACCCCAGCCAGCCCAGACCCCTGACACAGACCACTAGAAGATTCCGGGAACGTTGGGAGTCACCTGATTCTGCAAAGATAAATAATATCCCTGCATTATCAAAATAAAGTAGCAGACCTCTCAATTCACAATGAGTTAACTGATAAAACAAAACAGAAGTCAGACAATGTTTTAAATTGAATGATCATGTAAATATTACACATCAAACCAATGACATGGGAAAATGGGAGCTTCTAATGAGGACAAACAAAAAATAGAGAAAAATTAATAAAGTCAAAATGTTTATTCTTGAAAACATTAATGATACATGAATCTTGGCCACAATGAGAAAAATAAAAATGAAAAAAGAGCAGGCATCCATTTCCATACAGGAACAAAATAGGAGGCAGCACTACAGACCCTACACACAGCTTTACAGAGGTGAAAGAAAACTGTCAGCAATTCTATGCTGACATAACAGAAAATGTAGATGAGATAGATGAAATACGAAAAATTACAGTTTACTTAATGAACATAAGGATAAATAGAAAAACTGAATCATCATACATAAACATATATAAAATGCATTGATCCTGTAATCAAAAATGTTCCCACAAAGTAAATGCCACTTCAGCAAGGTTTGTTGGTGGTTTTTTCAAACTCTTATGCACTCATGAAACACACAGACACACACACACACAAACTTGCATAAATTTTCCCTGAGAATATTTTGTATATATTTACACAAATACATTTGATCAGACTAGGAACAAGTTGATACCAAAACCTGAAAAGGAAACTACAGAATGGGAAAGTCATAGAAGATCTCTCACAGAAATATAAATCCCTTAACAAATATTAACAAGTAAGATTCATGTCTCTATAAAATAGACAGTATATCATGACCACACTGGTTTTTTGTTATCCTTTGATTTTGTTTATGAAAAGCAAGGATAGCTTAATTTTCAAAAACTCAATCAATGTAATTCAGTATTTTAACAAAAGGAATGAAAAATTATCATCTCAATAGACAAAGCTTTTGTCTGAGCACCTTTTCATATAGCTGCTGACCATTTGTATGTCTTCTTTTGAGAAATGCCTGTTCAGCTACTTTGCCCATGTTTCAAGTAGTTTTTGGTTTCTTGCTGTTGCTTTGTTTTAGTTCCTTACATATTTTTGCATATTAACCCTTTATCAGGTATACAGCTTGCAACTATTTTCTCCCATTTCTGAGTTGTCTCTTCATTCTGTTTGCAGAAGCTGTTTAGAAGCCACACCTTTTGTCTATTTTTGCTTTTGTTGCTTGTGTTTTCAGGGCCATATCCAAAAAAACCTTGCCCGGACCAACGTCTTGAAGCTTTTCTCCCACCCATTTTTGTATATGGGATAAGGGTTCAATTTCATTCTTCTTCATATGAATATCCCCAGGATGTGTCCTATGCCCAGCTGCACAGCTTACCCTCAAACAGAAAATAATGAAGCCTTCTTCCTCCCAGGAAAGGGGACGTTCAGCTGAGCCGAGTGTGTATACTGCTCTGGCCATCCACTAGCCCAGGGAGGACCCAGACCTCCACACTCCATGGAGACTCAGTTCTCCTAGGACCATTTATTCAAAAGGACTGCCCTCTCTTGTTCTTGGAAACTTTGTTGAGGATCAATTCACCATAAATATGTGTGTTTCCTTCTTTGCTTTCATCCCTGTTGCACTGATCACTGTACCTGTTTCTATTCCAGTTCCATGATGTCTTCCTGGCTGTAGCTTTGTAGGATATTTGGGGATTCCATAGTGTGATATCCCCTTCTTCCCTTTGCTCAAGATTGTTTTGGCTATTTGGGGTCCTTTTGTAGTCCCATTCAAATTTTAGGATTGTTTTTCTATTTCTGTGGAAAACGACCTTGGAATTTTGTTAGGAATTGCATTGAGTCTGCAGGTATGAACTTTTTTTTAAAGTTCCAGGGCACATGTACAGGACCTGCAGCTTTGTTACATAGGTAGGCTTGTGCCATGGTGGTTTGCTGCACCTATCAACCCATTACCTAGTTATTAAGCCCAGCATGCATTAGCTCTTTTTCCTGATGCTCTCCCTCCCTTCATCATCCGCCCTCCCACTACAAGCCCCAGTGTGTGTTGTTCCCCTCCCTGTGTCCATGTGTTCTCATTGTTATACGAACATTTTAACAATGTTAATTCTTGCAGACCATGAACATAAGCTACCTTCCCATTTATATGCGTCTTGTTCAATTTCATTCATCAATGTTATAAAGATTTTAGTGCAGAGATATTAAACCTCCTTGGTTAAATTTAATTCTAAGTAATTTTTTAGCTATTATAAGTGTAATTTTTCTTTCGATTTCTTTCTGGATAGTTTGTTTTTAGTATATAGAGATGCTACCAATTTCTGCATGTTGATTTTGTATCCTGCAACTCTACTAAATTCGTGGATCAGTTCTAAAAGTTGTTTGGTTGAGTCTTTAGAGATTTTTATATATAAAATCATGTCAGCAAACAGAGACAATATCACTTTTTATCTGATTTGGGTGCTTTTGTGTATTTTTATTGCCTAATTGCTGTGTCTAGGACTTCTATTACTATGCTGAATAGAAGAAGTGAGAGCATATACTTTTGAGCAAGGATTCTTCCATCCTCCTCCTACAGAAAGGGCAGGTTCTAATTGCACTCTGGCTGAACTATTAGCACTTCTCATGCACTTGTGTGCTCAGCCCTCAGTCAGCCTCATTGGAAAGGGTCCAACTGAGGAAGGCACCAGATGTATTTGCTGCTAAGTCCTGGCCACAGACAGTGGATGACAGATGATTATTTAAATAAAGATTAGCTTTCCTTTCAAAGTTGGAGTGCTAACCCACCCAATGTCCCTAAGGCTTCAGGGCAGGACCATGGAAAGAGGAGGAGGAAGGTTCTGAGAACTAGACAAGGGGCACTGAGGAGGCAGAAATGAATCAAGTGCTGTATCCAGGGAGATGTGGAGGAGACTGTTAGAAAATAGTAACAAAAAAAGGGAAGCCCAAGCAGAGAATTGTTTGGTAGAAAGAATACCCACGACCCAGGGTCAGTGGAGGAGTTATGTTTTCTTCCCCTATTTCCCTGCATTTCTGCACTATGCACAGTGATATCGCTGTCACTTTCTCAGCCCTGCAGGCTTGTCAGAACCCAGTGACCGCCTGGAACTGGTGGTGACAGATGAGAGGACACTCAGGGATCCCAGCCCCAGGCACTGCATTCAGGAAGGGGTTCAGCTCTCAGGGGGTGTCTCCCTTCTCACAGCCCAGCCCTGGGGTATGATGTGGAAGGTGTGAGCCCCATTTAACATGGTGCTTCCTTCTGTCCTAGGATTCTACAGCAAATCCACCCTCTCAGCTCAGCCCAGCCCTGTCCTGACCTCAGGAGGTAAGGTGACACCATTATGTCCTTCACGGCTGGGATTTGACAGGTTCATTCTGACCGTGGAAGGTGAACACAAGCTATTCTGTCTCCTGGACCCCGAAAAACAGTCCGATGGACAGTTCCAAGCCCTGATCCTGGCAGACCCCATGACTTCTAGCCACAGGTGGAGGTTTACCAGTCTGGTTTAGCAGACTTTAGCACCTGAGACCAAGAGCTCCAGCAGCTCACTAGATTCTGACCATACCTGGAGGCAACCTGGTGAAAGAAGAGGCTTGGAAGGAACCAGCCCTCTGAGTCCCAGCTCCTCGCACACTCCAGGTGTGCCTAGGGAGCCCTCCCATTTGACTCCACAGGGTCCTGTCATGGCCCATGGAGAGAGGTTGACCCTCCTGTGTTGCTCTGATGTTGGCTGCAAAATATTCTCTCTGTCCAAGAAAAAGATACATCACCTTCCCCAGAGTTCTGGCCAGAAGTTCTCCCAAGATGACTTCCCCTTAGGCCCTGTGAGCATCTCCCATGGGGGCCAGTACAGATGTTCAGTGGACACAACCTCTCCTCTAGGTGGTCAGCCCCCAGTGACCCCCCTGGACATCCTGATCGCAGGTGAGAAGCCCAGCGGGTTCAGTTAGGGACCCAGGCTCTGTACAGGCCCTGCCAGGGGAGCCTAGGTGGTGATGGTTGGGATGAGGGGTGGGGGTCTCAAGGGAGGGAGAGGCAGAGAGAGAGAGAGGATGGATTGGGCGGGGACGGGGAAACTCAGAGAAAACAGAGACAGAGATACTGAGGGTCCCAGAGAGAGGCCTGGGGAAGTCTCAGCTCAGAACAAGGTGGGGCGGCTCCTCACCCATCCTTCTTCTCTCCAGGACAGATCCGTGAGACAGCCTCCCTCTTGGTGCAACCAGGCCCCACTGTGGTCTCAGGAGAGAACATGGCCCTGCTGTGTCAGATGCAAAGCTGGGTGGACAGACACTTTCCTTCTATCTGAGGAGGATGCAGCTGACAAGACCCCACCCTCGTATCTAATATCAAAGTACCCTACTCTGTGGTAGAGGTTGAATTCTCCATGAGTCCTGCGACCTCAGCCCATGCGGGGACCTACAGGTGCTATGCCTCATAGAGTGTTTACCCCAAGCTGTTGTTCCCCCAGTGACCTCCTGGTAATACAGGAGTTACTAAGAAATTGTTTTAGGCAGATAGTAAGGGTAAAGGTTCTTGGTGGAAATTTTCCAGTAATAAGGAACAATCCCTGAACCATCTCTTTTCTAACAGAAATGACAGCTTAAATGGCCCGGCCAGCAAGCTTTAATGTGCAAATGCCAACCATTAAAAACTGGGTTCACTCAATATGGTGATTCCTACTGTCTTCTCTTTGTTACCACCTGTGCCAAGTGTGATGGCCACCTCCAGACAACACCATGTATTCAAAACATCATGGTGACCCAAATGAATGAAAAAGCCCTTTTTAATATGCATTTTTAAAGGCCTACAGAAAACCAGGGCCAAACCTCTCAATTACTCTAAACTGTCTATAATGGAACAAAAGCCAAATAAAAATCTTGTAGCCTTTATAAAAAGGCTAAAAGAGGCACTAAAAAAGTATATCTTTTTATTCTCTAATCCAGTTAAGTAACAGCTCATCCTGAGGGACAAATTTATTACACAGGCAGCTCCCAATATTAAAAAAAAAAAAAAAAACTACAAAAGAAAGCTACAGGACCAAATAGCACCTTAAAAAACCTCCTGAAGGTGGCCACTTTGGTCTTTTATAATATGGACCAGGAGGAGTCCCAAAAGAAAGAAAAAAAGCTCAGGAGAAGGACAAAGTCTCTAGCAGCAGCTTTGAAGGCTCGCAAAGTCCCAGATCACCAAGATGCATCCTCTAGTTGCTATTAGTGTAGCAGGCCAGAATGTCCAGTCAGCAAAATGAAGCAACCTCCACTCTGTCCAGCCTGTGGCAAAAACCACTGAAAACAGAACTGCCCCCAGACATGGAGGTCACTGAGTTCAAAACCAGTCTCACAGATGGTCCAGCAAAACTGATGGATCCTGGTGCTTGAACCTAGGCTCCAGTAGCTCAAACTGCCATTATAGCACAAGAGCCCTGGATAATTCTGGAAATTAAAGGAAGGAAAGTAGACCTCCTTCTAAACACTAAAGCTAGTCTCTCTCTCTTTTCTATTCTCTAATCCAGGCCTCCCTTCTTCCTTCATCACAACCGTAAGGGGCATCTTAGGAAAAAGTCTAATCCAATATTTTCTCAATCTTAGTTAAAACATGCTTTCGGTCAGGCACGGTGGCTCACGCCTGTAGTCCCAGCACTTTGGGAGACTGACGTGGGTGGATCACCTGAGGTTGGGAGTTCAAGACCAGTCTGGCCAACATGGAGAAACCTCATCTCTACTAAAAATACAAAAAATTAGCCAGGTGTGGTGGCACATGCCTGTAATCCAAGCTACTTGGGAGGCTGAGGCAGGAGAATTGCATGAACCCAAGAGGCAGAGGTTGCAGTGAGCCGAGATCGCTCTATTGCACTCCAGCCTGGGCAACAAGAGTGAAACTCCATCTAAAACAAACAAACAAACAAACAAAAAATCAAAAAAACATGCTTTCAAGCCATTGAAGCCATTGTCATGATAGCTCTACTAGTCAGAAAAGCCTGCAAGTTAACCCTAGAAAATAAAAATAATTTAACTGTTTACAGCCCACATAATGTAGCAGAATCACTGTCCTCTAGGGGGAGCTCTTAGCTGGTAAACAGCCCGTAAAGCAAAAAGTAAATAAGGCAGAATAAGCAGTAGTCACTCTCTCCAGGCACAAACACTCAATTAGCTGAGTTAATAGCTCTTTAAAAAGCACTTAAATTAAGCAAGGAAAAGGCAGCTAACATTTACACTAACTCCAAGTATGCTTTCTTGGTTCTCCATGCTCATGCTGCCATTTAAAACAAAAAAACATGTTCTTACTGCTAATAAATCTCCTATAAAAAATCACCAAAAAATTAGCAAGTTATTCTTATTTTTTCTTCCACAAAAAGTAGCAGGGATGCATTGTAAGAAACATCAAAGAATAAACAATAAGGTAGCCAAAGGAAATAAGTTAGCCAATCGGGCAGCTAAGTCAAAGGCATAAAAGCTTCAAGGCCTTAATGCACTTCAAGCCCCTTCTAATCTAAAAAGGCTCCATAAGAGAAATCACACCTCAGTATTCCCCTGAAAAAATAGAATAAGCCACTTCTCAAGGGCATACTTTTCAGCCCTCAGGATGGCTACAGTCAGGATGGCAAATTTATTGGTCAGCCTCCAGCCAACAGAAAGTTCTTGAAGTCCTAAGCTTTTCACTCAGGAAAAAATAAAACTTATCAATGGGCTCAAACATTGTTTTCAGACGGGAAACCTCTAGAATGGTTAACCACGTAACCTCTCTAGCTCACTTCCAACAAAAATTGACACAATAGCAGAAGCCCAGCCCTAGGAAATAAAACCACCTTTATTTAACTCAGGAAATTTAGTATTAGTAAGAACTCTCATCTCTGTCTCCTTCCCTAAGCCAAGCTAAAAAGGGCCCTACACTGTTCGTCTTTCAACCTCCTCGGCAGTAAAAGTTACAGGAATCAACTTCTACATGCATCACACTCAAGTCAAAGCCAAAAAGCTAAAAAACCAACCCCTAACAGTAAAAAAAAAAAAAAAAAAAAAAAAAAAAAAAAAAGCTAAATATTAATGTAAAAAAATAGAAGATCTTAAGCTAAAAATCATAGAAGATAAGTAACTAAGTAAGGGCTACACATCTTACTCAGTCCCACTCCTACCCACCAAATATGTTTTATTATTTCTAACCTTTTCTCACAAAGTTCACGGCCAAATATTAAAACTTCTTTTTAACACTTATTTGCAGCAAAATTTAAATATTCATAAAATCACATTTGTAACTTTCTGAATCCCCAAAGGAAAATGTTATATCTTGGCAAGTTTTTTTTTTTTTTTTTTTTTTTTTTTTTTTTTTTTGAGACAGAGTCTCGCTCTGTTGCCCAGCCTGGAGTGCAGTGGTGCAATCTCAGCTCACTGCAAGCTCCGCCTCCCGAGTTCACACCATTCTCCTGCCTCAGCCTCCCGAGTAGCTGGGACTACAGGCGCCCGCCACCACGCCTGGCTCATTTTGTGTATTTTTAGAGAGACGGGGTTTCACCATGTTAGCCAGGATGGTCTCGATCTCCTGACCTCGTGATCCACCCGCCTGGGCCTCCCAAAGTGCTGGGATTACAGGTGTGAGCCACCACACCCGGCCAGCAAGTAAAGTTTTAAACAAAAATTACTGGCCAGAAAAAAAAAAAAGCCATTCTTGTGAAAATTGTTGTAGTCACACTGCTATTTGCAATGAAACTATACTCTGTGGCACCCACAATGTAGAATTCTGGTTGTAAAATTGTAATTGTGGTAATATTTTGCCTGATTATCATCCTTATAACAAAATTAATAATTGCAGAAAAAATTTAATCAAGGTTGTTTTGCTTATAGCAGAAGTAATAGTAACGAATAAAAAGCAAGCATTAAAGTTTTACTAGCATTAAGTGTAATAAAACTTTTTACCAAAGGTTGGTGATATAATGCACTGTAAGCTATAAAAAGGTTATAAAAACATTTACATAAAAAAGGATTTTGTATGGTGAATACTTGTCCTAAAAGAAAATAACTGGTTGTTTAAAGGAAGAATGTTTAGGACAAGTCTAAAAGTTTAAGTGTGTTGTAAGAGAGTCTGTGAAAGTCATAAAAAATTTAATAATTAAAAAAAGTCAAAATTAACGCTAAAGTTATTTTAGCCACCCAATAATGTATTTCTCCCAATCATACTGCAAGTAGTAAAAATGGCCTAAGCCTAAAGTTATTCTCTACTGGCACGTTAAGGAGGAAACATATGCTTTTCTCTAGGAAAAAGTTACTTTTACAGTAACGTTCCTGGTAATGTACACCGACATCTAGTGGAGGAAAACCTGTATTGCAATCCATTGATACAACAACAGGTGTCAAACTCCACTGTCACTTAGGGTCTGTAGGACTGCCACTAACGATGGTATTTTTTTTTTTTTTTGAAACAGAGTCTTGCTCTGTTGCCCAGGCTGGAATGCAGTGGCACAACCTCAGCTCACTGCAACCTCCGCCTCCCGGGTTCAAGTGATTCTCCTGCCTCAACCTCCCAAGTTGCTGGGATTACAGGAACTCACCATCATGCCCGGCTAATTTTTGTATTTTTAGTAGAGATGAGGTTTCACCATGCTGGCCAGGCTGGTCTTGAATTCCTGTCCTCAGGTGATCTGCCCGCGTTGGCCTCCCAAAGTGCTGGGATTACAGACATGAACCACCACACCCAGCCCCAATGGTGGTAATCTTAATACTCATATTCTAACCCTATATTTTAAACCTTCTTGTAAAATTTCTCTCTTTTTGCCTAAAAGTAATTAAACTCCAAATGGTGCTGCAAGCAAAGCCACACATGGACACGCCATTCTTTTGAGAAACCTTAAATCAACCTCAGAAAAAGGCCCAACTGCTGTTCCCCCACACAACACCCCTTTTCAGCAGGAAGTAGCCAGAAAGAAACATGATCCAACACGCACTAACAGCAGTTAGCTTTGCCTCTCTTTAAGGGGAGGAATAATACAGGAGTTATTAAGGAATTATTTTAGGCACATAGTAAGGGTAAAGGTTCTTGGTGGAAATTTTCCTGTAATAAGAAACAACCCCTGAACCATCTCTTTTCTAACAGAGAAGCTGTCTTAAAGAGCCTGGCCGGCAAGCTTTAAAATTCAAATGCTGGCCATTAAAACATGGGTTCATGCAATATGGTGATTTCTGCCATCTTCTTATCACCACCTGTGCCAAGCGTGATGGCCACCTCCAAATAACACAAAGCATCATGGTGGCCCACATTTGCATATTAAAAGGCTAAGGTGGGAGGAACAAGTTTTTCGAGGGCTATGTAAATGACACACCTGGCCTAACCAATCCCCTGGGCCCTATGCAAACCAGACACTTGCCTCCTCCAGCCTCCCAATATAAGCAACCACTTTTCCACCACACACGGGGTTCTTCTTTGTTCCAAGCTCCCCTCCCTTGGCTCTGTACAGAGGAGCTCTTTTCTTCTTTCTTTCTTCTTTCTTGCCTATTAAACTTTTTGCTCCTTAAAACCACTCCACGTGTGTCCTTATTGTTTTATCTAAACTGGCATGAGACCAAAAACCCTAGTCACCAAAGCCATATCACTGGAGCTCATGGTCTCAGGTAAGAAACCTCCAACCCGTGTCCATTGAAGCTGGCATTAGTCGTGTGAATGTAGAACTTCATGTTAGTAACACAGCTTTTAAAATGTTTCCCTAAATTGAGGCGGAGCTTGCAGTGAGCCAAGATTGTGCCATTGCACTCCAGCCTGGGCGACAAAGAGAGACTCCGTCTCAAAAAAAAAAAAAAAAAGTTTCCCTAAATTGTATATTTTTACTGTATACAACATGTGGTATTGCAACATTCCTATTTGTGGGTTGGCTAAATCGATCTAATAAACATACACATCAGTTCACATACTTACTACTGTTTGTGGTGAGAACTCTTAAATCTACTCTCACAGTGATTTTCAAGAATAGAATATATCGTTATTAACTATAGTCACCATGTTGTAGCATAGATCTGGAAGTTATTCTGTCAAACTGGAATTTTGGACCCCTCTATCAACATCCTCCCAAGATATAGGAATAAATGTGAGCACATCAAAAGACACCCAAACCATTACTTATTATAAAAATTCATAGGAATCCACAGTGAGACACTACTTCAAACACTGGATTGGCCATATTCTGAAAAATAACAAATGTCAGGAAGGGTGTGCGGAAAGAGAACCTTCACGCACTGCTGGCATGATTGTGAAATTTTTCGGTGACTGTGAAAAGTGGTTTGGAGGCCGGGCGTGGTGGTTCACGTTTGTAATCCCAGCACTTTGGGAGGCCGAGGCAGGAGGATCACCTCAGGTCAGGAGTTTGAGACCGGCCTGGCCAAAATGGCAAAACCCCTTCTCTACTGAAAGTGCAAAAATTATCTGGGCACGGTGCAGGTGCCTGTAATCCCAGCTACTCAGGAGGCTGAGGCAGAATAGCTTGAACCCAGGAGCAGAGGTTGCAGTGAGCCGAGATCGTGCCGCTGCACTCCAGCCTGGGTGACAGAGCCAGACTCCATCAAAAAGAAAGAAAGAAAGAGAGAGAGAGAGAGAGAGAGAGAGAGAGGGAGGGAGGGAGGGAGGGACGGAGGGGGAGAGAGAGAGAGGAAAGAAAAGAAAGAAAGAAAGAAAAAGAGAGAAAGAAGAAAAAGAAAAAAGCGGTTTGACAGTTCCTTAAAAGATGAACCTAGGAAGGCTTATATGCTGTTGGTGGTAAATTAGCTCAACTTCTATGGAAAACAGCATAGAGGTTTCTCAAAGAACTAAATACAGAACTGCCGTTTGACCCAGCAATCCCACTACTGTAAAAGAAATAATTATATTAAAAAAGACACACGCACTCGTATGTTCACCGTGGTGCTATTCACAATAGCAAAGTCATGGAACCATCCTAGATGTCCATCCATCGTGGCATGGATAAAGTAAAAGTGGTAAATATATAGCCCAGAATACAGCATAGCCATAAAAAATAGTGAAATCATGTCCTTTGCAGGAACATGGATGGAGCTGGAGGCCATGATCCTACGTGAACTAACTCAGAATCAGAATACCAAACACTGCATGATCTCACTTACAAGTGGGAGCTACACAATAGGCACTCATGGACATAAAGATGGAGATAAACACAGGGAAACCCAAAAGGGGGGAAGGGTGGGAGGAGGGCAAGAGGTTAAAAAAATATATTAGGGCTGGGTGCGGTGGCTCACGCCTGTAATCCCAGCACTTTGGGAGGCAGAGATGGGGGGGATCACCTGAGGTCAGGAGTTCGAGACCTGCCTGGTCAATGTGCAGAAACCCCATCTCTACTAAAAATACAAAATTAGCTGGGCATGGTGGTGCATGCCTGTAATTCCAGCTACTCGGGAGGCTGAGGCAGGAGAATTGCTTAAACCTGGAAGGTGGAGGTTGCGGTGAGCCGAGATCGCACCACTGCACTCCAGCCTGAGCAACAAGAGTGAAACTCCATCTCAAAAAAAAAAAAATCTATCTATCTATTTATATATATATATACACACACACACATACATACACCAAACAAGCACATGTACCTTTTGAATATAAAATAAAATAAAATAATAATATAAAATAAAATAAAAAATAAACCTAGAATTACTCTATGATCTAGAAATTTCACTTCTAGGTATGTGACTAAAGGTTTAGGTTATACAAGACGAATGAAGTTTGCAATGTACCCTACAACATTTTGTCTTTAGTTAACAATACTGCATCATGAAGTTAAAAATTGGTAGGAGAATTAACTCTTCCTACCACAATAAAAAAAAAGACTGATAGTAGATATTGTGAAAGGAAATTAAATTTTGGGACCCCACACTCATTTAGCTAAGGGGGAAAGTCAAGCTGGGGACTGGGTCACACAAACCTGCCTCTCCATTTTGGTTCGTGAATAAGATGGCTACAAGGTGAAAAGCTACATGCCTCCCCCACGTTTTGCCCACAAGAAGATTCCTAGTGAGCTGTTAAAATTTCACCATGGCAATGTAAATTGATAGCTTATCTTTCCAATGTATATTGATAGCTTATCTTTCCAGTGTATACTGATAGCTTATCTTTCCAGTGTATATTGATATCTTATCTTTCCAGTGTATGATAGCTTATCTTTCCAATGTATACTGATAGCTTATCTTTCCAGTGTATACTGATAGCTTATCTTTCCAGTGCATACTGATAGCTTATCTTTCCAGTGTATACTGATAGCTTATCTTTCCAGTGTATGTTGATAGCTTATCTTTCCAGTGTATATTGATAGCTTATCTTTCCAGTGTATATTGATAGCTTATCTTTCCAGTGTATATTGATAGCTTATCTTTCCAATGTATATTGATAGCTTATCTTTCCAGTGTATATTGATAGCTTATCTTTCCAGTGTATATTGATAGCTTATCTTTCCAATGTATATTGATAGCTTATCTTTCCAGTGTATATTGATAGCTTATCTTTCCAGTGTATATTGATAACTTATCTTTCCAGGTACAGTCTCCCCAGCCCATCAGACACAAATGCATATCTGATCATTCCCCCACCCAATTTTGTCTATGTTTATCTTATGTAAAATGCAGATTCACTGCATATTTTCCTCTGCCCCATTTGTTTTTGTCGTCTGATGTAAAAAGTGCAGATTCACTGAACCAGACAAAGGCATGAATGACTATTTTTAAAAAAAATACAGATTCACTGAGCTAGACAAAGGCATGCGTAACTATTTTTCCTTACCCTCCTCTTACATGAAAATTGTGTGCTTCTCAATATCCCGCCCTTTACCCTTTAAATTTGGATCCCTCAAAATCATCTTCAGAGAAAGGCATAGATCTGTCTCCCAGGCACATCTTTAACTTTGGCAAATAAATCTCCTGAAATGATAAGAGACTTATCTCATTGGACAATATCCAAACACTTGTGCCCAAGTGTTTATAGAAGCATTATTCACAATAAAAAGATAAAAGTATCACAAATGTCCACCAACCAACGTGTTGCATCCATATGTTAGAAATTTACTCATCCATAAAAATGAAGTACTGATGCATGCTGCAATTTGGAGATTCAAAATATGAAGCTAAGTGAAAGAAGCCAGATCCAAAGGTCACATACTATATGATTACATTTATATAAAATGTCCAGCAGCTGGAAATCCACAGAGACAGAAAGCAGATTGATGGTTGCCTGGGGCTGAGCAGGGGTAGGGAGAGGAGAGGGACTGCTCCGTGGAACGGGGTTCCTTTTGGGGTGATGAAAATCTTTGGGAACTAGAGGTGGCAGTTGCTGCAATGAAAATCTACTAAATGCCACAGAGTTGTATATATATATATATGTATTTTTTTTTTGAGACGGAGTTTCACTTTTATTGCCCAGGCTGGAGTGCAGTGGTGTATTCTCGCGTCTCTGCAACTTCCGCCTCTCAGTTTCAAGCGATTTTCCTGCCTCAGCCCCCCAAGTAGCTGGGATTGCAGGTGGCCACCACAACACCTGTCTAATTTTTCTGTATTTTTAGTAGAGACGGAGTTTCACCATGTTGGCCAGGCTGGTCTTGAACTCCTGACCTCAGGTGATCCACCCGCCTCGGCCCCCCAAAGTGCTGGGATTATAGGCGTGAGCCACTGCGCCCGGCCTAGAGTTGTATACTTTTAAAGGGTCAATTTTACATTATCTGTATTTTACTTCAGTGAATGGAAATTTAAGAAAAAAGAGCATGGTTCTATGCAGATTTCTTTTATCTTAAAAAGTTGCAACATGACCCAGTGTTTTTTTTTTTTTAATGTGAGGTAAGATTCCTAATAAGTGAGAGACGTCCTAAGTCCCACAGTGTTCAGACATGAAGCTGATCTTTTCACCTTACATCTTAAATTCTAATGTGGCTGAGTACAGAATTCGGGATGAGCTCCAGGATTCCTGCAGTCTGTAACTTTTTCTGACACTTTACCATTCCACCCGTGATGACGGATTGTTCCTGACTTACCTTTGGAACATAAAGGCTCTTACACCACGTGTCTGGATCTGGTAAAAGAGATTACACGAGATTGAGAGCCTTACATGTCTCAGGCAATACTCATCCTCAAACCAACCCTGAGATATGGGTCATTATCTTCTTCTATAAGGAGGAAAATGGGAAAGAGGTGTTACATGATCAAGGTCAACCATCAGTAAATTCCACCCTCATGTCTTACATTAACACCCGTTCATTTCCTCCGGGGATCACTCTTGCCCAAAGCATGGAGACAGAATCCATGGTATCAGCTGAGGGCTGTGAGCAGGGAAGAAAAGAGGTAGTAAGGAAGGAGAAATGACTCAGATGTTTTGACAGAGAGTGACCCTGTTTGCCCCAAGAACACTTGCGGGTTACAGTCCTAATCTTACCCCCAAAGTGTTCCCAGACCAAACTGAGGGTGGGGCTGCTATTTCTCATGGCCCAATAATGAGATGCGGATGAACTGGGGAGGGAGAGAGTTTTTATTTCTGTTACCGGTTACAGGGAGAAGGCCTGGAAAACATTGCCAGACCAACTCAAAATTACAAAGTTTCCCAGAGCTTATATACCTTCTAAGCTATTTATTAAAAAATGCAGCTATTTTCTAAGCTATCTTCTAAGCTAAGCTAAGAAGATAGCTAAGCTTCTTCTAAGCTAAGCTAAGAAGATAGCTAAGCTTCTTCTAAGCTAAGCTAAGAAGATAGCTAAGCTTCTTCTAAACTATCTAAGCTAGATAAGCTTCCAAACTATCTTCTAATAAGTTTAGAAGATTCTAAGCCATTAAGCTACCTAAGCTATAGTCTTCTAAGCTATCTTCTAATCTTCTAAGCTTAGAAGCTTAGCTATCTAAACTAAGCTAAGATATTCTAAGCTTCTAATATCCATCTTTCACATCACCCATTTCCTGCACGGGATATGGCACGCCAGAGACCCAGGGGATGTTTTCTGCATGAATCTAGTAATAAACAAATACCTGCATCCCTCAGGGCTGATAAAGAGTCTATAAACCTCAGATGGAGAGTCTAGAATGTTAGAACATAAACCAGGGAATGTGTCAGATGCCTAAGAACCTTCACAGCAATTCTAGCAATTCTTCATAAAAGCAGCTGTCATTTACTGAGCATAGTTCATCAGGTTATCTCTAGGCATATAATGAAAATAATAATCATAGTAAAAAATAGCCCACATTATTGAATGACTGCTAAGAGCATGGTAGAATTTCACTTTGTACATCACATGTATTAACTATGTAGTTCCCCACCAAAACCATGTAAGGTAGATACTAGCACTATACTAAGTTTATATATGACACAATAGCAATGTGGGTAACTTTCCCTAACTCACGAAGTTAAAAGGGGCAGAGCTGTGATCAAATCTCAGGCTTCCTGGCTCCAGAGTCTTCCCTGTTAGTTCAACTGATTGCTTCCTATGAGAGGTAGAATATAATAATCTCTGATTGTCAACCCACCAAATATCCTTACAAAGAAGACATTTTTATTATTGCAATTTTATAGAAAAGCAAAGTGAGCCTCAGAGAGGCAAAGTGACTTCCCCAAGGAGACAGAGATAGCAAAAGGCAGATGTAGGTTTTGAAAGTACTGTGATGTAACTCCAAGCCTGTTGCTTTTTTTTTTTTTTTTGAGACCGAGTCTTACTCTGTTGCCCAGGCTGGAGTGCAGTCACGTGATCTCAGCTCTCTGCAAGCTCTGCTTCCTGGGTTCATACCATTCTCCTGCCTCAGCCTCCCAAGTAGCTGGGACTACAGGCACCCGCCACCACGACTGGCTAATTTTCTTTTTTTTTTTTTTTTTTGTATTTTTGGTGGAGACAGGGTTTCACTATATTAGCCAGGATGGTCTCCATCTCCTGACCTCATGATCATCCCTCCTCAGCCTCCCAAAGTGCTGGGATTACAGGCGTCAGCCACTGTGTCTGGCCCCAAGCCTGTTGCTTTTTAGTCAATACCCTATAAACTGGTTTCCTGAACATGGTCTGGAAAGAGATGACCTGAGGTGGATGAGGAAGAGCCAACTCTAAATGCCACCCTGGGCCGTGCTAGTGGTTGTCCTGCTGGGTGAGCGGCTAACATCATAAGCTTCTGAATTCCATTCCTATTCAGAATCCATGGAGTGGATGTGTCTTTTTCCAATTTATTCTGATGCATTCGCTAAATATTTATTAGACACCTTCAGGGAATCTCTATTTAGGAGTCTCTAAGAGGGGGCCCAGCTCATACAAATGTATCAACTAACACACCAGAAAACAGTGGAAGCCTTGTTGCTTCCTGGACTCTGACCATGGTGCTGAAACTAGAGTTCATGGCAACATCCCAGTCAGTGCTGTGGACAGCGACCACAGGAGCCACTCTCCTGGGGCTGGGGCCTGATAGAGGAAATAGGAATGGTGTCTAGATACAGGGCCAGGTCTGTTGGAGACCTTGAATAGGAGCCAAAATTGAACAGGATGTGGGGAAGCTCAAGAGGTTGATGACGTCTAGCTGGACCATGGAATGTTGCTATCTAAATAGGCAATTATTTTTGTACTCTACACCAGGGTAGGCAGACAGGAAGCCAAGAGGGAAGCATCCTGGAACTTCCTTCGTCATACAGAATACTGAGTTTCCTTGGCTGCTCATGAGTGTATATTATGAGTGCAATAAAGTTTGAGTGCGATTATCCCTTAGACTAAAATCTGTTTTTGCAAGAGTTTTCTTCAGAGAAATGGAACCAATCAGATGTTTATTTATGTATATACCTATCCTCTGTCTATCTAGCTATCTGTTTATTTCTCTAGGAATGTGCATTATGAATACAATATGGCCCCTCTTACTGTGGGCCAACGTTTGTTCCATGTTTTAGCCAATGAACCAGACAAACTGTTAGAGCCATGTCTAGCTCACTGAGATGCAACATTAAATGCAGGATCTCTCCTTAGTAGGTCCATATCAATAACATTGGCCTGGCTCAACTTTATCTTCCTTTCACCATTATCCAACACCCTTAATGTCCATTCGCACACATGTTCCCTAGATTTCTAGGTGTATAAATCAGAAGAACTTAGTAGTCACTTTGGAGTGTAGCACATTTCCCCATGGATCACACATTGAACCTATGGCTTAGAAGCAAAGATGGGTAGTGGGGGCGGATCCTGAGGAAAATTAGCACTGTCTTGCATGGCAACTGCCTCCGCGGAGGCCACTATTGTTTCCTCAGACAGTGCAGGGTTAATCTCCTCAGATGCACGGGGAGAGAATGCTTCCATTGTCAAAGAGCATGATTAAGGAACTCACTGTCCTTACCTTCATCAGTGTCTTTCACACATCCCTATTCCAAATGTCAAGATTCCACACCTTCCGAATCAATACCCTTAAAGTAGACACCCTTTGAGGCTGGGAATTCCATTTGTATTGTAATTTAGCCACTTGAAGGGTGAGTTTCTGGGTTTGCTTTTTCTTTTTCTTTTTTTTTTTTTTTTGAGACAGAGTCTTGCCCTTGTCCCCCAGGCTGGAATGCAATGGCACGATCTCGACTCACTGCAACCTCCACCTCCTGAGTTCAAGCAATTCTCCTGCCTCAGCCTCTTGAGTAGCTGGGATTACAGGCACCAGCCACCACACCTGGCTAATTTTTGTATTTCTAGTAGAGACGGGATTTCGCCAAGTTGGCCAGACTGGTCACGAACTCCTGACCTCACATGATCTGCCCACCTCGGCCTCCCGAAGTGCTAGGATTACAGGCGTGAGCCACCGCACCTGGCCCCAGGTTTGACTTTTCAAAGGCCTCAGCCCTGTGGCTACAAATGATGAGTATCTTTTAGGGCAGATATAGAAGTCTTAGCTCATTTATGTTTGCACTTGAACTGAAAATTCAAATCTTTGAATTCATCCTCTTCTTTCCCCAACTTTGTCCAGTGACAACCCAGCCAATCTCATTATGCTCATTAGTTTTCAAAAACATTCAAAAGTATTATGTACATGATCACTCAGATTCTTTTTTTTTTTTTTTGAGACGGAGTCTTGCTCTGTCGCCCAGGCTGGAGTGCAGTGGCATGGTCTCCGCTCACTGCAAGCTCCGCCTCCCAGGTTCATGCCATTCTCCTGCCTCAGCCTCCCAAGTAGCTGGGACTACAGGCGCCCACCACCACACCTGGCTAATTTTTTAGTATTTTTTTTTTTTTTAGGAAAGATGGGGTTTCACCGTGCTAGCTAGGATGGTCTCGATCTCCTGACCTCGTGATCCACCCGCCTCGGCGTCCCAAAGTGCTGGGATTACAGGGGTGAGCCACCGCACCCGGCCCACTCAGATTCTTATAAATGTTTGTTAGGCGTTTCCAATGATGACATTTGGTGTATCCCTATGGCCACATCATGTTATGCACTATCAACACTACTGGAAATGGAGTCATTAGTGTTTTTAAATCTAATCAAATTAGAAAGCCGATTTCAGAAACTTTGGATCCAATTCAGAAAACTCATCCTTAAAAATTCTGTTCCTTTGGAATCATCCCTGGAACCAAAATGATTTTTTTTTCAAGGGTTCTCCAGAGAAATTGAACCAGCAGAATGTTTATTTATGTGTCTATCTGTGTATCTATGTATCTATCTATGTATCTATCCATGTATCTATGTATCTATCTATTTATCTATCTATCTATTTATTTGTTTATCTATTCATTTACCTAGGAATTGGCTCATGTGATTGTAGGAGCTTGGTGAGTCCAAAATCTGCAGGACAGTAGAGTATCCTGGAGACTCAGGAAAGAGTTGTAGCAAACTAAAAAATCCAAAGACAATCTGCTGGAAGAATTTCTTCTTGCTCAGGGGAGCTCTCTGCTATTACTTTATTGTTATTTTGCTCACAAGACATGTATCATCCTATAACATATTGGATTTTCTATTAATTTTTGTTGTTGTCTAATATCCATCTTTCTCAACTATAATATTGATTCAATACAGACACTTTTTTAGAAGTCTTTCTGTCTTTTTTCTGATACATCTTATACACCAAGAATCACGTTTGACCCATTAGATACTTAATGTGTGCCCATGAAAACAGTGAATAAAAGTGTCTCCACTTCTTCCAAGTTTATTTTTAACACTGGAGCAAATGATTTCTACTTGATTCTCTCTTTTTTTCTCCCTTCCAGGCTGCCTTTAGTGCAAAGTCCTCAGAATGGAAAAATATTCTTGGGGGAGGCAAAACCTTAAGGTTGGCAAGAAACAAACCCCAGCCTTATCCTTACTTTCCTTCTCTCAGTTAGATCTCAATGTCCTTGGCTGCAATGCCGTCTCTACCTAGTCTACTTCAAGCTTCCCAGATATGATTTCCTCTCTAAGTTTCTCTGTCTCTTCCTGTCTCTGTCTCTCTATTGTTCTGTTTCTTTCCATCTCTCTCTTTCTTGCTCCAACTTTCTCAGTCGACTAAAACTAATAGCTACGAATAGCTTTCAGTAATTTGAACATTTCACGGATGTTTTTCTAGATCAACTGAAATCCCTATGCAAACACTGTCACTGTACTTGCAGATGAAATGATAATCACTTCCCGGCAAGAAAAGGATCTCATGGTAGTCTTAAGCCTTTATCTCAGGGTTAAGATGCCCCCTTTTGTGGAGGTGCTTAGACTGTGACTATGGCAGTTGCTTTCCCAGCAAGAAACTGCATTTGGTAAGTGGACCTTCTTTCAGTTAGAGAGCCATATTCTTAGAGATGTAGAATATTTGTTGCAACATATATGTGTGTGTGTATATATATATATATATATATATATATATATATATATATATATATATATATATATGGTGTAAACATCCCGGTCTATTTCCCCTAAGGTCAAAACTGAACATGGAAAAGAAACATGGGGCAGGGGTATTTTCTGAGAGTTCCTGAGACACAGAACCACCCCAGCCTTCCCACTCAGGGCTGCCTGGCATCTCCTGTTTACCTTCTCTGTCATAGCCCCATCTGAAAGACTCTGTCTGAATAAATATACCAAACCTCATAGTCTTAGCTCTCCTCTTTGTACGAGGGGTAAGAGTGTGTTCAGGTCTTGGCTCCTGTTCACACACCTGTTGTCTAATGGCAACTGGTACTTAGGACATTTGAAATATCTCTGGTGGCTGCATGCTGCACTTTGGTTGGCAATGGCTGTACGTCTCTGAAAACCTTCTGTGATGATTGCAAAACGGTACACTTTCATCTCCTTTCTTATGGGTTCCGGGGAGCCGAATGCACTTGATTTCACCAGTAATATATGTCTATAGACAATTTCTCAGATCGGCGTGAAGAAGGTAAATTATATCTTTCATTTAGAAAAATATAAATCTCACTTTTACAAAACGTGACTAAGAATTGTCAAGGCTTAGAGAGCAGGAATAATCAGGGACTATATGGGTGTTCATGTCTAATAAATGCAACTCTGATCCTTAACCGTATTTAAAAGCGCTTTCAGAGTTCCGAAACCTTTTCATCTGCTCCAGATTCACTGGGTTCTGAAGCCAAAGCTTTCTGAAACTGTTCCTCCTCTCAGCCCCTAAGTGGTGAACGCTTGGTCTGTTCTGACAGCTGAGATCCTAGCCACGGGAGCGTGAGGTGAGGAATTTCCTGTCACCATCCCAGAAAGTAAAATATAGCCTCATTATTTCCTAATTGTGTTTCCATAAGAAAAACAAAGAATTCGATAAAAGAAACAAAGACCAGTATTTACTTTTTCATAAATGATTGTAGTTACTGAAGGACATATGGGGCCCGTAATCACAACGGGTCTAGGACTCACAGGTATTTTCTCGTCTCCATTATTTACCATAATTGTGTCATTCTCACTCCTGCTTACATGATTTATTTGGTATAATTTAAATGTATTTGTATGTTTTCTCTATGACTTAATGGGCAACATGCCCCTTTCTCTAACTTGTGTTTGTTGGTTTGTTGATCTCTGATACAAATTTGCTAAATATATTCTAGTTGTTGTTATAAAATATTTTCTTTCCAAGAAAATTTTTCAACAGGTTCATGTGCACACCATATATGAAATTCATATTCTTTTCTTATTCTCTTATTTTTCTCCCCATCCTCTACAACACTTGGGCCAAACTGTTATGGATTATTGTGTATCCACCAAGAAATGGCTTTGAGTTTTTAAAGTATCTATTTCTCTGAACTAATCTGTAATTTCCAAGAATCTAATATTTCTCAATTTTTAACACCAATTATTTTACTTTGTAATTTAACAACTTGTTAATTATTAAACAAGTAAAAAATGCAAAAATAAAAACTATGTTTTGATAGTTTCTAATTTATATTCTTTGGAAAATGTCTAAATTTTAGGAAATTAAAATTTTTTTCGAATTGAATGTGGCTAGAAATAATAATTTTTCACTGCATGGCATTACGTAAGTGTAATAGAATTCTACTCTCATCCTACTTTAGATAATGCCAAACTGAGAAACCATTATTAATTTATTTTGTTTTTGTCTAGACATGAAAATGAAAAGTTGCCATCAGAAGAATCATTATGGAAAGTGAAAATATGGTGCTAAATTAAATATGTGGCAAATAAATGTGTTTTTTTAACTTTTAGGTTCAGAGGTACATGTGCAGGTTTGTTATATAAGTAAATTGTGTGTTACAAGGGTTTGAAGTACACATTATTTTGTTATCCAGGTGATAAGCATAGTACCAAATAGGTAGTTTTTCTGTCCTCACCCTCCCCACTTCCTCAACCCTCAAGGAGGTCCCCCTGTGTGTGATTACCAAGGAGGCCCCACTGTGTGTTATTACCTCCTATGTGTCCATTATGTATTCAGTATTTACTTCCAACTTATAAGTGACAACATATAGTATTCAGCTTTCTTTTTCTGTGTCAGTTCTCTTAGAATAATGACCACCAGGTCCATTAATGTGGCTGAAAATGACAGTATCTTATTCTTTGTTTTGAGGCAGAATCTCTCTGTCACCCAGGCTGGAGTGCAGTGGCACTATCTCAGCTCACTGCAGCCCCCGCCTCCCAGGATCAAGCAATTCTTGTGCCTCAGCCTGCCGAGTAAATGGGATTACAGGTATGCACCACCACACCCAGCTAGTCTTGTTTTGTTTTGTCTTGTTTTTTGAGATGGAGTCTCGCTGTGTCGCCAGGCTGGAGTGGAGTGGCGTGATCTCGGCTCACTGCATCCTCTGCCTCCCGGATTCAAGCGATTCTCCTGCCTCAGCCTCCTGAGTAGCTGGGACTACCAGGTGCACACCACCATGCCCAGCTAATTTTTGTATTTTTAGTAGAGACGGGGTTTCACCATGTTGGCCAGGATGGTCCCAATCTCTTGACCTTGTGATCCGCCCACTTCAGCCTCCCAAAGTGCTGGGATTACAGGCATGAGCCACTGCATCTGGCCAGTTTTTGTATTTTTTTTTTTTAGTAGAGATGAAGTTTTGCCATGTTGGCCAGGCTGGTCTCAAACTCCTGTCCTCAAGTTATCCACCCGCCTCGGCCTTTCAAAGTGCTGGGATTACAGGTGTGATATATATGATATATATGTGTCCTCATGGACACAGAGAGGGAACTTCACACACCAGGGCCTGTCAGGGGGTTGGGTAGGGGGGTAGGGGAGGGATAGCATTAGGAGAAATACCTAATGTAGACGACGGGTTGATGGGTGCAGCAAATTGCCATGGCACTTGTATACCTATGTAACAAACCTGCACGTTCTGCACATGTATCCCAGAACTTACAGTATAATAATAATAATAATAAAAAGAGTGGTCTCTGGGCTATAAGTTCCCTGCAGAGGATTGCATCATCTATTTTGTCACTGCCCCCACCCTAATGTTTGTAGGCTCATATATTATGCCAGTTAATATGCAAAGACTTAGGGATTTAGTTCTGAATAAAAATGAGAATGGCCATGGCCTCATATTGCTTATGAGACTGCCAAAACCGAACGTGGTGTACATAATTACCCAGATGTATGGTGACTTCTTGAAAAATGAAGCATAGCCTTGCCATGTAATCTTGCCATTTTACTTCTGTGTATATATCCAGGGGAAGTCAAAGCAAATACTTGAGCAGATATTTATACCTCCATGTGCACAGCAGCATTACTTACAACAAACAAAAAGAATAAACCACCCAATGTTCATAGATGGATGAGTGGAGACATAAACTGTAGTGTAGACATACAGTAGAGTATGTATGTCTTACAAGGAATGAAATCATGATTGCCACATTCTACAACACGGGTGAAACTTGAAGATGTTATGCAGACTGAAATCAGGCAATCACAAAAAGACAAGTATTGTATGATTCTATTTATATGAAGTGCATAGAATAGGCAAACCCATAGAGACAGAAAGTAGAATATTGGCTTCCAGGGGCTGGGGTTGGGGGAGAGAAAATGGGAATTGGTATTTAATGCATACAGATTTTCAGTTTAGGATCATGAAAAAGATCTGGAGATGGATGGGGATGATGGTTGTGCAACGGTGTGGATGTACTTCAGCAAGGTGCCGTGGCTCACGCCTGTGTGTCTGCATGCTAGGGTCTCGGGGGTTTTATAGGCACAGGATGGGGGCGTGGCAGGCCAGGGTGGTCTTGGGAAATGCAACATTTGGGCAGGAAGTGCCCGTCCTCACCTAGGTCTGTGAGGGTGGAGCCCTAGCCAGGGACCACGCCCTCCTCTGCCCAGCACTTCCCTTCCCTCTTCTGTATTATTTAAAGGGACTACACCCTTCCCTTCCCAGCACTTCTTTATCACCACTTAGAAAGGCCATTATCAAAAAGACAAAAAATAACAAGTGGTGGCTAGGATGCAGAGAAAAGGGGACTCTTGTGCACTGTTGAAGGCAACAAGAAGGATTGTGGTCATTACAGGAAACAGTACATAGGTTCCTCATAAAACTAAAAAGAGAACCACCCTATGACCCAGCCAGCCCAGTTCTGGGTATAGATCGAAAGGAAAGGCAATCAGTATATTGAAAGGATAGCTTCACCCCGGTGTTTACTGCAGCACTATTCACAATAACCAAGATTTGGAAGCAACCTAAGTGTTTATGTACAGATGAATGGATAAGGAAAATGTGGTACATTTACACAATGGAATATTACCAGTCGTTAAAAAGAATGAAATCCTGTCATTTGTGGCAACACGGATGAGCCTGGAGGAAATAAGTGAGATAAGCCAGGCATAGAAAGACAAAGGTAGCGTGTTCTTACTCATCTGTGGGAGTTAAAACAGTAGATCTCAGAAGCAGAGAGCAGAGTCGTGGTAACTAGAGGCTGGGAAGGGTGGGAAGAGGGGAGAGGGAAATGCTGGTTAAAGGATACAGAATTACAGCTAGATGGAGGAAATAATAAGTTCTGGTATCCTACAGCACTGTAGGATGACTATAGTTAACAATAGTTTACTGTACAGCTAGATGGAGGAAATAAGTTCTGGTACCCTACAGCACTGTAGGGTGACTATAGTTAACAATAGTTTACTGTACAGCTAGATGGAGGAAATAAGTTCTGGTATCCTATAGCACTGTAGGGTGACTATAGTTAACAATAGTTTACTGTACAGCTAGATGGAGGAAATAAGTTCTGGTATCCTATAGCACTGTAGGGTGACTATAGTTAACAATAGTTTACTGTACAGCTAGATGGAGGAAATAAGTTCTGGTACCCTACAGCACTGTAGGGTGACTATAGTTAACAATAGTTTACTGTACAGCTAGATGGAGGAAATAATAAGTTCTGGTACCCTACAGCACTGTAGGGTGACTATAGTTAACAATAGTTTACTGTACAGCTAGATGGAGGAAATAAGTTCTGGTATCCTATAGCACTGTAGGGTGACTATAGTTAACAATAGTTTACTGTACAGCTAGATGGAGGAAATAAGTTCTGGTACCCTACAGCACTGTAGGGTGACTATAGTTAACAATAGTTTACTGTACAGCTAGATGGAGGAAATAATAAGTTCTGGTACCCTACAGCACTGTAGGGTGACTATAGTTAACAATAGTTTACTGTACAGCTAGATGGAGGAAATAATAAGTTCTGGTATCCTACAGCACTGTAGGGTGACTATAGTTAACAATAGTTTACTGTACAGCTAGATGGAGGAAATAATAAGTTCTGGTATCCTACAGCACTGTAGGGTGACTATAGTTAACAATAGTTTACTGTACAGCTAGATGGAGGAAATAAGTTCTGGTATCCTACAGCACTGTAGGGTGACTATAGTTAACAATAGTTTACTGTACAGCTAGATGGAGGAAATAAGTTCTGGTATCCTACAGCACTGTAGGGTGACTATAGTTAACAATAGTTTACTGTACAGCTAGATGGAGGAAATAATAAGTTCTGGTATCCTACAGCACTGTAGGGTGACTATAGTTAACAATAGTTTACTGTACAGCTAGATGGAGGAAATAAGTTCTGGTATCCTACAGCACTGTAGGGTGACTATAGTTAACAATAGTTTACTGTATATTTTCTTTTTTAGATGTTTTTATTATACTTTAAGTTCTAGCGTACCCTAGAAGCTTTATTCAGTACTGAATCCCAAAGTCTTTGCATATTAACTGGCATAATATATGAGCCTACAAACATTAGGGTGGGGGACAGTGAAAAAATAAATGATGCAACCCTCTGCAGGGAACTTATAGCCCAGAGACCACTCTTTTTTTATTATTATTATACTTTACGTTCTGGGGTACACGTGCAGAACGTGCAGGCTTGTTACATAGGTATACATGTGCCATGTTGGCTTGCTGCACCCATCGACTCGTCATTTACATTAGGTATTTCTCCTAATGCTATCCCTCCCCCAGCCCCCCAGCCCCAGACAGTCCCCAGTGAGTGATGTTCCCCGCCCTGTGTCCAGGTGTTCTCATTGTTCAATTCCCACCTATGAGTGAGAACATGCGGTGTTTGGTTTTCTGTCCTTGTGATAGTGTACTGAGAATGATGGTTTCCAGCTTCATCCATGTCCCTGCAAGGGACATAAACTCATCCTTTTTTATAGCTGCATAGTATTCCATGGTGTATATGTGCCACATTTTCTTAATCCAGTCTATCATTGATGGACATTTGGGTTGGTTCCAAGTCTTTGCTATTGTGAATAGTGCCACAGTAAACATACGTGTGCATGTATCTTTATAATAGCATGATATATAATTCTTTGGGTATATACCCAGTAATGGGATTACTGGGTCAAATGGTATTTCTAGTCCTAGATCCTTGAGGAATCGCCACACTGTCTTCCATAATGGTTGAACTAATTTACACTCCCACCAACAGTGTAAAAGATTTCCTGTTTCTCCACATCTTCTCCAGCATCTGTTGTTTCCTGACTTTTTAATGATTGCCATTCTAACTGGTGTGAGATGGTATCTCATAGTGGTTTTGAGTTTATTGTATGTTTTCAAAGAGCTAGAACTCCTGGGCTCAAGTGATCCACCTGCCTTGGCCTCCCAGAGTGCTGGGATTAAGTGCATCTTTATTATAACTTATAATTGACACATAATAATTGTATATATTTGTAGGGTATAGAGTTGATATTTCAACACATATATATAATGTGTAATGGTTAAATAAGAGTAATGAACATATCCGCCATTTCAAACATTTATCGTTTCTTTGTGTTGAAAACATTCAAAATCCTCTCTTCTAGCTATCTGAAAATATACAATAAACTCTTAATGAGTCAATAGGTTGTCGTTGGTGGCACTTCTTGTGGTTATAGGGATTGCTCTTTGCTGTCCGTGTTTGTTGAATGGTTCATTTCTTACACACCTAATTATCCATGGAAGGTAGTTCTTAGTGCTCTCCTGGGGGTCAGACTGAAAAAGAGGGGATTGTTCCAGCTATCCCTGCTGCATGATCTCAACTCCTCCAAACATATCATCTGCTTAGGGTTTTGCCCAGCACAGGAGGGTCTAGTGTGAACCTCACACTCACACGTGGGACAGACACCCATATCTGACAATGTCGCGGTGAATCTGTTTCACACAAACAAGGGAGATGATTCAGTGTGGACCACGGGCCCATGTCAATGAGCAGAGATATTCCAGCGCCTGTCCACACACACAGGGGAGGAGGAACCACAGCTTCCAGCCTCACCCAGAGCCCTGACTCCTCCCTGCCTGTGAGGACCTGGGGTTCCTCTTCTGTCCCACACACAGAGGTGGAAATCTCCCCCACTAATGAGCCCTGGGTGGTCCCAGGCACCAGTGGTCCCTCAGCTCTGGTCTATGATCTGTCTTACGGCACCCTGTCTATTTCAGGAATTTGTTATTTAACTTTTTCTACATTAAGACCATGACTACAGGATTCAGAAATATCGTAACTAGGTTTCTCAGTGTTCAAAGTTGACGTCGGCTCTTCATGGGGGCATCAATCATTGTCCTCCACTGTGGAGCCCAACATCAGGATCCTCTCCCATCCCCACCCTCCTGTCTTAACTTGTCTAGAAATTAACCATGGCTGAGCCCCTCCCATGTCCTGGGCACCACTGACCCCCATAGCCACTGTGATGAGTGGGGCTCATGACAACAGGCTCCAAACGTGGAAATTGAGGCTCAGGGATGGGATATTACTTCCCAAGTTCACACAGGCAGGGGATGATAATCAGGAATTAAATAAAAGTCACCTCCCAACCCAATGTCCGAAATCAGAGCTCAAACCTAACGTAATTGCTCCAAAAACCTTAAACGTGGATTAAGGCACAGAGGAAGGCCCAGGAAGTGAGGGGCACTGAGAAGGCAGGAATGACTTAGAGGTTTGTTCTCAGGGGTGGGGGGTGGATGCTGCTGCAAAAAGAAAGGAAGGAAAGACGGAGGGAAGGAAGGAGGGAAGAAGGAAGGAGGGAGAGAGGGAGGGAGGAAGAGGACGGAAGGAAGGAAGGAAAAAAATAGGAAGTTTGGTAGAAAGGAAGAGACTGTTCTTGAAGGGACAAGAAAGGGACTGTTTGGCAGAAAGGAAACACACACTCCAGGGACAGAAAAACATATGTTTTATTCTCTTTATTCCCTGCATCTCTCTTGTGTTCTCACTGCCACATGCAGCTCAGCCTCGGCTGCACAGCCAGGTGTCAGGTGCGTCTCTGCTGATCTGAGTCTGCCTGCAGCATGGACCTGGGTCTTCCCTGAAGCATCTCCAGGGCTGGAGAATCACTGACCATGGTAAGGACCCCGCAACGCTGAGCTGATGGATGGGCTGAAGGAGGGAGGGAGACCCCATGGGGAGGCTGTGAGAGGGAAGAGGTCACCCTCGCCTGAAAGGGGCTGACTCCGGAAGGCATCAGGTCTATTTGCTGTTGTGTCCCGGCTCTCGGTAAGATAAAGACAGATCAGGCAGACAGTGGCCTGGGGGCAGGGAGACCCCATTTCTCTCTGAAATGTCTGCAGAGAGCCTGGTGCCCACCCCCATCTCAGCCCTGGGGAAATGAGAGCCAGCCTCCTGGGGAGGGCAGTTTCCGTTCCTGTGGGCTGCGGATGAGATAACCCCATGACAAGAAAGACCCAGCCTCTGAGGGGCCACACCCTGTGTGTCTCTCTGTCCTGCCAGCACCAACGGCTCATCCATTTGCAAAGCTGAAAGGAGGCAGAGGAGACGCCATGACCGCCGCCCTCACAGCCTTGCTTTGCTTTGCTTTGGTGAGATTTGAAGAGGAGAGAGGAAACCCCACAGGCCCTGGTCCATCAAGAGATCCCAGGGCTTTAGGGAGCTCCCAGGCAGGGGAGGACTTGCTCAGGCTTCAGGGGACAAATCCCTCACTGGGAATTCTCTTCCAGGGCTGAGTCTGGGCCCCAGGACCCGCATGCAGGCAGGTGAGTCTGTCCCCAGCTCTCCCAGGTCCCTCCTCCTCACCCTGGACAGTTGGGGATGGAGACAGCAGTTCTGGGCAGGCAGCTGGGATGATCTGAGGGGTGGGGAAGGTCTTGGGATCCAGGCTTTGATTTCCTTCCATGTACTCTCCCCAGGCCCACCCTCTGGGCTAAGCCAGGCTCTGTGATCAGCTGGAGAAGCCCCATGACCATGTGGTGTCAGGGGACCCTGGAAGCCCAGGAGTACCATCTGTATAAAGAGGGAAGCACAGAGCCCTGGGACAGAACGAATCCACTGGAGACCAGGAACAAGGCCAGATACTCCATCCCATCCATGACACAGCACCATGCAGTGAGATATCAGTGTTACTATCTCAGCCCTGCGGGCTGGTCAGAGCCCAGTGACCCCCTGGAGCTGGTGATGACAGGTGAGAGGACACTCAGGGGTCCCAGCCCCAGGCTCTGCCCTCAGGAAGGGGGTTGGCTCTCAGGGGTGTCTCCCTCTCACAGCCCAGCCCTGGGGATGATGTGGGAGGTGGGAGCCCCATTTAACATGGTGCCTCCTTCTCTCCTAGGATTCTACAGCAAACCCACCCTCTCAGCCCTGCCCAGCCCTGTGGTGGCCTCAGGGGGGAAAGTGACCCTCCGATGTGGCTCACAGAAGGGATATCACCATTTTGTTCTGATGAAGGAAGGAGAACACCAGCTCCCCCGGACCCTGGACTCACAGCAGCTCCACAGTGGGGGGTTCCAGGCCCTGTTCCCTGTGGGCCCCGTGACCCCCAGCCACAGGTGGAGGTTCACATGCTATTACTATTATATGAACACCCCCCAGGTGTGGTCCCACCCCAGTGACCCCCTGGAGATTCTGCCCTCAGGTGAGGGAGCCACGGCCTTGTCTAACACACTTTCCGGACAGCTGACAGGTTGTGGGGAGTTTGGCTGGTGACTGAATCTGGAAAGGACCCAGAGTGATGTGTTGATGGATGGGCTGAAGGCATGAGGGAGACCCCATGGGGAGGCTCTGACATGGGAGGACAGAGCTCTCCCCCTGTCCTGGCCCCTGGAGAGACCCTGACCCTCCAGTGTGGCTCTGATGTCGGCTACGACAGATTCACTCTGTACAAGGAGGGGGAATGTGACTTCCTCCAGCGCCCTGGCCAGCAGCCCCAGGCTGGGCTCTCCCAGGCCAACTTCACCCTGGGCCCTGTGAGGGGCTCCCACGGGGGCCAGTACAGATGCTACGGCGCACACAACCTCTCCTCCGAGTGGTCGGCCCCCAGTGACCCCCTGGACATCCTGATCGCAGGTGAGGAGCCCAGCGGGTTCAGTCAGGGACCCAGGCTCCGCACAGGCATTGCCGGGGGAGCCCAGGTGGTGATGGCCGGGATGAGGGGTGGGGGTCCCAAGGTAGGGAGAGACAGACAGAGACAGGGGATGGGGGGGAGGGGGAGACTCAGAAAACAGACACAGAGACTGAGGGTCCCAGGGAGAGGCCTGGGGAGGTCTCAGCTCAGAACAAGGTGGGGCAGCCCCTCACCCATCTGTCTTCTGTCCAGGACAGATCCCTGGCAGACCCTCCCTCTCGGTGCAGTTGTGGCCCACAGTGGCCTCAGGAGAGAACGTGACCCTGCTGTGTCAATCACAAGAGTGGATGCACACTTTCCTTCTGACCAAGGAGGGGGCAGCCCATCCCCTGCTGTGTCTGAGATCAAAGTACGGAGCTCATAAGTACCAGGCTGAATTCCCCATGAGTCCTGTGACCTCAGCCCACACGGGGACCTACAGGTGCTACGGCTCACTCAGCTCCGACCCCTACCTGCTGTCTCACCCCAGTGGCCCCGTGGAGCTCGTGGTCTCAGGTGAGGGCGCTGACCCTGTCCTCTCTGAGCTCAAAGGCTCAGCTCAGGCCCTGCCCCCAGCAGAGCTCTGGACACTAAGGAAAGAGGGGAGTGAAGGGAGAGGGTCCGCAGGGGAGGGTCCAGCTCATGGGAAGATGGAAATAGACAGGGACCTCCCACCCCTGGCTCCCACCCCTGAAGTCTCAGTAGAGTAAAGTGCAGGGAGGGCTGGGAGGAGACGGGGGGTGAACCTCAAAGGAGTTGAGATTAGACTGAGGGTGGAAGACGGAGGCCCCACCTGCTCCCATCCTGGTGTCTCCACCTCAGAATCAGAGCCTCTGGGTCCCAGTCCCCAACAGACGCCCTCCTGGAGAGAGAAGCATCCAGGCTGCCGGTGCCACCTGCATCCACCCCCGACCCCCCCCCACCCCGCCCCACTTCCTGCTTTCCCCTGCAGCCTCCCCAGCACTCAGCGCACACCTGAGCCTCACAGGGACTTGCACGTGCTCCCGCAGCAGCTCAGGGAATGTGCACCGCTCCTCTTCTGCGCCGTTGACATTTTTTATTTGGGTTTTTAAAATCTCATATTGGCCTTTTTGTCCAAGCTGGTGAAAGTAGATTTGCAGCATCACCTATTTTTATTCTCACCCGGTTTCGTAATAGCCCTGATCTCACGTGCTCCCTGAGGTTTTGTAAACTTCAGGTAGAAATGTGGACTTCCTTCGTTCTGGACATTTGCTATGGAGGGGGTAGGGCTTATCTTTTCAGAAAAAGTCAAATGACTGGTACCACTCCTTGAAACCCTACAGCACTTTCCAGACCTCAGAGGGAGGGAGAGAGAGGCAGAGACAGAGACAGAGAGACAGAGAGAGAGATATTGGGGCCGCTCTTTCCTGGCTGGTTCATCCTGGCCTATTCTCAATCCACCAAGGCCCCGAAGCTCATCTCCCCTCCTCCTCTGCCTCCTCCTCCACCCTGTAGACAAGCGGCCATTCCTTTCTGAAGAACAGGCTGAGACCTTTCTGGGACCTGCTCTTTCTGGAGCCTCTGTTGCTCCCTGTCTGGGTCTCCACACGCCTCCTTCCTGGCCCTTTTTCCTATTGAGGAATCAGCTTCAATGTCACCTCCAAGTGTGACCTTCACTGACGACACAGCTCAGCCCAGTCCTGCCTGCTTCTCATTTATGTCAAGTAATTAACCAACCTACACCATGCGGCTGAATTCCTTCTCTCTCTCTTCCACTCTCTGCACATACGTGTGTGTGTGTGTGTGCGCGTGTGTGGTCACACCGACATCTTACGTGACATTGAAACCTAGTTATCCGTATATCTATACAAATAATATATATTCACACATAAATATAGGTCTCTACCAATATATCTAAAACCATTGCTACGACTAGTAAATTTCCACTGCTGTGTTTCTATATGTTTGCTGTTTGTCTCCAGGTGAACCCACACTTCAAGAAGGCAGAGATAGTTTTTAAGGCCCACTATATATATAAAACAGATATATATTTGTGTTTGTGTTTTTCTGTGTGTGTATCACATTCTACCTGTTGCTGCCTATACGAATAATTAGCTACCTAGAGATTAAATGGACGATGAAACTCCAGGTGAAGTGGCTGAGGGCATGAAGGGGAGGCAGCCCCAGACTTTCACCCCTTTGTGCTTCTGACATTGAGGCTCCCCTGATGACTAACCCTCATCCACGGAGCCTGGGTCCTCAGCTGGTGGATCCGTGAAACTCTCATCTCCGGGGGAGTTGGCTCATGTTCTCCTGTGTCCCAGGCTGCACAGAGAGCACACAGGCCTCAGTGACCTCTGTACTGGGGACCACTTTCCTTGCAGATCCTGAGCTCTCAGGATGCAGGAAAACTCTCTCCCAGATGACTCAGGAGCAATGTTTAAATCCATAGAACACAGGAAAACTGAAATCGTTCAATGAGGAGACTAGAGGGAATCCTGCTAGCGGAGGAAGAGGTTTTTTTTTTTTTTTTAGAAATTCTGTAAAAGTCACATCATGAGACATTAAGTAATAAAAAAAAAATTGCAGAGCCCAGGTGAGAGGCTGGGCTCAGGTCTCTTTTTCTCTGTTTTGATTCTCTGGAGCAGCTGATACCCTCAGCCCATCACAAAACAAGTCTGACTCTGAGACTGGTATGTGAGGAGATACTCTCAGTGATGGGGCTGGCACTGAGGGTTGGGTCCTGTGAAGGGGAGGTGGGTGCCCTGGGTGGACAATCTGATCCACCCTGACCTCTGTGACCTCTTTGTCCACCATCCCCAGCCTCACACCTTCAGGATTACGCAGTGGAGAATCTCATCCACATGGGCGTGGCTGGCTTGATCCTGGTGGTCCTCGGGATTCTGTCATTTGAGGCTTGGCACAGCCAGAGAAGCTTCCCAAGATGCAGCCGGGAGGTGAACAGCAGAGAGGATAATGTACTTTATAGAGTCGTGAAGCCTCAGGAACAGATCTGATGATCCCAGGAGGTTCTGGAAGAAAATCTAGGGCCGATGCTATCTGGACTGTCTGCTGGTCATTTCCAGAGGAAGGAATCAATGTCCGAGTGCAGGGACATTTTCTGGGGTGATCCATGGAGAACCATTAAAATGTGATACCTTTCCTCTCCATTAATGTTGACTTTCCTTGGTTGGATCTGCCTCTTTTCCCACACTTAGACATGAGGCTCCATCCCACATGGCAGCGTTGGGTCCACACCTCTGCACACCTGCATGCTCTGGTCCATGGCGTGTCACACAGTCCTCTTCATTTCTCATTGCCACACTTCCTGGTGTACTTTACTGGGTCTTCATGTCTTCAGTTCAGAGTTCCGCACCTGGTTTAGGAACTAATTCAACGGGAGAAGATCAGAGTCCGACCAGGAAAAGATAAATGCACCGTGATGCCCTCACCTCCTGTGTGGACCCTATGAGCTCTTCCCTCCTTATCAGATGCTATCTGTGTAGTTTCTCCTGAAATATCACCACCTGGAATCAACACACTGGCATTTGAAGTCACGACCCAATGGTATGCTAATTCTGAAAAAGACATTTTTTGAAATGCTATGATTAGTGGCATTTACCAATTTCCTTGACGTAAATTCTTTTTTCATGGCCATAATCAAGATGCCAACGAGACATCCCTGAATGCAGGGTTGGGAAGCGTTGGACAGACTTGTCTTCACTCATAAGCACCAGGCATCTGATAGCTCACGTATACATCTTATTACCTTCCATTTTAGAGTGAATAATCATTTCTACTTCAGTATTTTGGCACAGGTAAAAGCAGTCCCATTACTGCGCGTATACCCAAAGGAATATAAATCATTCTATTGCAAAGATACATGCACACATGTGTTCATCGCAGCACTATTCACAATAGCAAAGACATAGAATCAACCCAAATGCCCATCAATGATAGACTGGATAAAGAAAATGTGAGACATATACACCACGGAATACTATGAAGCCATAAAAAGAAACAAGATCATGTCCTTTGCAGGGACATGGATGGAGCTGGAAACCATTATCCTCAGGAAACTAACACAGGAACAGGAAATCAAACGCTGCATGTTCTCACTTACAAGTGGGTGCTGAACAATGAGAATGCGTGAACACAGGGAGGGGAACAACACACACTGGGGCCTGTCGGGGGGGGGTGGGGTAGGGGTAGGGAGAGCATTAGGAAAAATAGCTAATGTATGCTGGGCTTAATACCTAGGTGATGGGTTGACAGGTGCAGGAAACCACCATGGCGCACATTGACCTATGCAATAAGCCCACACATTCTGCACATGTACCCCGGAACTTAAAATAAAAATAAAAATTAAAATTAAATTATGACACCATGATCCTAGCATATCCAAAAAAGACAAAAATGCCAATATCAAATGTCGGAGAAAATAGGGCTGAATTAAAAATCCAATACAATGCCGGGCGCAGTGGCTCACGCCTGTAATCCCAGCACTTTGGGAGGCCAAGGTGGGTGGATCACTTGAAGTCAGGAGTTTGAGACCAGCCTGGCCAAACGTGGTGAAACCCTGCCTCTACTAAAAATACAAAAATTAGCCGGGTGTGGTGGCACTCGCCTGTAGTCCTAGCTACTAGGGAGGCTGAGGCAGGAGAATCACTTGAACCCGGGAGGCGGAGGTTGCAATGAGCTGAGATCATGCCACTGAACTCCAGCCTGGGTGACAGAGCGAGACTCCGTCTCAAAAAAAAAAAAAAAAAAAAAAAAACCCTCAAAAGCTCAGGCAGCAAAAGCAAAAATAGGCAAATGAGATCATAGCAAACTGCAAACCTTCTGCACAATCAAGGAAACAAACAGCAGAGTGAAGAGACCACCTACAGAATGGGAAAGAATATTTGCAAGCAAGAGATTAATCTCCAGAAAATACAAGGAGCTCAAACAATGCAGAGGTTTTGAAGGATGGTGATGAGAAGGTTCTGCTACTTACAGAAAGGAAGTTTAGGAGAAACAAAACCACAAACCTAGGTGGTGGGATGGCTTGATCTGCTTCTGTCTGTGACTCAGTTAACAGTCTTAAACACATCTCCCTAAGCCTCCTTCCCCCGGTGGGATTCCTGGGTCTTGTGAGGACCTCATCGGTCCCTCTGGTAAACCCAGGCACAGAGTGGAGCAGCTCTTGTTTTCTCAGGATCTTCCCCTTCACATACAATTAACGCACCCACACGATGCTACTCTTAGAACCCTTCAAATAAATGTTCCCCGGTTCATTCACTACCAGAATCCAAGCTCAGCTTGTTCCCCAGCTTAGGACTGAGTGGTATCTTGGAGGTAGTTTCCACCATAGCCCCCTTCCTCTGCTATAAGGCTCAGTGACACACCAGAGACACCCCCTCCAGCCAGGCTCCTGGAAGGTCTGGATGAAGACTGGGATGCTGAGGCATTGCTCAGCAATGTGGCTTAACTCAAACTTCTATGTGAAACTTCCAACCACTTTCAGCAAGGGGTCACTTCCAGCGTCTTGGGGTGTGAGGGCACCTTGGTTGGTCCCTGCAATATCAGACCCTATAAAGATCCTACAAACATGTTGCAGACTCTTTGAAGATTCTGGCACTTTCAGACATGCTGTTGGGAAATGGTGACACCCATAACCTTCTAGTTCCAGGACAGGGAGCCTTAGCCCAGGGCTATGTTTTCTGAGGGTCCTCAAAGTAAACAGTTCTATGTGCCAGGAGAACCCTAAATCTCATATGGTTCTAAGGGCAGAAAGCCACACATGCACCGGCAAAAAGCAAGAGATTCAAGGAAAAGCTGAGCAAAGACAGACAGGAAAACACACACATGATGAGCCAGCTTGTAGAGCTAGAACTGAGATGGAGAGAGGCACGAGTGGGTAACAGAGTATGCTCCCCAGAACAGGTGGAGAGAATGCCTTTTTCATGCCCTGAGGATAGGCTGGGTAAGGCTTGTGCTCGACAGTCAAGGACTATATTTTTCCCCAGGCGTCTACAAGAGACCTTCCTTCTCAGCTCAACTGTGCCCTGCAGTAAGTAATGATGGAGAGAATGTGACTTTGCTCTGCAGCTCTGGAAGCTCATTTGACCTGTGCCTTCTAACGAGGAAGGTAAGGCCCCTGGACACTGGCTCACTGGGGTGCAGAGACAGAGTGGGGCATTCAGGCCAACTTCTCTCTGGGTCTTGGGGCTGGTGATGGGACCTCTAGATGCTGCAGCTCTCTGTCGATGGCTCTGCCTGTGAGTGATCAGCCCTAGATGACCACTGTTACTGGGGGTAGCCCATGCCTGCTGCATGCCCTGTGAAACACTAAATCATATAGCCACGTCTGAGGGACAGCCTGCTGGAGACATGGGAATCTTAGGGATTCCAGACAAAATGAAGCAATGAGAAACACAAAGAGGAAAAGAGAGGTTGAATATGACAGTGGTGTCAGGGTGTAGGGTGGTAGACAGGGCAGCTCCACACTCTCCACTGCTTCCTGTCTGGAGGCCCACTTTGGGGTCCTACTTATCCAGGTGAGTGAAGGAAGAGGTCAGGACAAACACAGGAGGTGAAGCCAGATACAGTGTGGGGAGATAAGCAGTGGCCTCAGCCTCTAGCCCTTTTCCATCTTCCAGAAGCCCCTCCTGAGCTCTCATCACAGACAGATTTCCCATTTGGAAACCCAGATATTTATCATGCCGGGGGGGGAGGCAATGTCTCTTGATTATGGGGACTTTCCATCACCAGGCACCTGCTAGTCCTCTCTATACCTTCCCTTCAGGAAAGGAATTGTCCCTCATGGGATTCCAGGGAAGAGACCCCAGGACCCCTATCAGTCACTAGGGAGATGACAGAGTAGAGGAAGTCAGGGGACCAACCCTCCACAGAGAATGGTCCTACTTCAGTGGGGTGAGGGAAACTCTCACTCATCCATTTGCTGTCCTGTTACCTCAGAACCCTAAGAGAACTTGTTAGTCACACACAGAATCTACCCCTGAATGTGGTGTGCAAAGTGGGGCTCTTAGCCTCCAGTGTGAAGTCCCTGGGAAGATGGAATGTCCCTGTGTGAGTGAAGGCTGTGCCACCGCCCAGCTATGTGGCCTTGGGCTAGGCAACCCCTCCCAGGTCCCCAGTTCCCCATCTGCATCGGAGACTGTGGCCAGTGCGGGAATCCACAAGGCCCTTCAGCCTCCAATGCTCTGGGACAGAGGCCTCGTCCACGGGGAGGAAGGGGTCAGAGTGACCTGAGTCCCTACTCAGGAGCGAGTCTAATCCACTCTCCATCGGGGCCTGTGGGGAAGGGAAGATGAAGAAACGGAGCCTGCACCTGGCTATGTGGGCGCAGTAGATTAAGGGGAGGATGAGGGTTCCTGAGAGTGTGTCATGTGGCAGAGACCCTGCAGCACACTCAGGAAGGGCTCTGGAAGGATCCAAGGAAATTTTCCAAGAAGAGGGCAGAGTAAGTGACAGAGACCCTCAACCATGGATTTCACTGAGGTGCCCATGATGACATAGGGAGAACGGGGGTGTCTGGGCAGGAAGAATATCGTCAGGGTGAAATGAATGGTGATGAGCTTCGTGTCAGAGCTCCTGTGGAGGGAGGGGCCTGGCCCACATGAAAAGGTCTCTGATCCTACCCCAGCCCCCAGCCCCTGTTCTCCAGGATGACACTGTGGGAATTCCATCAGGAGGGGTGTGATAGGGCTGGTCTTCCTGGCTCGATTCACAACACTGGCTGGGGACTGGGAACCCATGGGGAGCCACAGGTGGAAAGGGAGGAGCCTCAGTGAACCCAGCAGGAACAAACATAGGGTCTGACATGATGGAACTCACTTCCTGGAGGCCAAGAAAGACACTTGCAGGACAAAAGGGAAAGAGCGGTGGCTTGCTTAGTTCCATTCACTGACAACCCACAGGAGATGTCCAGTCCTTTTTTGATTTATTATTTTATTTTATTATATTTTATTTTATTTTATTTTATTTTGACATGGAGTTTTGCTCCTATTGGCCAGGCTGGAGTGCAATGGCACGATCTTGACTCACTGCAACCTCCACCTCTCAGGTTCAAGCGATTCTCCTGCCTCAGCCTCCTGCATAGCTGGGATTACAGGCGACTGCCACCACAGCCAGGTAATGTTTGTATTTTTAGTAGAGATGAGGTTTTGCCATCTTGGCCAGGCTGGTCTCAAACTCCTGATCTCATGTGATCCGCCTGTATCAGACTGCCAAAGTGTTGGGATTACAGGCGTGAGCCACCACACCCAGCCTTTTGTATTTTTAGTAGAGATGGGGTTTCACCATGTTGGTCAGGCTGGTCTTAAACTCCTGACCTCAGGTGATCCATCCACCTCGGCCACCCAAAGTGCTGGGAGTACAGATGTTAGCCACCGTACCCAGTGAGAGTTTCAGTGCTCTATCGGATTCCCTGCCTACTCCATGTTGCATGTAATGTTCCACCTCAGGGATGTTTCTCTCCTTTCTGTCTCCTTCCTCTTCTCCTTTTCCTTTTTTCTTTCTAATTTTTATTTTTTTGAGACAGAGCCTTGCTCTGTTACCCAGGCTAGAGTACAGTGGCACGATCCCAGCTCACTGCAACCTCTGCCTCCTGGGTTCAAGAGATTCTCCTGACTCAGCCTCTCGAGTAGCTGGGATTACAGGCACCCGCCATCACACCCAGCTAGTTTTTGTATTTTTAGTAGAGACGAGGTTTCACCATGTTGGCCAGACTGGTCTTGAACTCCTGCCCTCAGGTAATCCACCCGCCTGTGGCCCCCCAAAGTGCTGGGATTACAGGCGTGAGTCACCACTCCCAGCCCTGAATGATCTTTCCTCTTTAGTGTGTTCTCACAACCACCTCTCACTGAGCTTTCTTGTTTTTTGTTTTTGTTTTTGTTTTTGTTTTTGTTTTTGTTTTTGGCAGAGTCTGGCTTTGTTGCCTATGCTGGAGTGCAGTGGTGCAATCTCAGCTCACTGCAACCTCCGTCTCCTGGGTTCAAGCGATTCTCCCACCTCAGCCTCCTGAGTAGCTGGGATTACAGGCACCCACCACCACACCCAGCTAATTTTTGCATTTTTAGTAGACACAGGGTTTCACCATGTTGGTCAGGCTGGTCTCGAACTCCTGACCTTGTGATCTGCCAGCCTCAGCCTCCCAAAGTGCTGGAATTACAGGCATGAGCCACCACTCCCAGCCCTGGATTATCTTTCCTCTTTAGTGTGTTCTCACAACTACCTCTCACTGCTGGGTTTTCTCTCTTTCTTTTTTTTTTTTTTTTTTTTTTTTTTTTGAGACAGTCCGGCTTTGTTGCCCAGGCTGGAGTGCAGTGGCGCGATCTCGGCTCACTGCAAGCTCCACCTCCCAGGTTCAAGCGATTCTCCCACCTCAGCCTCCCTAGTAGCTGGGATTACAGGCGCATGCCAGCACACCCAGCTAGTTTTTGTATTTTTAGTAGAGACAGGGGTTTCACCATGTTGGTCAGGCTGGTCTTGAACTCCTGACCTTGTGATCTTCCTGCCTCGGCCTCCCAAAGTGCTGGGATTACAGGTGTAAGCCACTGCACCCAGCCAGCTTTCTCATTCTTATCCCTTAGTTCTCTGCCAGGGAATAAGATAGAAACCATTCCCTCAACCACATTCTAGTCATGGTCCCTATTCTCATGTTTCCACTTCTCTCTCTTTGGTAATAAATCAATTAATTGAGAAACAAGTAGCTAAATGTTCATCTTCTGCTAGTCTGCATCCCCTTATTTTCCCAGAGCCTCCCCTAATGAAACTGACTTTATTTACTGAACGCAGGAAATGGGTCTCTCCAGATCAGGATGACTTTCTGCTGGGAAATATTTGTCTTTGCATCAGTGGGGAAAAAGAAAGCCGATGTCATGAGTGGAGGCTCTGAGAAAATAAGGGCTGTGTTTTCAGTTTAGACCCAGCTAAGTTGGGAGCTGACATAGATATGATGTTGGGTCCACCCTCCACGGGCAGGTTTTCAGACAAAGGATCCCTGGCAATCAGGGGACACCTCAGGTCTGGGCTGAGATGTGTGCAGAGGGCCTGGGTCCTCCTGAGCCCCTGCACTGGGGGGGGAATAAGAGACAGGCCCAGCAAGGGGCTGTCCACTTCCTGTGGGTTCACAGCTGTGGGGACCCAGGCAGGCGGCAGCAGGCTCTGACTTAACCACATCCGTGCATCTGTCTGTCATGGAGGGCCATGTGGTCACCTGTCCCACAGCTGGAGCACGCAGAGCAGGCATCATGGTGTCCATCCTCACTGTTCTTCTGTGCCTCAGTCAGTGGTGGAGAGACGAGGGACAGGAGGGGCACTGGGCTGAGGTGGGGAGGGTCCCACAGCAGCCTTGTTCACCAGAGAGCCTCAGGGCTCCAGTGGCTACTGGTGCTCCAACAGGAAGGGAAGCAGCCACACCTCTGTGTTCCAAATCCCCCACAGGAAACTCTTCTCCATGGCTGAGTCTGGGCCAGAAAGCCCAAGCACTTGCAGGTGAGTCTCTGCTAACCTCCCATGCCTGACCTCACACTCAGCACCTGGACTCTCATCTCAGGGGCTTCTGAACTGAGGGTGAGAAAATCAAGAGGGTCTGTGACCTGAGCTGGGAATGAGGAGCGGGGGAGGTCTGTGGACCCCAGCCTGTGGTTTCTTCCAGGGACCCTCCCCAAACCCAGCCTCTGGGCTGAGCCAGGCTCTGTGATTACCTGGGAGAGCCCCATGACCCTCTGGTGCCAGGGGACCCTGGATACCCAGGGTTACTATCTCACCAAGGAAGGAAACCCCATGACCTGGTACCAACAGAGCCCACCAGAGCCCAGGAACAAGACCAACTTCTTCATCCCATCCATGAGAGAGCACCATGCAGGGAGATACCACTGTCACTATCTCAGCCCTGCAGGCTGGTCAGAGCGCAGCGAGCCCCTGGAGCTGGTGGTGACAGGTAAGAGGACACTCAGGGGTCCCAGCCCCAGGCTCTGCCTGCAGGAAGGGGGTCGGCTCTCAAGGGCATCTCCGTTCTAATAACTCAGCCCTGGGGGATGATGTGGGACGCGTGAGCCCCATTTAAGACAGTGTCTCCTTCTCTCCTAGGAGCCCACAGAAAACCCACTCTCTCAGCCCTGCCGAGCCCTGTGGTGACCTCAGGAGAGAACGTGACCATCCAGTGTAGCTCAAGGGTGGGATTTCACAGGTTCATTTTGATTGAGGAAGGAGAAAACAAGCTCTCCTGGATGCTGGACTCACAGGAACTCTCCAAGGGGCTGTCCCTTGTCCCTGGCCCTGTTCCCTGTGGGCCGTGTGGCTGCCAGTCACCGGTGGATGTTCAGATGCTATGGGCATTACACGAACTTCCCCTGGGTGTGGTCGGAACCCAGTGATACCATGGAGATCCTGGTCTTAGGTATGGATGTCTTCCTCCTTGCCCTATTTATTTTTGAGAACTTACTCTCACGGAGCCCCATGTAGGAGGGTGGAACAAGGGAAGTTTGGGACTCCTGAGCCCAGAGACACTGAGTATGAGAGACAGTGAGACCTGCAGGGCCAGGAGGGGAGAAGGAAGGGGTGTGGGAGGAACCAGCCCTCCTAGTCCCGACTCTTCTTTCCCTCCAGGCGTGTCTAGGAAGCCCTCCCTCCTGACCCTGCAGGGCCCTGTCGTGGCCCCTGGGGAGAATCTGACCCTCCAGTGTGGCTCTGATGTCGGCTATGACAAATTCACTCTGTACAAGGAGGGGGGACATGACCTCGTCCAGGGCTCTGGCCGGCAGCCCCAGGCTGGGCTCTCCCAGGCCAACTTCACCCTGGGCCCTGTGAGGGTCTCCCACGGGGGCCAGTACAGATGCTACGGTGCACACAACCTCTCCTCCGAGTGGTCGGCCCCCAGTGACCCCCTGAGCATCCTGATCGCAGGTGAGGAGCCCAGCAGGTTCAGTCAGGGACCCACGCTCCGCACAGGCCCTGCTGGGGGAGCCCAGGTGGTGATGGCCAGGATGAGGGGTGGGGGTCCCAAGGGAGGGAGAGACAGACAGAGACAGGGGATGGGCGGGTAGAGGGAGACTCAGAGAAAACAGAGACAGAGACTGAGGGTCCCAGAGAGAGGCCTGGGGAGGTGTCAGCTCAGAACGAGGTGGGGCAGCCCCTCACCCATCCTTCTTCTCTCCAGGACAGATCCGTGGCAGACCCTCCCTCTCGGTGCAGCCGGGCCCCACGGTGGCCTCAGGAGAGAACGTGACCCTGCTGTGTCAGTCACGGGAGCAGTTGGACACTTTCCTTCTGACCAAGGAGGGGGCAGCCCATCACCCACTGCGTCTGAGATCAGAGCACCAAGCTCAGCAGCACCAGGCTGAATTCCCCATGAGTCCTGTGACCTCAGCCCACGCGGGGACCTACAGGTGCTACAGCTCACGCAGATTCTTCCCCTACCTGCTGTCTCACCCCAGTGACCCCCTGGAGCTCGTGGTCTCAGGTGAGGCCGCTGACCCTGTCCTCTCTGAGCTCAAACCTCAGCTCAGGCCCTGCCCCCAGGAGAGCTCAGGACGCTAAGGAAAGAGGGGAGTAAAGGGGGAGGGTCGGCAGGGGAGGGCCCAGCCCATGAGAGGGTGGAAATAGTCAGGGACCTCCTAATCCTGGGCTCCCACCCCAGAGACCTCAGATGGGGCTAAAGGCCAGGGAGGGCTGAAATGAGATATGGAGAAACCTTGGAGGAATCATGCTTAGGCTGAGGGTAGAAGATGGAGGCCCCACCCACTCCCCACCTGGGCTCCCCTGGCGGCCCCAAAATACTCAGTGCATACCTGAGACGAAGGGGAGATCATGCACCTGCTCACTGCAGCAATGCAGGCAAATTATTCAACAGCAAACCTCGTGTGCAATTCCTTTCTGTCCTTTATTTTTTATGTCCACATATCTAGTTTCTCTTTCTGTTTCTGAAGATTTCAAAGCAATGCTGGCATTTATAATTTACACATTTAATTTGTTAGGTAGCGTTATGATGTAAAATAACTGTGCTCTGATTTTCTTTGGGATTAAATTAAATATGTGCATTCATGATGGAGAATAACTTCTCATTAATAATGTCTTTGTATCCAATACATTTAAAATTAAACTTTATACAGTTAGCAGATGCTTGAAGTTGTATTCATAAAAATTGTGGACATTGTGAATTTTAAGCATTGTTTTACTACTTGAATAATTTGAAAGTCTTTGATTCCTTTCTATTTTCTAAAATTAGTTACGTATGGATGAGAAAGCTATTGGTTTGGGTATGCTAATTTTAGTTCCTATTAACTTACCACAGACACACTCCCTTTCAATCCTTTCCGAAATGATCTCTTCTGATTTATTGATAATAATTACATTAACCACAAGAAAATGGAGGACAAACTTGTTTGTTTCTAAATTATATAATACTCTTCTCACTTCAAATATATATGTATGTGTTTATATATACTCACACACTATTATATATCTTATAATATATATTATGTATTATATATTTATATATACACTATTATATATCTTATATATTATGTATTATATATTTATATATACCCACACATTATTATATCTTATAATATATATTATGTATTATATATTTATATATACCCACACATTATTATATCTTATAATATATATTATGTATTATATATTTATATATGCACTATTATATATCTTATATATTATGTATTATATATTTATATTACCCACACATTATTATATCTTATAATATATATTATGTATTATATATTTATATATACACACACTATTATATATCTTATTATATATTATGTATTATATATTTATATATACTATTATATATCTTATAATATATAATGTATTATATATTTATATATACACACACTATTATATATCTTATATATTATGTATTATATATTTATATATACATACTATTATATATCTTATAATATATTATGTATTATATATTTATATATATACACTATTATATATCTTATTATATATTATATATTTATATATGCACACACTATTACATATCTTATTATATATTTATATGTATACACACACTATTATATATCTTATTATATATTATGTACTATATATTTATATATACTATTATATATCTTATAATATATAATGTATTATATATTTATATATACACACACTATTATATATCTTATATATTATGTATTATATATTTATATATACATACTATTATATATCTTATAATATATTATGTATTATATATTTATATATACACACTATTATATATCTTATTATATATTATATATTTATATATGCACACACTATTACATATCTTATTATATATTTATATGTATACACACACTATTATATATCTTATATATTATATATTTATATATACTCACACTATATCTTATAATACATATTATGCATACACATATGCATAATACATATTATCTATACACATATGCATAATACATATTATGTATACACATATGCATAACACATATTATGTATACACACATATTTACACCTATGCATATATGTATGTATGTATGCGAATGTACCTCTGCCACGGCAGGGAAAGGTTCTATCACACAACTACAGAGCAGTTAGGAGAAGTGTAGACACAAAGGAATGCAGCAACTGAGGGACATGTTGGCTTAAGTCTCTTCAACTCCTCACACACCTCCCCCTTTTTTGGTTGATTCTCAGGAGCAGCTGAGACCCTCAGCCCATCGCAAAACAAGACAGACTCCAAGACTGGTGTGTAAGGAGATGCTCTCGGTTATGGGGCTGGCACAGAGGGTCAGGTCCTGTGAAGGGGAGGTGGGTGCCCTGGGTGGACATCCAGGGGTCCCGGGTGATGTTGATCTGCCCTGACCTCTGAGACCTCTTGGTCCACCATCCCCAGCCTCACACCCCCAGGATTACACAGTGGAGAATCTCATCCGCGTGGCTGTGGCTGGCTTGGTCCTGGTGGTCCTCGGGATTCTGCTGCTTTAGGATTGGCACAGCTAGAGAAGTCCCCAAGATGCAGCAAGGAGGTAAATACATGAGAGAACAATGCACCCTTCAGAGTGCCAGAGCCTTGGCAATGAGTCTGATAGTCCTAGGAGGTTCTGGAAGAAAGTCTGGACCATCATTCGGGAAACCGTCTACTGAGAAAGTCGAGAAGGGGAGGCTTGGGTCAGGTTCAGGGAGATGTCTGGGTGCCTGTAGAGAACGCTTCCTCCATTAAACTTCCATTAAATGGCAGTGCTTTCAGTCCAGCTGTTGTGGACCCTCCGTGTCTGCCCCTCCCTTCCTTTCGCTCTCTGTGATGTGAAGGCACGTCCCCCATGGTGGGTTTGCATCCACACCCCTGCGATCACGTGCTCTGGTCCACTGTCCTGTAATACATTTGTCTTTGTTTCCAACTACCGCATTCTCTAAAGTGAACTATTGATTCTCCATCTTTTCAGTTCTGAGCATAGATCTGGATTAAATAACTGGAATAGGTGGGCAGATTTGTATTTGGGACTTTGAAACATGAGTCTGAGGCCAGGCACAGTGGCTCACACCTGTAATCCCAGCACTTTGGGAGGCTGAGGTGGGCGGATCACTTGAGGTCAGAAGTTCGAGACCAACCTGGCCAACATGGTGAAACCCTGTCTCTACTAAAAGATACAAAAATTAGCTGGGTGTGGCAGTGAGCACCTGTAATCCCAGCTGCTCAGGAAGCTGAGGTGGGAGAATAGCTTGAACCCGGGAGGCGGAGGTTGCAGTGAGCCAAGATCTTGCCACTGCACTCCAGCCTGGGCAACAGAGCAAGACTCTATCTCCAAAAAAAAAAAAAAAAAGGGAAATATGAGTCTGAAATGATGCCCTAGCACCCTCTCTGGACCCTGAATTCCCTTCACTCTTCATCGGATGATACCTGTGTACTTCGTCCAGAAATATCATCTCTCAGAATGAGCACACTAACGCTCGAAGGCTCAGCCTCATGGTATTCTGTTAAACTGGCTCTCTGAAAAAATTATTTTCTTAAGAAAACTCTGAACATATAAAGCCCCAGATTTATGGTATTTGCTGATTAGTGTGGTATAAATACGTCCTTTATGGCCAACTTCAGGGTGCCCATATGACGCCATTGAATGCACAGTTGGGAAGTAGTCAAAAGAATTGTCGTTCACACGAGTATGAACCAGTTGTAAAGTTTATTTAAAGGTTATAATAATTTCTGCTTCATTCTTATGGTGTAGTTTCAGTAAAATTGTAATGTCAAAAATCATAGCACAATGGAGGGAAAAGAAAAAAATAGGCCGGGTGTGGTGGCTCATGCCTGTAATCCCAACACTTTGGGAGGCCGAGGCAGGAGGATCACCTGAGGTCAGGAGTTCGAGACCAGCCTGGCCAACATGGTGAAACCCTGTCTCTACTAAAAATACAAAAATTAGCCAGACATGGTGGCGCCTGCCTGTTAATCCCAGCTACTTGGGAGGCCAAGGCACGAGAATCGCATGAACCCAGGAGGCGGAGGTTGCAGTGAGCCGAGATCACTACAGCCTGGGTGATAGAGCAAGACTCAGTCTCAAGAAAAGAAAAAAGTAGCAAAATCATTTTTTGGAAAGAATATTGAACATGTAGAATTTTAGTACATTAATAGTAAGAGTACAAATTGCTTTAATCAATTAAGGAAGTGTATTGGAATTATCTAGTTAAAAAGAGGAGGCACACGGCTGTGACCCTTCTTAATTATGTACTTAATTATGTACCCTAGAGATAAATGTCTACTTATGTGTCATGATACACTCACAACTGTTATAGGAATGCTGTTCCTATTAGCCAAAGCTATAAAATACCAAAGTCCACCTACGAAAAAAATAAACATAGTGTGGTAAATAGACTCAGTGGAATATTACAAGGTAGTAAAATGCATAAATGAAAATAACAAACAGCACCATACTTCAATTTTCAAGCATAAAGTCAAGTAAATGAAGTATTATTTGAAAATGTGTGCATGGTTATTTCATTACATAAAGGTCAAAAGGAGGGTACATTTATTATTTAGGAAAACACACCTAAGATATCTTTGTAAAATCTGTAAAATCAATAGTACTGTTTCCCCTCTTTCATTCCTTATCTTGAAAATGCTTGTCTCTTTTTCTGCCATGGCTTTCTACCTTGCTTGATATATTACAATTTTGTAACCTGCTTATTTCATCATATGTCATAAGTTCACATGTATATCCCATGAATTATTGAGGGTCTTATTCATTTCAAGTGGCATTTAGGTTTTTAAAAATATCTTTTGGCGACCAGGTGCAGTGGCTCATGCCTGTAATCCCAGCACTTTGGGAAGCCAAGGCAGGTGGATCACGAGTTCAAGAGACAGAGATCATCCTGGCGAACATGGTGAAACCCCGTCTCTACTAAAAATACAAAAAAAAAAAAATTAGCTGGGCATGGTAGAGGGTGCCTGTAGTCCCAGCTTCTCAGGAGGCTGAGGCGGGAGAATGGCGTGAACCCGAGAGACGGAGGTTGCAGTGAGCCGAGATCGTGCCACTGCACTCCAGCCTGGCAACAGAGTGAGACTCTGTCTCAAAAAAAAAAAAAAAGAAAGAAAGAAAGGAAGAAAAAAAAATCTTCTGGCATTAACTATTAAGAAATTGCACTATAAAAAGAGAATATAATGCATAAGACGGCAATTTGAAAAGATTCAGATATAATTTTTTCTTATCTAGTAAATACTTAGTAATTTGTCTAATGCATGCCTTAAATACATACCACTTTATGCAGAGGTTGCCATGAGCCGAGATCGCGCCGTTGCACTCTAGCCTGGGTGGCAGAGCAAGACTCCATCTCAAAAAAAAAAAAGAAAATCTCACAGAAGGAGACCCAGAGCTTCCAGCCTCGCCCAGAGTCTTGGCTCACTCCCTGTGTGTGTGGACCCTAGGGAGCCTCTTCTGTTCCCCACAGAGGTGGAAACTTCCTCCTTAATAACCCCTTGATGGTCCCAGGCACTGGTGACCACTGAGCTTTGCTCTCTCTTTTTTCTTATGGTTCCCTGTCTACTTCCAGGGCTATCACTTTACTTTTTGTGCATTAGACCATGAATAATGTTTTAGAAACATTCTATCAAATTTCTCAGTGCTAGGAACAACTGAGGTTTTTGATTGGGTGCCTCAAATGTCTACCCTTACTGTGGAGTCCGACAACAGGATTCTAACAAGTCCCAACCCCTTCATGCCTTAACCTGGTCTGGAAATAAATTATGTTTAAGCCATCCCATACCCCAGCCACATCAAGCCCCACAACCACTCTGAGAAGTGAGATTTATAGCAAAATGCTCCAAACAAGGTAACTAAGGTTCAGACAAGGGATGTTAATGTGTCCATTTACATAAACAAAAAATGGTAGATGATCAGCTTTCCCTTTGAAATCAGAGTACTAATCTGACTCATTGTTCCCTGAATTTTAGAGGCAGGACCTCAGGAGGAGCTAAGAATCCTACCCCAGGAAAATTACCAATATCAGAAAGGAAACAATGACATCAGTACAGATCCTACAGAATTCAAAAGATTCTAAGTGGACATTATGAAGACATTATTCAGCTTAGATGAAGTGGTCACATATCACAAGAAAACAAACTGTCTAAAACAATCTCTGAAATACCTAGACATTCCCTGAATCATTGAGTTATTAAATAAAATACATTTTAAAATTAAACTCTTTTCAGGAAATAAACTTCAATGTCCCCTAGTGCACTCTCCAAAACATGTAGATAGGAATAAATACTGTTCTGAAAGACATTTCCCTGGAATTACAACCATTCAATATATTTTAAAAGGCAATCATAAAAATATAAAAAGGATATATCAGGAGAAGAAATGTAAATGGCCTAAATTCCCCACATAAAAGGCATAGAGTGGCAACGTGGATAAAAAGCCAAGAGCCAACTGCCTGCTGTCTTCAAGAGACCCATCTCACATGTAATGACACCCACAGGCTCAAAGTAAAAGGATGAAGAAATATTTACTAGGCAACCAGGAAACAAAAAAAAGGAAGGCATTCCTATTCTTATATCACATGAAACACACTTTAAATCAACAGCAATCAGGAAGGACAAAGAAGGGCATTACAAAATGATAAAGGGTTCAATTTGACAGAAGACTTAACTATTCTAAATATATATGCACCCAAATTTGGAGCACCCCGATTCATAAAACAAGTTATTCTTCACCTATGAAAAGAGTTAGACAGCCACACAATAATAGTAAGGGACTTCAGTATCCCACTAACAACGTCAGATGAATCACTAAAACAGAAAACTAACAAAGAAATTCTGGTCTTAAAGACAACACTTGACCAATTGGACCTCATAGACATCTACAGAGTACTCCACCCAACAACTGCAGAATATAGATTCTTCTTATCTGCACACACAAAAAACATATCATATTCTAAGACTGGCCACAAAGCAAGTCTCAATAAATTCAAAGAATCAAAATCATAACAAGGCACACAATAAAAATAGAAAAAAATACCAAGATGATCTCTCAAAACTACAGAAAAACATGGAAATTTAACAACTTGTTTCTGAATGAATATTAAGAGCCATCTATGACAAATCCACAGCCAACATCATATTGAATGGTCAAAAGCTGGAACTGTACCCCTTGAGAACTCTTGGGTGAACAATGAAATTAAAGCAGAAATCACAAAACATTATTTAAAATTAATAAAAATAGAAACAAACTTACCAAAACCTTTGGGATGCAGTTAAAGCAGTGATAAGAGGAAAATTTATAGCAATACATGCCTCATCAGAAGTTTAGAAAGATCTCAAATTAGTGACTTAACACTGCATCTAGAGGAACTATTAAAAAAAAGGAACAGTCCAAACCCAAGGCCAGCAAAAGATGAGAAATAACTAAAGTCAGAGAGAACTGAATAAATTGAGACCAAAAAGTCCATACAAGAGATAAATAAAACCAAGAGTTTTTCTTTGAAAAAAAATAAACAAAATTCATAGACTGTTAGCTAGATTAACAAAGAAAAAGAGAAAAGATCCAAATAAACACAAATAGAACTGACAAAACAATGTTACGAACAATCCCACAGAAATAGAAAAGATCGTCAAAGACTATTATGAACACCTCTATACAAACAAGCTAGAAAACCTAGAAGAAATGGATAAATTCCTGGTAACACAAAATTTATCATATTTCAACCAGGAAGAAAGTGAAAACCTGAACAGACCAATAACAAGTTCAGAAATTTAATCAGTAATAAAAACCCTACTAACTAAAAATAGCCCAGGACCAGACGGATTCACAGCCAAAATCCAACAGCCATACAAAGAAGAACTGATACCGATCTTACTGAAACTTTTGGAAAAAATCAAGGAGTGGGGGCTTCTTCCTAACTCATTCTATGAAGCCATCATCACCATGATACCAACATCTGTCAGAGACATAATGAAAAAAAGAAAACTACAACTAAATATCCTTAATGAACATAGACATAAAATCCTCAACAAAATGCTAGCAAATTGAATCTGTCAGTGCATCAAAAGTTAATTCACATGATCAAGTAAGCTTTATTTTTGGGATGCAAGGTTGGTTCAACCTACAAAGTCAACGAATGTGATTCACCTCATAAACATAATTAAAAACAAAAACTATATGATCATCTCAATAGATGCAAAAAAAGCTTTCTGTAAAATCCAACATCCCTTCATGATAAAAACTGTCAATAGGCATCAAAGGAACATACCTCAAAATATTAAGAGCCATCTATGACAAACCCACAGCCAACATCATATTGATGGGCAAAAGCTGGAACCATACCCCTTGAGAACCGAAACAAGACCAGGATGACCACTCCCGCCATTTTAATTCAACATGGTACTGGAAGTCCTAGCCAAAGCAATCAGGCAAGAGAAGGAAATAAAAGGCATTAAAATTGGAAAAGAAGTAGTGATACTGTCTCTCTTTGCTGATGAAATAATTTTATACATAGAAAACCCTAAAGACTCTGTCAGAAGGCTCCTGAAACTGATAAACAAATTCAATAAAGTTTCGGGATTAAAAAAATGTACACAAATTAGTAACATTTCTATGCACCACTAACATTCTAGCTGAGAACTAAATCAAGAACACAATTCCATTTACACTAGCCACAAAGAAAATAAAATACCTAGGAATCCATCTAACCAAGAAGGTGAAAATTCTCTACAAGGAGAACTACAAAACACTTCTGAAAGAAATAAGAAATGATACAAACAAATGGAAGAATATTCCATGCTCATGAATTAGGAGAACAAATAGTTAAAATCGCCATACTTCCAAAAACAAATTGCAGAGTCAATGCTATCCATTTCAAAATGCAATGTCATTTTTCACGAAATTATAAAAATTTATTCTAAAATGTATTTGGCACCAAAAAAAGAGCCTGAATACACATAGGAATCCTAAGCACAAAGAACAAAGCCCAGGCATCACATTACCCAACTTCAAACTATACTACAATGCTATAGTAACCCAAACAGCATGATACTACTACAAAAACAGACACATAGACCAATGAGACAGAATAGAGAACCCAGAAATGAGGCTACATACCTACAATCATCTTTGAAAAAATTGACAAAAACAAGCAATGTGGAAAGTACCCTTTCTTCAATAAATAGTTCTGGGATAACTGACTACTCATATGCAAAATAATAGAACTGGACCCCTAACTCTCACTATATACAAAAATTAACCCAAGATAGTTTAAAGATTTAAATGTAAAACCTCAAAATATTAAAATTCTAGAAGAAAACCTAGGAAATATCCTTCTCAAGATAGACTTTGGCAAAGAATTTATGGCTAACTCCCCAAAACCAATTGTGACAAAGACAGAAATTGGGACCTAACTCAACTGAAGAGCTTCTGCACAGCAAACGAAAGTATCAACAGAGTAAACAGATAACCTACAGACTGGGAGAAAATATTTGCAAACTATGCATCTGACAAAGTTCTAATATCCAGAATCTATAAGGAATGTAAACAAATCAACAAGCAGAAAACCAAAAAACCTCAATTAAGTATGACATGAACAGACACTTCTCAAAAGAAGATGTACACATGGCCAAAAAACATATGAACAAATGCTTATTATCAGTAATCATCAGAGAAATGCAAATTAAAACCACAGTGAGATACCATCTCACAACAATCAGAGAAGCAGAAGCAATTACTAAAAAGTTTTTTGTTTTTTTTAATAACAGATGCTGACAAGATTGTGGAGAAAAGGGAACACTTATACACTCTTGGTGGGAATGTTAACTAGTTCAGCCAATGTGATAAGCAGTTTGGAGACTTCTCAAATAACTTAAAATAGAACTACTATTCAATCAAGCAATCCCACTACTGGGTATATACCAAAAGGAAGGTAATTAACTATGTCAAAAAGACACATGCACTAGTATATTCATTGCTGTGCAATTCAGAATAGCAAAGATTTGCAGTCAACCTAAGTGCTCACCAACAGTGGATTAGTTAAAGAAAATGTGCTACATATACACATGGAACATTACATGGCCATAAAAAATAATGAAATCATGTCCTTTGCAGCAACATGAATGTAGCAGGAGGTCAATCTCCTAAGTGAACTAACCCAGGAACAGAAAACCAAATACCACATGTTATCACTTATAACTGAGAACCAAACATTGAATACACATGAACATAAAGATGGAAACAACAGATACCGAGGACTACAGATGGGGGGAGGAGTAGGGAGGTATAGGCTGAAGAAACACCTGTTGGATTCTATGCTCATTGCCTGGGTGATGGCATTGTTGGAACCACAAACCTCAGAGTCACACAATATGCCTATGTAACAAACCTGCATGCATACCTTTAATCTACAGTAAAGGTTGAAGTTATTTAAAAATAGGAAGAAGAATTACCCTATACCTAAAGCTAAGATTTTTCCCTTTGAATATTCGTTTCTTCATCACTGTAGATAAGCAGGGAAAGAAAAATTATTATACTATACTAGCCTTTTATGTGACCATGAGGATTTGGGGTAGGTAGGTGGACAGCTTAGATAATTCACCAGGATATTGATACAGGCTCCATGGCTGGAAATAACCAAGGATGAGTGCTGTGTTTTGAGTGGTCTCCCCCAGAAACGTTTGTTGAAATCCTAACCCCTGGTATGTATGAATGTGAATTCATATTATATAAAAAGGAATAAATAGCCTGAGCACAGTGGCTCACACCTGTAATCCCAGCACTTTGGGAGGCCAAAGCAGGTGGATCATTTGAGGTCAGGAGTTCTGGCCAATATGGCAAAACTTCATCTCTACAAAAAAAAAATACAAAAAAAAAAATTGGCTGGGTATGGTGGCGCATGCCTGTAGTCCCAGCTACTCAGGAGGCTGAGGCAGGAATTGCTGAAACCTGGAAGGCAGAGGTTGCAGTGAGCCAAGATCATGCCACTGCACTCCAGCCTGGGTGAGACGGCAAGATATTCTGTCAAAAATAAATAAATAAAAAACAGAAGAAGAAATACAAGAATGACAGCAAACTTTGTATTCAAAACTATGAAAGTAAGAAACAGGTGGACCAACATTTTTAAAGTGCTACAAGAAAATATTTCAAACTAGAATCTTTCAACCTGAAAAGGAAAACATTTTCCTGCAATAAAGGTGCCATTAAAAATGTCTCACAATTTATTACATGAAGCATTGTTCTACAATAAATGTTAAGCTCTTGAAGCAAAGATTAATGATACCATTTAGTAACTTGAAATTCAAAAAAGTGGAAGTATCCCAAGAGGCAAATACGTGTGCAATTATTAAATGTTTCATATCAACACCCAACCTTATGCTGTCTACATAAGCTGCACTTCAAATACTAATCCACAAGATGTAAATATTGAAAGAATGACATTACCTTGTCATGATAATGCCCAGTGCAAAATATGCTTCTAGTCAGTTGTATACATAGAATAGGTAAATGTTTGTAATAAAAAGTATTCCTCAATAGAAGTTTCTTAACTCAAAGAATGAAATATTTCACCATGCACATACAAAGAAGAGATATATGGAGATATGAAGAGGAGTACTTCATAATGACAAAGAGGCAAATTCATAAATAAGACATAATCATCCTAAATGCCTACACACCTAAAGCTGGAACCTCAAAACACATTAAATTAAAGGCATAATTCAAAACATAATCAATCACATCCAAATTGCAGCTAGAGATAGCAACATTCACCTCACTTCCAGAACAAGTACACAGAAAATTATTAAGCATATGAAAGACTTGAAAAACATTTGTGTAGGCGGCGGGTGCATAAGGTTGGGTGTTGATATGAAACATTTAATAATTTCAATAATCCTAGCACTTTGGGAGGCCAAAATGGGAGGATCACTTGAGGCCAGGAGTTTGAGACCAGCCTGGGCACCATAGTGAGACCCCGTCTCTATTTTTTTTAAATAAAGAAAAACATTTGAATGATTTTTTTCTTAACTGACATTTAGAAAGCATCCACCTCAAATCTTCCTAATCCACAAACTTGTCTAGCACCCCTGGAACATTCACCAAAATAAATTTTTAAATGCTGAATCATAGGTAATATGATAGATGAAACAGTTGAATTAAATTATAAATGTACAACAAGGAAATGCTGGGGAAATTATCAAATATTTTAAAATTAATAAACACACATAGCAATAAACAATGAGTGGAAGAAAAACATTTCAAAGAAAGGTGGAAAATATTTTGTATCAATTAAAAATGAAAACACATCTCGGCAAATGACTGGGGATACAGATAGAACAGCGTTAAGGGACAATAAGCCTCAAATGTCTGTGTTAGAAAAGAAGGAAGAGCTGAGTAAATAGGTAACTTTCACTTGCAGAAATACTACACATCAGCAAATTAATTCCAAAGTAACGTCGAGGAAAAACATAAAATGGCAAGCAAATATATACGTGCATATGTACATACATTCATAAATGACAAACAGGACAGAAAAATCAGTGACATCAATTTTGTTCCTTAGAAGAAACAGGAAAATTGACCCCAAAAAACTTTCCAGGCCACATTTGGTCATGATGGAAATATTTTGGCACTTCCTGGTTAAGCTCAACACCAACTTGCACCCAAAACCAATAATTTCATTTCTAGGTAAATATGTCTAATTAATTCAGCATATGTATGCAAGGGATCACACAGAAACACGATTATCAAGGCCCGAGTTATAAAAGAGAAAATCCGGAAACAACACAAATGTCCATGATAAAAAGAATGGATAATTACATGTTGATAAAGTTATGCATGGACTATTAAACTGCAATCCAAAAGAATAAAATAGAGCTATAAAATTCAATATGTATATGGTGTCATAGAAACACAAATGTGAGAAAAAGAAAGAAAAATACAAAATTTATATTTTTTAAAATTTGAAACAACTATATATGTGAGTGCTTAGGGTGTGTGTGTGTGTGTGTGTGTGTGTGTATAACCATATGTATATAAATGCACACATACGCACACATATAGAATGTCCCGGCCAGGCATGGTGGCTCACACCTGTAATCTCAGCACTTTGGGAGGCTGAAGTAGACAGATCACTTGAGGTTAGGAGTTCAAGACCAGCCTGGCCAACATGGAGAAACCTCCTCTCTACTAAAAGTACAAAAATTAGGTGGGCGTGGTGGTGGGTGCCTGTAAATCCAGCTACTTAGGAGGCTGAGGCACGAGAATTGCGTGAACCTGGGAGGTGGAGGCTGCAATGAGCCGAGGTCTCACCACTGCATTCCAAACTGGGTGACGAAGTGAGATTGCGTCTCAAAAAAAAAAAAAGTTCTAAAAGTTGTGACTTGGGTGTGGCAGATTGTGACATACTGCCAGCTGCTAGAAATGCTGGGGCAGGAGGATTGCTTGAACTCTGAAGTCAAAGAACAGCCTGGGGAAAATAGCACATGAAGAAGAGTTTGAATCTCAGATAAAAACAACAAAAATACATCAAAAGTCTTTAATGTAAGCCAAGCATTCAGTCATCTCCTGTATGAGAGATTGGATCTGAGACGTGTTTTGAGTTGGTTATAGTGAAGGATGCAAGGTGTCAATTCTAGTTGGAACAATTTCCAGGAAGCCATGTTCTGCTCTTGACCAAACAGCCACTGGGCCTCATGCAAGGTAGAAATAGCCTGCATACGTCATCCTCCCATGATGTGGTCAGCATGTAAACTGCATGAGCCCCTCACAACATCCTGTGTGCTGCTGAACTGAGCTGGGGCGCAGCCGCCTGTCTGCACCGGCAGCACCATGTCGCTCATGGTCGTCAGCATGGCGTGTGTTGGTGAGTCCTGGAAGGGAATCGAGGGAGGGAGCGGTGGGGTGGAGATCTGGGCCTGGAGTGGAGATATGGGCCTGGAGTGGAGATATGGGCCTGGAGTGGAGATATAGGCCTGGAGTGGAGATATGGGCCTGGGGTGGAGATATGGGCCTGGAGTGGAGATATGGGCCTGGAACTGTAGATATGGGCCTGAAGTAGAGATATGGGCCTGGAGTAGAGATATGGGCCTGGAACTGTAGATATGGGCCTGGAGTGGAGATATTGGCTTGGAGTGCAGATATGGACCTGGAATTGAGATACGGGCCTGGAGGTGGAGATATGGGCCTAGAGTGGAGATATGGGCCTGGAGGTGGAGATATGGGCCTGGAACTGTAGATATGGGCCTGGAGTAGAGATATGGGCCTGGAGTGGAGATGTTGGCTTGGAGTGCAGATATGGGCCTGGAATGGAGACACGGGCCTGGAGGTGGAGATACAGGCCTGGAGGTGGAGATATGGGCCTGGAGTGTAGATATGGGCCTGGAGTAGAGATATAGGACAGAGGTGGAGATATAGGCCTGGAGTGGAGATATGGGCCTGGAGTAGAGATATAGGACGGAGGTGGAGATATGGGCCTGGAGTGGAGATATGGGCCTGGAGGTGATGTACAGATGGATCATCCATCATGATCTTTCTTTCCAGGGTTCTTCTTGCTGGAGGGGCCCTGGCCACATGTGGGTGAGTCCTTCCCCCAAACCTTAGGTTGTCATCTCCCCACATAAGATGATGTTCCTGAAACGGGAGGCAGGCGACACAGGGGGTTGACTGATGGGCTGACCATGGGAAGCCATGTGGGAATCTCTCATGAACTAGGAAAAGGAAGCCAGGGGAAGCTTCGCCACAGTTCTGTCCTAGCCCTCCCCGGCCTTTCTTTCCCTTGGCTGAGTCTGTGGGGACCCAGGGGGAGACTGAAGTGCTCAAAGGAGTGGTGTGCAGGGAGGAAGTGGTGTCACCGGCAGAGGAAGGGAGAGAAGCAGTGCAAGGAACAACAGGCCTCTGAGGACAAGAGCATAACTCACACCCTCCAGCGTTTCCATGACGGTAGGGGCTGCAATGTGGCTGCTGTCATTCTACCTAAGAGGTGGGGGAACCACAGTCATGACCCTGACATTCCAGATCTTCTAATAGGGGCTCAGTTGTTTATTATGGTTCATGCATTAGCTGATCATGCCCTCCATCCTGTGTCTACCTTGTGTTCTTTTATGTAAGTAATTTTGCAGTGTTAAAATCTAGTAAGAGTCGCTTCTTCAGCACCTGCTCAAAGTTCTCAGCTGACACTTGCTGTAGGGAGACGCCATGTCTATGCGGGATGGGTCCTTCCTGTAGCCCTGGGCACCCAGGTGTGGTAGGAGCCTTAGAAACGTGGAAATGGGAGAATCTTCTGAGCACAGGGAGGGAGGGGCGGCTCCACATCCTCCTCTCTAAGGTAGTGCCTCCTTCTCCCCCAGGTGGTCAGGACAAGCCCTTCCTCTCTGCCTGGCCCGGCACTGTGGTGTCTGAAGGACAACATGTGACTCTTCAGTGTCGCTCTCGTCTTGGGTTTAACGAATTCAGTCTGTCCAAAGAAGACGGGATGCCTGTCCCTGAGCTCTACAACAGAATATTCCGGAACAGCTTTCTCATGGGCCCTGTGACCCCAGCACATGCAGGGACCTACAGATGTTGCAGTTCACACCCACACTCCCCCACTGGGTGGTCGGCACCCAGCAACCCTGTGGTGATCATGGTCACAGGTCAGAGGCTTTCTGTCTGGGCTTCTCACTGTCCCACCTCCTGAATCCCAGAGCTTCTGGTGGGGGCGTCCATCAGGGTCCAATCATCCAGGCCCAGACTGTATTTGGGGTAAAGGGGGATTCAGTACAGAGAAATAGTTGCTGTGGTGGGAAGAATAATTGTCCCCAGTGATGGCTACATGGTAATCCATGAACCCTGTGACTATTTATGTCATAGGGCAGGGGACTGAAGGGGAAGATGGAGCTCAGGTTGTTGATGGGTTGACCTTGCGATGGGGAGACAGCCTGGACTGTCCTGCTGTGCTCAGAGTAATCACAAGGGTCCTCATGAGAGGAGGAGGAAGAGGAAAGTGGGGTTAGAGCAACGTCGTGGGAGGGAGACTCCATCAGCCACAGCGGGCTTTGAAGATGGGGGAAGGCCATGAGCCACAAAGGCAGTTGGCCTCTAAGGGCTGGAGAAGTCAAGGGAACTGATTCTTCCCTGAGTCTCCAGAGGAAACACAGCCCTGTAGATGCCTTGATTTTAGCCCAGAGAGAACTGGGTCCGATTTCTGTTCTCCAGAAGTGGAAGGGGTCATTGTATTCTCTCCTGCCCCATGTTTGTGACAATTTTCTCCAGCAGCAACAGGAAACCAACACAGGAACCCAGGTGAAGCACAAGTTAAGAAACCAAACAAGGAGAAGGTTGGCTACACTGATTTTAGCATGGGTGGGATACTGATGCTACCACCAGGCTCGATCCACATAGGGAGGGGTTGATGCTCCTGGAACCAGCACCAGGGGCCACCCTATGGAAGCTGGGGCCATGGAGAAGGCACAGACATGACAGGAGAGGCTCCCAATCCCCATCAGGAACAGGGACACTGATGCCTGCCTTACTGATGAGTTCGTACCTCCTGCCAGCCTTTCCAATCTGTCCAAAAGAGATTGATTCAGGCTGCTAAGAGCCTGGACATGCAGCCTGTCGTGGTTCCTCTTCCACCCCCACATAAACACCAGGAAAGAGATTAGTGGGAAACAGATACAACAGCATAAGAGGTGACACTGAGCACAGTGGGAAGGGAATCAGGGCTACTAGAGACAGAGAGACAGGGAAGAGGGAGGGAGACAGATGGAGGGACCTGCAACAGGGGTTATGGGCACAAAAGAACACGGAGACACAGAGAGGAAGGAGAGAGATAGACACCATGGAGGGGAAGCCTCACTTATTTCAGGTCCCATGAATGGGATGAGAAAGGGAGACGCCTTCTGAACTCACAACCTCTCTTCTTAGGAGTCCACAGAAAACCTTCCCTCCTGGCCCACCCAGGTCCCCTGGTGAAATCGGGAGAGACGGTCATCCTGCAATGTTGGTCAGATGTCAGGTTTGAGCGCTTCCTTCTGCACAGAGAGGGGATCACTGAGGACCCCTTGCGCCTCGTTGGACAGCTCCACGATGCGGGTTCCCAGGTCAACTATTCCATGGGTCCCATGACACCTGCCCTTGCAGGGACCTACAGATGCTTTGGTTCTGTCACTCACTTACCCTATGAGTTGTCGGCTCCCAGTGACCCTCTGGACATCGTGGTCGTAGGTGAGAGAATACAGACCTGCCTCTCACCCTTGCTGGGAGATGGAGTGAATGATCTAGGACTGGAAGCCCCAGGTGGTCATGAGGAAGATGAGTGTGGGGTTCCTATGGAGAGAAAGTGACTTGGTGAGGTCTGTACCAACAAAGGCAGAGAAACAGGAGACACAAGTACAGACCTCATGTCATAACATAGAAGCCAGACACAGGGGCCATACAAGGTGTTAGAAAAAGAGATAAAGAGGTAAAGAAGACACAGAGAGACAGATATATCCCAGAGAGAGGTGTCCTTCTATGCTGACTTTGTTCAGAGACCAGGCACAGGTTAGAAGGTTCCATTCTGTTTTACCTCTACAAAGTGTTCTCTCCCAGGAGAACCCAAAGAGACACATCTATCTGGCCTGAGTTGGGCCGTGTGGCCCCAGGCTGGTGGCACCTACAGATGCTGTGTTTATTCTTAAACCTCTGCCTTCCGTGCAGTGGAGCTGTCGTCGTCGCAGGACACCATGGCCCCAGGTGAGGGAGCAGAACACCAACCCCTGTATGTTGTGAGTTCCTGGAGTCCCCATACTGGATTCTGAGGCTCATATTCAAATAGCACCACATGTTATAGGATTACTGAGAACAAAAGCCCACAGAGAGACACGGAGTGAAATCAGGGAAATCAAAAAGCAAAGACATGAACACACACACAGAATGAGCCAGAAGAAGGGAAT